>NC_000014.9:62642016-62945046 GCF_000001405.40 Homo sapiens | reverse complement strand
TTCCATTTCTCCTCATCTCTTCCATTTTCTGAAGTTCCTGTTTTGATTTAGAGATAAAAACCTAGTTTTAAAGTTGGTTGTTTTCTTCTCTGAGTTTCTATTATATTCTTTGAATACCTGAGTAGCAGTTTTCTGTTTGTATACCAATTTTTGACATCTTCTTGCCTTTTGACTTAGGTTTTCCTTTTATGCTTCTGATTAAGTCCAGTTTCTATAGCCAGAGTATTCCAGGGAGATACCTTTAAATTTCCCTTTTAGTCCTTGGGTCCTTGGTAATTTCATGGGATATTTCCTTTGAAAAACCTGAGAATATTATAAAAAGCTGTCTAGATTCATGAAGTGTTATAGTACCTTTGCACAGTTCCAAAATTTGTTAGACCCGAAATGTCAACCAAATTTGGATATTGTAGCTCTTTGTAAATATAGTATCATTTTTTTCCTACAAGAACACCAAGGAAAACAAACAAATGAAAACAAACCACCTGCATTCTTAGAAACCAATATGTGCTAGCAGCCATAGCCAGGGATTTAGCGGTGTGTGTGTGTGTATGTGTGGTGGGGAAGATAGGATAGGGAAGAGGCAGGTAGAAAACAGAAAGGTTCATTTTTTCACTTGTGCCAGGGTTCTAGTCAATCTGTGTGGCTGTCTAAGAAGCACCACTTGTAACCTTATAACTCAAAAACAGAAAAATGTTTTATCAAAAGGTTGATGGAGACACCAACTGCCTATATTCTGTTGAGAAAAATAATCACTACTTGCAAATGATAGACTCTTTTTCTCGAGAAAGTCATCCAAAATTTATATGTCTTTCAGAAAAATTTAGAAGTATGAATGTGGCAACAATCCCGATTCCTAGGTCCTTATGAGCCCTCTTTTCAATGGCCTTTCCTTTCCTAGGCTCTTGCTACCATAATGCTAAGTTGGATGTGGGCTCTGTCTAAGACTACAGTCTCAAAAGTTTTCCTTGTTCATATATCAGACAGATCTTCAAAAAATAGTATAGGCCTTCCCCTAATTCCACTCAACTGAGATTCCTTCCAGATCCCTCCTATGTCAGCAGGGTCCCAGGATACTTTTCTTACCTGCTACCTGGGAATTTCTTAGACTTAAATCCTTTGTTCCTATATTTGCCCAACATGGGAAATCTTCCTGTTCAGATTTCTGAATTGGAAGGGTTGCCTGATGCTTCTCTATATACATCTACCGTCATGCATTCTTTACCTTAAATTTGTCTTCTCTTGGTTTTTTCATACTCTGTCTGCCTTGAGTGACCTCCACTGCTCTGGTGGCAGCCATTACTCCCCAGGGTAGCCACATCCTCCCCATTCCTCTGTATCTGTCCATTCATGAATGAATCCAGCTACTCTGCTGACATTCACAAAATTCACTACCAAAGGGCTTTTGTGAGAGAATATTTTTGCAGCACTTGTAGAAAATAGTATGTATGTACATACGTATGTGTGTGTGTATGTGTATTTAGATCAAGATGTAAGTAATCTCCTTGCTAATTTGCTTGGTAAATACTTAATGATGCCTTCATGAAGTGTTTTCTAATCCATTTTATTTACATAATCTTATTATTGAGCCCCTAATAATATTAGATTTTCTAAGGATTAGGCACACTGACTAATTTTGCTGCTATTCAGAAGGCACCATAGTACGTGGATGATTTATTTTGATGACTATAAAACAAAGGAATGCAATGATGGAATTTTTCTAATAGGATTATACTCTTGTCTTCATATGTTTTTAAAAATCCTCTTCCAAAGATTTATCAAGAAAGCAGTTACTTAGTCCCTTCTTTATTGCTAAATTATCATATAAACTGTATTTTAGTTTAATCCAGCCGTTATAAGGGACTCTACATCTGCATATTTCATTATAATTTTCTAAAAGAAAGAAACATATAAAATAAAAATATGTTTTGAATAACTCTTTGCCATAAGTTCAACCATAATTTTTTTCTCTCTCCATATATATGTTTTAGTACACTGTTAAGTACATTATTAAATATGTATTCAGCATATGTCAAAGGGCTATGAGATTGGAATTTGGGTATTCATTTTCTCTAAAAGCATTTTTCTACTTTTTCTATTGTCTGCTTTGGTAAATTGAGACAGGCTGACCCATGCAGTATATGTCAATGAGAATTTGTCCTGCTGTGATGCAATGCAAACTGAGTCTTATAAAGCAAAACAAACCAAACTAAAAATTATAAATATAAAAATTGCTGGGGTTTAATTGGTAGACAGGAAGCCCTGTCATAATGATGCTAATCTGCAATTTTCAAATAGGATGTAATTGGTAATCACGTAAACATCTAAAAACTTTCTGTAATTGACTAGTATGATCTGTAATGCAGTAGACAAATGGTTTAGCACATCTAAAAGTATAGCAAGACCATCTGCCAGTGGGATGTGTATGACAAGAAATCTGAATCTTCATGTAGGCGGTTAAGTGCAACTGGGAAGCATTTAGTTGCACACTGGTCAATCAGCACCATACAGAGGAGACCAATGCCACACACTGTATTCTCATGTTGATGAGTTTATTCAGCATCCTCTGTGGAATTCAGATAAAAGTCAAGCTGAGGTTATGGGCATTGCCCTGACTTCTCCCCACCGGAAAAGGAAATAAATAGAAGATGGTAAGATCCAGAAATTGGGAGAATATAGAGTAAGTTGGGAGCAAAGGCCCGTGTGACCCTGGAGAGTCTTTACATCTCTCTGAGCTTTATTTATTTTTTTCAATTGTGAAATGCCAAAGTTGAAATCAGTGACTTTTAAGGTCCCTTTCAGGACTAACATTCTATACTTCTAAGGTTCTATTGGTGCATTTATGCCCCTGTCCATGGCATGGAGCTGGTTATTGGAGATGAGGTTAAGATGGAAAGAAAGTGGTGTCACAAAGATGTTAGGGCTTTTTACATATAGTGCATACATTGCTTTATGGAGAATAAGATGTGTTTTCTATAGAAAATGTTCTGTAAAGGTTAAGAGGAAAAGTTGTCAGAGAATAAATATTATGGAGAAAAGAAAATATGCTTTTGGAAAGAGAAGTGTTTTTCCATATAGAAATTAGGCAGCTAGGAAGACTGAAAGGCATGTGTCTCAGGGTAAAGGATCAGGGCCCAGGAAGAGACTGCACACCATGCCCAGTGGGACTTGGACTTGGAGAGGTACTCGACCTAGGTGGATATCCAGACAGGCTTAAAAGTGGGTTGTTGCCCTTTCCTAATATTAGAAAAAAATTATTCTACAAATCTTAATATGCGACTTCAGGTATTTCAGGTATAATATTAAGTTACATGTTAAAATTTGTCTTGGCCTTGTTATTGCGGTGTAGGTAGAAAATGCAGTGTGTACATGCTGATTTTCATTTCTGGCTTTAGTTTTAGCCAGATGGGGAGAGCTTTAAGCCTAATGTTTATTTTGGAAACTGGGTCAATTCTTTGTGTCTGCTTTACCATAGCTTGTAAAGAAAACTTTGTCTTTTTTCTTTTCTTTAATGAGCTGAGTTTCGCATGAGAAAAAACATTTTATGGAGCCCCAAGTTCAGGGTTATAGGCACCTTTTATCATGGTTTAGCAGTCTCAGATGTGTAGTCCAGGGCAGTCTCAGATGTGTAGTCCAGTAGTTAGAAAAAGACTGTGTGATGTACACTTTACTCCCTGATTCTTATTCCAACTAGGGCTTGTGTCTTTTGCAGGAATGTTCTTTTATACCCATCTTTCTTTTCATTCCTAGTCACATTTTCACAAAGCCTCTCAAATTCTGTAAAGGTTGACTTTCCCCAGAAAACAGCATGACATTTTCTTGATAGCCTATTAACTAGCCTGAACGTTTTACAAGGATCTTCATCTCTTGTGTCCTTGTATCACTCAAAATTATTTAATTCATTCAGCCTTGTGCCAGGTGTTCTGGTATACATTGGTATTTAAGAAACACTAGATACTTTTGAGCCCTCAATAACCTTTTAATGTGGTAAGAGGGTCAAACAAGAAAATCACTGATCCATCTGTCTCTCCCTTACTCTCTCCATCCCCATCTCAATGTCCACCTCTGCCTTCATCCTCGTCTCATCTGTTCTTATACTATGAATTAAGAGGGAATAAAGAAGCTGGACTTGTGAGAAGAGGATCTGTCTTTGTCCTGTTCATCATTGTGTATTTAGCACAAAGCATTATCTCCTACTTGATGGTTGTGCCCATTGAACACATGTTGAATGAATTAATGAATGAATAAAAATGTTTGCCTAGTTCAGCCTGAGGGAGCCCAGGAGGATTTCTAGGAGAAAGTGACTCTTGAGCTCAGAATACAAAATAAGTAGGTAAATGAGGCAGGACTTAGCTATTTTCCAGGTATAGAGAACATAGTATATGCAAAAATGTAGGCATCAAATAGCTTGGCCCTTTCGGGGAACTCCATGCATTTCACTTTGGCTTGAGTGGAAAGTAGATGTGAATGGAAAGAAATGAAAGAACCAAGATGTCAAAAAGCTTTCCATAGCTTCACAAGGAGTTTGCCTTTTATCCTAAAGGTTGTGGGATAAATAAGAAAAATTTGATTCTTTATTGTGGACAATGAATTGGAGGAGATAAAGGCTACTGGCAGAGAAACCAGTTAGGAGACTGTTGCAGCAATCCAGGAAGACATAAATTGAGGTGGTAAATATATGGAGGACAGTATAGATTTAGAGTTGGCAAACTTTTTTTTTTTCTGTAAATGGGCAGATAGTGACTATCTTAGGCTTTGTGAGCCATATGGTCTCTGTTGCAAACTACTCACCTCTGCTTTTGTAGTGCTAAAACAGCCATAAACAATACGTAAACAGATGAGTGTGGCTATGTTCCAATACAACTTTAAGCAGGTGGCAGATCAGATTTGGCACGTGGTCTGTGGTTTCATGGTTTGTGAAAAGACTGTGGACTTTGGAGTCAGACAAATGAATCTAGGTTCAATTTTTTGCATCATAATTTATAAGAATTTATATCAGTTATGTAAACCATCATTTGTAAAATGGAGATAATAGTCTCTACTTTGCAGAGTTATTTTTGATACTCCAGAATAGATTGTACGTAAGCTTCCTGAAAAAATTTTTTTTTTGAGGCAGATTTTTGCTCTTGCCACCCAGACTGTAGTGCAATGGTGTGATCTCAGCTCACTGCAGCCTCCGCCTCCTGGGTTCAAATGATTGTCCTGCCTCAGCCTCCCAAGTAACTGGGGTTACGGGCATGCACCACCACGTCTGGCTAATTTTGTAATTTTAGTAGAGTTGGGGGTTTCACCACGTTGGTCAGGCTGGTCTCGAACTCCTGGCCTCAGGTGATCCACCCGCCTTGGCCTCCCAAAGTGCTGAGATTACAGGCATGAGCCACCATGCCCAGCCAAGCTTCCTGAAACTTTAAAAAATGTTTTTATGGGTGAATTAATGAATATGTGGGGTATTTTAGAAGGACGAGTTCAAAAGCACTTGTAGATTTCTAGCAAATTCAGCTGAATGTATGATGAAGCTTTTTTCTAAAATAGGAAAAAGGTGCAGTTATTACTGGAGGAAAGTGGTTCTTTTTCCTGCAGGTTATTCTGATGGAAATGTTCATTAGGTGGTTAGAAATGTGGTTCTGGTTTCCAGAGCTATGAGGCACAGAGAGATCTCTTTGGGAATAACAATGTATAGAAAGTAATCATGTCAAGGAAGTGTACGGTGCAGTCAGCATAAAGCTGGCCAAGAGTAGACTCTGAAGAAGGAGAGCCACAGAGGGGCTGAGAAGAGAACCCAGTGAGGTAGAATGGAAGCATGACTCTGGAAGGAGAGTCTGTTGCTAACAAAGGATGAGAGAGCTTTAAGAAGGAAGGGAGAACAACAGGACCACTGAGAGAGGAAGTCAGAAGAGATCTGGGAGGCCTTAGGAGGTCATCAGTGACTTTATCTGACTTGTTTGATTGGCTAGTTGAGGGGAGAGAGCCACATGGGGAACTCATGGGGTCCAAACCGTTTTTTCTCCTATATGAAGGAAAATAATGTATTATTAGCCATTAACTTCATGGAGGTAGATTATGCTGATGCAGTAATTTTCACAGCCAATATGTTTTTCTAAATCAAATTTCAAATTCAACAAAATATACTTGTTCGATTATTAGATGCATAACATAGACATAGAATTTCTCTTTTGTGTTATAAAACGAAAGGTAGCATTGGCTTAGAAGTTTGTATGAAATTGAACTTTCTTAGAACAGACGTTTTAGTCAGAGGAGAATTTTATTTACTTATTTGGTGACTTTCCAATGAATTTAATATTAATTCCTATGAGAAAATATTTTTCAGGACACACTGTCACCTGGTAGGTGAAGTGATACTCTGGTGTAGAACAGACAGTGGGGATGTAGATGATTCTCACATATGTGATATCCATCAATTGACATCTGATTTTAATTTTGCTTAATATGTAATACTTAAATGTTTTTTCACAGGCCGAAAGACTCACAAATTCATAGATGAATATATTTAGAACTTATTAAAATAAATGTCATACCAAAGGCCTTTAGGCATGGATTTAAGGATTTCTTTGATATGGCCAGAGAGGGGATTTTATTTGGAGTAATTTCTAAGCCAGCTCCTAAGTGACTTCTTCTTACCTACTTGTTTAATATTTTCATATGTTGTGACAACTGAGTTAGCCCTCCCTGGAAGGTTAGGTACCAGGCACATGGTGGTAGCTTTAGGCTGAGTGTGTAGGTAAGGAGATCTTTATGGGGTGAGAACTATATTTAAGTGGACTCTCAGGAAATACTGGAGGCTTTAAAAATTCCCTTTGAAGCTGGCTCTGTAGCTACCCTTTTTAGACTCTATCTCCTTTAAAGTTGAGCTTATTTTTAACAACACCCCCCCACCAGATCTTAAGCTGTGAAGGTCTAATTTGGGACCATTACTCATTTAAAGTGTCCTGTAAGGGAAAGACATTTAAATTCATGCCCCTATTTAGGCATCAGCAAAGGAGGCAGGTCTGGTATTGACTCTTCTGATGAGACTTCGGTATGGGAATAGTAGACCTCGGGAACTTTTCTTAGACTGGGCTGTTGAGTTTTCCTGTTGGTTTCCTTAGAAAGGGTCCAAACGGTCCCTTCATAGGTCTGTTTCCCCAACTTCTTTCCCTTATGAGGACCCAGCTAGAGAATAGCAGACCCTCCTCCCCAGGCACACACTGACACTCCAAATTCCTTCATCCTGTGCCCTTTTGCTGCCTTAACAACTCCATCTGGATCTATTTGTCTCTTTTTCTGTTCCAGGGTTGCTGAGCACTGGCTGGAGTCAACTAGACAGCCTTGTGAACAGCTGCCCCTAAAATGAATGTTTAGCAATCTTACGAATCTTCTTCCTGTAACATTTTGCTGAGCAACAATTCCTGTACAATTTGCACACGTTCTCCTCCTTTCCGAAACCTATGACCACTCATCTTCATTGCAGCAGATGGCCTTCCTTTTACTTCTGTGAAAAAGAAATGTGTTGCAGATGTGCATTCCTTTACACTCCTGACTCTCCCCTTAGGAAGGTGGGCTAGGGGTGGCCAAGGGTGCAAACCATTCAGGGCCTTATAGGACAGGATAGTAGCCCTTACTTTGAGCCAGATGGGAAGACTTTTGAGGGTTTCAGACCAGATTGACTTGATTTGTCTTATGTCTTACAAATACCAATCCAGCTGCTGTGTGGAAAATAGACTGTACAGGGTCAAAAATGAAAGAAGACAGACAGGTCAAGGAGAGAGATGATGATGGTGGTGGTTAGGATTGGTTAGATTCCAGACATACGGTAAGACCAGCAAAACATGAGGGTTTGAGAGAAAGAGAGTCAGGATTTAAGGCTTTCAGGGCAAGCAACTGCTCTTAAGTTAGCGATGGATGGTCATTTGTTGTGTCCAGTGGGCAGTCACATATACGATTCTAGCATTCTGTGAAGTGGCCCCGGATTTGTACATAGATTTGTGCTGTAGCTTGATTATTTTTCCCTTCTAATTGTTTGTCCTTCCTTCTCCTCCTCTTTCTTCATCTTTTTTTTTTTTTTTTTTTTTGAGATGGAGTCTCACTCTGTTGCCCAGGCTGGAGTGCAATGGTGTGATCTCCACTCACCCCAACCTCTGCCTCCTGGGTTCAAGTGATTGTCCTGCCTCAGCCTCCTGAGTAGCTGGGATTACAGGCATGTGCCACCACGCCTGGCTAATGTTGTTTTTGGATTTTTAGTAAAGACGGGGTTTCACCCTGTTGGTCAGGCAGGTCTTGAACTCCTGACCTCGTGATCTGCCTGCCTTGGCCGCCCAAAGTGCTAGGATTACAGGTGTGAGCCACCGTGCCTGGCCTTTTTTTTTTTTTTTTTTTTTGAGGCAGGGTCTCGCTCTATCACCAAGGCTGAAGTGCAGTGGCGTGAGCTCAGCTCACTGCAACCTCCTCCTCCCAGGTTGAAGCAATTCTCATGTCTCAGCCTCCCAAGTAGCTGGGACTACAGGCATGCACCACCATGCCCGGCTGATTTTTGTATTTTTTGGTAAAGACAGGGTTCACCATGTTGCCTAGGCTGGTCTTGAAATCCTGACCTCAAGTGATCCGCCTGCCTTGGCCTTCCAAAGTGCTGGGATTACAGGTGTGAGCCACTGCACCTGAGCTTGTTTTTCTTTCTTCTGCATTGTCCATCTCTCTCTCTCTCTACTGGCTCTTTCTCTTCAGCTGATAAACATGCTCATGTCTTTTTAATCCTAAGCTAATATACATATGTGAATAAAACACTTGACCTGGACCTTGCATTCTCTTTGCCTTATTACCCAGCAATTCTTCCCTTTTAAAGCTTTCTAAAGCATGTGTCTTCACTTCCTTTTCTTCATTTACTCCCTATTGAAAATGGGCCTCTTCTCCTATACTGCCTCTCAGAGTACATTTGCTAGATTTCATAGACACTTTTTCATGCATACGGAAGTACTTCTTCTTTGGCTTCTTTAATATTTCTCTCTTTCTGGCTCTCCCCTGACCTCTCTTGCTATTTCTTCTCTGTTTGTTTTGCTGGATCATGTTACTGCATTGCTGTCGTAAATATTGAAAACTGTGATATTGGGAACAAATTATTGAAAGATCAAGGGCAGCTCTCCTGATAGGCTGAGCAGTTTCTCCCACAAAAAGTGACTTCATGGGAGCCAGCCGACTCTCAGATATTTTGCTCAATGGTCCACCATTAGAAATCCTGCTGCATGTGTTCTTGACTCCAGAAGGCCCCTTGAAGCTGCCATTTTGTCCTCTAAAGGATGTAAGTTCCTCATCTCTGTACCAGATTGGACTGAGTTTTAAACTGGCACAGTGTCTCAATGAAGAGAAAATAATTGTTGAGATTTCAGAGGAGGGTGGAGAAGACGTCTGGAGCATGGGCTGCCGCTTGGCAGGCAGGGGTGGGAAGGAGCTAAGGTAATGATGCCAAGAGGAAGAAGAGAAGCCTTTTATTTTTTCCTAGCTCTGTGGGAAAAATAACCAGGGATTATTAATTCACACCACCTTTTCCCTCGTTTACTGCCATGAGACCTTTTTCCTCCAGTCTGTCTGAAGTGTCCCTATTACTTTATACTTCATTATTTCTTCATCATGGTCTCTAATTATATTCTTTAATTCTTTCTTTATGTAATTATTGCTTGTCTTTCTAACTAAAATGGAGCCACAAAGGCAGGGAACTTGTCTTTCTAGTTCCACTCTGTATCCCTAGCATAACAGGAGTGTAGCAGGTGCTCAGTAAATCCTCCTTGAAGAGATAAATGTATTTTGATCTCCATATTTGTAAAGTTGTAAATTCAAAACCATACTAGTTCTCCAGACCTAAATTCTTCAGTCTTGGGTTTAAATTTTCATACAGTGAAACATAGGTGAATGAACATGTGACTGATTTCATTTTTCTGTACAGAGCTAATAACTTAGTTTAGGACCTCTTCCCTCATCCCCCCACTTTTCCACCTTTCATAGTACGCTTGACTGCCACATCTGTGCTATGGCTGTACTGGCCACTCTGTGTCTATCATGTTGTAGAGTTCTGGATGGGAAGCTGGATATACTTCTTTGCTGCCTTTGATTTTCCCTTCAACCTATTTTGGGTTTCTCTTGTTACCTCCTATAGTTCCTTTTATTCTGCCCTCTTATGTTTCACTGCCACCCACCCCCATGTTTTCTGGGAAAAGAACTAAGATTTTAAAGTGAAAACAAAACACAACAAGAAAGACGACAAAAAAACCATTTGCTATCTCGAGGGCCTGGCACTTGCAAAGGAAATCTATGCTTTTAAGATTATTGTTTTGGCTATGGGCTTTAAAAAAGTCTAATTTGAAACTCAAAGCTAAGCTGCTTTCTTTGTTCTCAGCTGTTACCACACTCCTCTTGAAAAGTGACTGCCACTGTTTCAGTGAGAGGATAGCAAAAGGGTCATTAGGAAGAGCTAGGAATTAGAGGGACTGAAAACACTCTGCACCTGTGTGTCCCTCATCCTCGATCATGCTGAGGCCTGGCATAAATGCACTTGCCATACTTCCAATCTTTCTTTGTTCATTGGATACAGAAGAGAACAACCTGGGAATTTTAATGGTTTGGAAACAACTGTCTGTACTATGGGCAGCATTTGATTATGAAATTTGGATAGTCTCTTCTATAGAGGGCAACACAAGGTCAGGACTGCTTCAAGTTAGATGAGAAGCACAAATATCATTTTTGGTGTTTGCTAAAGAAACAAAACTATATAAGTGTGTTTTAAAGAAATTTGCGCCTGTAGTCTCAGCTACTAGGGAGGCTGACGCAGAAGAATTGCTTGAACCCGGGAGGCGGAGGTTGCAGTGAGATCATGCCACTGCACTCCAGCCTGGGTGACAGAGTGAGACTCTATCTCAAAAAAAAAAAAAGAAAGAAAGAAAGAAAGAAATCTGCATTTGAAAAAAGTGTGTCCATTTACTCACAGGGAGATTTCAGTAGCTTCTGATGTTTGATCAGAGCCTTTCTGTGCTGCGTAATTTGAACTGCTAATTTATTCAGTCATTAGAGAGAAGTTTCCAGAGAAAAAGTGGTGATTCTACTGGGATTTGGGTAATGGCTAATACCAGGGAAGACAGAGCTGAGATAAACCGGAAGGAACACAGGGCCCACAGATGAAGGGAAGGAAATCTCAAATATTTTCCACGTCTCTGGTTCTCCTGCCTTCTTTTTCATTTAATCTGTGTGCTAATTCAGATTATCTGACTGTAGTTTTTTAAATTTAATTTTTAGATCGAGGTAATACATACATGTAGTTTAAAGAACCAAATAGCGCTATAAGGTTTATTTTGAAAAATGGAAATTCCTTGATCTTCATGCCTTTAGACATTTCCCAGAGATGACTTTCAAATCATTTTCATTTTTTTGGTGGCATTTATCTTTTTGTTTTTACATGATTATTGGAGAGAATTTTCAGTTTTAGTCATTGTCTGTTGACTTCCATCTTTGGAAGATGAAAATAAAATTATATAATTCTCTTTCCTGTCCTATGTCTCTTAACTACCACTACACACACACACATAAACACACACACATACACACACACACACACATAATATATATGTGCATATATATGCATTTTCCAATTTTCTAAATCTTCTCTATATTTAGATCATAATTTTGATATAATCAATAGCTGTTTTCATTATTATGACTAGGTATATGCTATTTACAACTGAGTCATATGTTATACTGTGATTATTTTCCTGTACAACATTTGATTTCCCCTAGTGTAGTCATTATCACAATTTTTTTTCTTAGTTTCTTATGTTGCTTCTTTTAAATTTATTACCAAATTCTCTTCCATTCTGTAACTCTAACCTCATCATGCTCACATTAGGCGGTTATAACTTTTTATCTCTGGAGGGCTCTTTCTTTGAGCCTTCTGACTTTCTCTAGTTGCACTATCCCAGGCTTGACTTAAAGCCCTCAGCCTGTTGTCTCCCATTAGCCCTGATCTCCAGGAGTCCCTTTGCCTTTCTCTTTTGTGGACCCATTGTTTCCTATATCTGTTTTGAATGAACACCTCTTATAGTAGCCTCTAGAGAAAGTATAGATAAAAGAATTTTTTGAGATTATGCGTGTTTTAAAATGTCTTTCATTTATCCTTACACTTAACTGATAGCTTGTCTGGGTAGAGATTTAAAGGTTAGAAATAATTTTATGAAAATTTTGGTGCACTGTTCTTTTGTCTTTGAACTTCTAATGGAACTGTTCAGAGGACTCCATTTGAGCCTTGATTCTTATAAATGTTATGTTTTTCTTTCTGTTTCCACTCTGGAAACATTTAGAATCTTTTTTTAGTTCCCAGTATTGTGAGGTTACTATGACAAGGTATCTTTCTATGGATTCGTTTTCATCCCAATGGGTATGTGTAATCATTTGGAAATGCCTATTTTTCACTACTGGGATATTTTCTTGAGTTATTTCATTCACAAGTTACTCCTGGTTTTATCTTTTTCCCTTTCTTGAAATTCTTATTATTTGGCTATTGGATCTCCTGGATTGGTTTTTTAGTTTTTTTTTTTTTTTTAATCTCATTTCTACAGTTTTCTATGATTTTATCTTTTTTACTCTATGGTCTAGAAGTTTTCGTGTATTCCAATTTCTAATCCTTCTTTTGAGTTTTTGTTTCTGCTTGCCTACGTTAATTTCCAAGAGCTCTTGCCTTTTCTCTGTGTTCCTTCTCATAGCATTGTGTTTTCACTTCATGAGTGCAAAATCTCCTCTTCTCTTTCTGAGGGTATAAGAAAGTTTATGTGTAGTTTTCTTATCCCCACATAGTCTGTTTCTATCAAGATGATGTTTTGTTTGTTGGTTTTGGTCTCTGCTTCTCATGGTGGAGGCTTTATGCAGATGCCTCGGAATCCTGGCTGTCTGTTTTTGGCTGATTTGTGGCTGTGGACTTTATGTAGGGAGATCTAATTGGGTTATTTTGTGGAAAATCCTCAACACCAGTATTTTGGGGTCATTTCTGTTAGGCTGCCAATTCCCTCAGGGAGGAATTTTCTAGTTTCCAGCCTGGAGAACATAGCCCTTGCACTGATCTCTCTGGAAGCTGAATGGAGAATAGAGCTGAGGGTTTGACACTCAGTGTGTAAGCTTTCACATAACCCCTGATTTCAGTGTGAAACCCCTACTTTCTGCTCTTCCTTCATTGCAGGGATCCTCTCTAGTCTGCTGAAGTGTGAAAAGGGAAATTGACTGGCTCTGTGGAATTAGGGAAGGCATCTGGAGGGGTAGGTGTCCATCTGTTTCTTAAACAGACTTTCAATAAATCCTCTAGTTTTAGCCCCACCTTTGCTCCTTCACTTCCCAAAGTACTTGGTGGTGACAATTCCTGGGATATTTAGTGGCTCTGTACTGCATATCAGATTGTTAATTATCATTCCTTTCTGCTGGTTTAAGATCCAGCTTTCTTGGATCTGATGAGTTAGTTACTACTTGTCCTATGCTTTCCAGCTTCCAAACTTTTGTTGCTTTTGTCTGTTCTACTGTTCTGTTTGTTCTTGTGGCTTTATGGCTTTACGCAATCCATTTACTGTTATTTTGTGGAGTTTTGAGAGGAAACAGAGGTATATACATGTCGTCAACCCTCTATCTCTGGCTGAGTCTCTCTGCTTCTTTGCATAGGTCTGTTAGTTCTGCTGGTTCATGCTCCTCTGTCATGTGTTTATCATCCGGATTTATGTAGCTCTTGATCAAAACTTTCCCATTGCTATTTACCATTTGTCTCAAGCTACTTGTCACTAGAGAATATCCCAACCTTGCTAAATCCATCAGAGGTTCATTGCTATAATATCTGTCTATTTAACCTGTAGGTCTACTTACTGTCTGCTTGGCTTCCCAGCTGTTCTGCATGGTCTCTGTTTTTTGGAAGTCCTCTGCTGTTATATACAACCTCTGCTCGATCATTTTCTCTGTACTCATTAGATCCAGGCCATCCCTGATACTACATCATTCCTGAAGCCCATCTCCGGCAGGTATCTCTCTCCAATCCCTTAAATATATGGATTAGCACTGTAAAAATGATCAAGCACTGTGTCATTATGTAGGTTGAGTCAAGGGTCTAAACTTTTCACATAGGGTTAATACTTTAGAGTTAAAGGAAGGCATGAAATGTACCAGCATCATGGATAAAGTTGGACCTAAATATCTTGCATTTCTTAAAGTCAGGTTTCTATTATACTCATTGGACTAGAAGTGGACAGCAATAGAGAAGTGAGATGAAAAATCACTCTCATTCAGTACTGTGAACTAAATTTAAAAAAATGAGGGCTGAATTCCTGTTCTATTAGATTTTAGTAAACAGCATTCTGTAGTGCACAGGGAATTCTTCACAATGCTGTGTGAATTTTGTTGGTAAACCTGTTACAGGTGTTTTTCAGTTTGTGTTTGGGCTAAAATATTGTCAAGTGGCATACTTGCCTGAGGCAGTCAGTGTAGGATCAGAACATATGTGCCTTTGATGAAAGCTGCTTTTCAGTTTAAATCACTGGGATGCTTGTGAAGCTGTATCTTATGAACATTGTTATATAAACATTGCCTTTAAAATCTTTGGCTTGAGTCTCAAGTAAATAGGTTTATACAGTATGATCTGCTGGCTGAGCAGCAATGAAAATAAAATGTCTCCCTGTTGTGGTACGTGGAATTTTTCTGTTGTCAGGTAGAACTTTGCCTACAGAAATTTAAAGTGAGGCAAAGCTGACTAATGAAAATCATCATGGTTAGTGGTGTTAAAAACAAAGCTTCTACACTGTGGTGGGAATGTAAATTAGTTCAGCAACTGTGGAGAGCATTTTGGGGATTTCTGAAAGAACTTAAAACAGAGTTAATATTCAACCCAGAAATCCCATTATTTGGTATATAGCCAAAGGAAAAGAGATCATTATAACAAAAAGACACATGTGCCTGTATGTTCATAGCTGTGCTATTTACAATAACAAAGACATGGAATCAACCTAGGTGTCCATCGATGGTGGACTGGATTAAAAAGTGTGCTACATATACACCACGGAATACTATGCAGCCACAAAAAAGAATGAAATCATGTCTTTTGCAGCAACTTGGATGGAGCTGGAGGCTGTGATCCTAAGTGAATTACTGCAGAAACAGAAAACTAAATTCTGCATGGGAGCTAAACATTGAGCACCCATGGACATAAACATGGGAATAATAGACACTGTGGATTACTAGAGGGGGAGGGAGTGGGGCATGGGTTGTAAAACTAGATATTGGATACTATGCTCACTACCTGGGTACAATATACCCATGTAACAAATCTACACGTATCTTCCCTGTATGTAAGATAAAAGTTGAAAAAGAAAGAATAAGAAAAATAAGAGTTTTTATTTTACCTTCAGAAAAAAAGAGAGGTTCAAAAATATCATAATTAAAGTCTATGTCCTCATTATAAATTGAACAACCAGAGTGTCTGAGATAAGAGTGAGGAAGGGAGAAAATAGTGCAGGACGAAGTCAGAAAGGTAATGAGACCAGACCATGAAGGGCCCTGGTGACCATTGTTCTGTGGATGGAGACTTCTAGAGCATTCTGAGTAGAAAAATGACATGATATGACATATTTTAACAGTATCACTCTGACTGTTGTGTTGAACATAAACCCTAGGGTTACAAGGTGGGATGGAGAAAGATAATTCAGGGAGGCTATTGCAATCATTTTAGTGAAAGACGATGTTGGTTTGGGCCAAGATAGTAACAATGGAGGTGGCAGGAAGTGGCGAGACTCTGGTTATGTTTTGAAAATAGAGCCAACAAGATTTGCTGACAGACTAGATGCGGGGGGTGGTTGTTAAAATCAGAGAGAAATCAGAGATGACTCCAAGAGTTTTTTTGGTTTATATATCTCTTAAGGATGGGAAATAATTTGGGGAAAACAGAGGAGAGAGATGTGCTAGAATTAAGAGCTAAGTTTTGATAAGTCATGTTAAGTTTGAGACGCTGCATAGACACGTAAGTACATATGTCTCGTAGGCAGTCCCATAGACAAATCTGGAGTTCAGGGGAGAGGTCCTGGCTGGACACATACATTCTGGAATTGTTGATACGGAGCTGATATTTAAAGTCATGAGACTGGTTGAACCCTCCTTGATATTGAATGTGAATAGAGAAGAGGTCTAAGCACTAAACTCTGGCGCATTGCAATATGTAGTGGTCAGTGAGATGAGGTGAAACCAGCAAAAAGACTGAGAATGAAGTGAGTTAGGAAGAAATCTAGGAGTGAGGTATGCTGTAGGTCAGCTGAGGAAAGTGTTTCAAGGAGGGATGAGTGAGCAGCCATGGGAAGTTCCTCTTACAGGTCAATCAAGACAAAATCTGGGAATTGATCATTGGATTTTGCAATCTTAGGGTCACTGGTGACCTTTAGCAGATTTGATGTAATCTTGGGGGCAAACGCTCTTACAAACCCCTAAACCTCAGTTACCGCATCGGTAAAATGGGGTAGTAATATTATTACGTATCTTATAGGATTGTTGTGAAAACCCGATAAATTAATTCATATAAAATGCTCCAAATAATGCCTGGCTCATTGTAAATGCTAAATAAATATTTGCTGTTGTTTCTAGAAACCTCTATTCAGGTGCTCATTAATTGTCAGTCATAATCTTTTGGTAAGGTCCTGCAACTAATTAAGAATCTACCTAACTGAATGAGCATCCAGTCTTCCCTGCTAGGCTATTATTGAAGATCTTTTTCAGCACCTCACCAAAGTATAGATAAATCTGAAAAACATGTTAACTCTATTAAGCAAGAAATGAGGTTATCACCGCATGACTTCTGCAGGATCATGTGCTGACTCCTCTTATTTCTGGATGCTTATCCATTCTAAATCTTGTCCAGGAATGCTTAGTTCACTGGTCTCCTATTGGAATTCACCATATTTTCATATTCTTATTTGAAAACTACAGTTGGGTTTGCCTTATTTCTAGTCTTTTACCAACTCTTTTTCAAACATAGCTGGCAGTGGCATAGTTATCTCTCTGGCACGTTCTTCACAGTGTCGGGATGAAATCTGATGGGGCTAGAACACATGAACTCATTTAGAGCTATTAATGTTTTGTTTTCTTCACAACCCATCATTTTTAAATTGCAGTAAAATATATGTAACATAAATTTTACTATCTTAACAATTTTTAAGGATACAGTTCAGTGGCATTAAATACATTCATAATGTTGTACATCCTTAACCCCTATATAGCCTCATAACTCTTGCAAAACAAAAACTCTTTACCCATGAAACAATAGCTTCCATTCCCCTTTTCTTCAGCCCCTGGAGACCACCATCCGACTTTCTGTCTCTATGAATTTGAGTATTTTAGGTGCTTCATAGAAGTAG
The DNA here is from genome assembly GCF_000001405.40 of Homo sapiens. Taxonomy (NCBI): domain Eukaryota; kingdom Metazoa; phylum Chordata; class Mammalia; order Primates; family Hominidae; genus Homo; species Homo sapiens. The sequence continues at coordinate 62,927,653 of NC_000014.9, read as the reverse complement.
AATAAAAGTATTTGTATTTTTGTGACTGAATTATTTCACTTAGCATAGTGTCCTCAAGATTTCTCCATTTTGTAGCATATGTCAAATTTTTCCTTTTGTAAGGGTGAACAATATTCCTTTGTATGTATATACCACATTTTGTTCATGCATGCATCTGTTGATGGACACTTGGTTGCTTCCACATTAGCTACTGTAAATAATGCTCCTATAGACATGGGTGTCTAAATATCTCCTTGAGACCTTGCTTTCAATTCTTTTGGATATCTATCCAGAAGTGAAATTGCTGGATCATATGGTAGTTTTATTTGTAATATTTTGAGGAACCACCACAGTGTGTTCCACAGTGCTTGTACCATTTCACATTCCCACCAACAGTGCACAAGGGTTTCAGTTTCTCCACATCCCTGTCAACACTTGTTATTTTCTGCAAGTAGCCATCTTAATGGTGTGAGGTAGTATCTCATTGTAGTTTTGATTTGCATTTCCCTAATGATTATTGATGTTGGACATCTGTTCATGTGACTATTGGCTTTTTGTATATGTTCTTTGAAGAAGGGTCTATTCAAGTTCTTTGCCCTTTATTGAATCTGATTGTTTTCTTCTTGTTGAGCTTTTGTTTTCTTTTTAAATGTTTGCCTTTTATTGGGTTTATATCATCTCTCAGCAGTGCTTATAATCCACATTCTGCTCGTTATAATCTGTCATTCTGTGTGAAATGGGGACAGGCAGAGCAGGAGTCAAGGACTTGTGAGTCCTCTGCATCATTCATCAACACTGACCCATAACCAAAGAAGCAGATGCAGTGGACTGAATTGTGTCTCCCTCAATTTCATGTGTTAAATCCCAACCCTTCATGTGACTGTATGAGATACAGGGCCTTTAAGAAGGTAATTAAGATTAAATGGGTTAAATGAGAGTGGAGCCCTGATCCAGTGGAGCTGGTCTCCTCATAAGAAGAGGGAGAGACAACAGGACTCTCTTCCACCATATGAAGACACAGTGAGAAGCTGGCTGTCTGCAAGCTAGGAAGAGGGCCCTCACCAGAGCCTGACCATGCTGGCACCCTGATCTCAGACTTCATGCCTCCAAAACTGTGAAAAATAAATTTCTGTTGTTCAAGCCACTCAGTCTTTTTGTTATGGTAGCTCAAATGGACTAAGACACCAAGGCTCTTCTTTCTTTCTCCTTTTTGTTGTCCTTAGCATTTTATGTATGCGTGTGCATGTGTGTGTGTGCGTGTGTGTGCATGTGCACAAGCATTACTTCTTTGGGGACTTTAGATTTCCTAAGTTGCATGGAAAAAATTCTCATTTATGCTTTGAGATACCGGCAGCTTTTTAAACTAAATCCAACATAGTGGTTTGAGCTGATGACCACCTAAAAGTTTCAAGAACTTATCAGAGCAACTACGAAGGTATACTTCTAGCTTATCAAATATCTTAGCACTAATTTCTTTAATTCTCTAGAGCTGATGCAAGCCTATCCTTCTTGTCTTCCTTGCATCATTTATTTTTCTATCTCCCCTTATTTTCCTTCTATACCATCCACTTGCAATATTTTCTGCTGAAACATTTTGAAATGCTTATTGTATGTTACTTTAGCATATATGAAGCATTCGTACAATATTTATCAATATATGGCCTTTGTCATTCTTAAAGCTTGTGCAAGTCTATAATGGTGAGAAGAATACCTTGTCTATGCCTCTAATTTATACATTGACAAAAAATGCCAGCACTGTAAGGACTTTTATCTGATTTTTCCAAGTCGTGTTTTTCTTAATGTGGGAATTTCTTTCTTCTTTAATTTTATGTCAGAGAGCACTCAACCATTTAACTATTATTTATAGTCTGTGGAAATCCATAATTGGGAATCTAACTTCAGAGTACACAATTATGTCTACAAGGCTTGATTACAAGCTTTATTGTGGTCTTATGATCCAGACTGTGGATCATACACATGTGGGCACAAAGGACAATGGCTGCTTATTGGGAATGTAAAAACTAAAAGAAATCAGGTATATGTGCCAGGGGTGCTGAGATGGGGTTGGTTAATATTTTATTTTTCTGTCTTTACCTGTGAAATGCAGAACGAGTATGTATCAAAATCTGTATACCTATATAACATATGTAAGTATATTTTAGGCTGACAAAAATTTGATGCTGAAGAATATTCATTATAACACTCAAGAGGAAAGGATAAATATAATAGTATACTTTGGGAGAATTTTGAAAGAGGAGAAGGAAACATTTAGATGAAGAGTTAAATATGCAAGCTACAGTTACACAAAAGAAAGACCATATGGTTTAATGCCATACATTAGTTTGTTTTAAACCTTTTGTAGTTTATTTTCATTTTAAAATGAATGTGTGCTTTAATTAGTGTTGAAGTGGGCTAGCAAAACATATGTCTTTTAGTTAAACAGTAATTTATATTGTATTCTCTCCCTTAGTCTTAGTGATAGATCTAAATTCTGGTTAACCAACAAAATGTGGTCTACAGGCACCAGGGCAAACAATCAATTTCTTGTTTGTTTATTTTTATGTTTTCACAGAACTATGACAAATAAAAATTTTATATATATATAAAATGTGCAGATTGATGTCTTGAAATATGTATATTCTTAAGTGATTATCCCAATGAAGCTAATTAACATATCCACCACCTCACAGTTACCTTTTATGTTTATGTGTGTGGTAAGAATACTTAAGATCTACTTTCTTAGCAAATTTCAAGTATACACTATTATTGACTATAGTCGCCATGCTATACATTAGGTCTTCAGAACTTATTCATCTTATCACTGAAAGTTCATACCCTTTGATCAAATCTCCCCATTTCCCCCACTTCTAAGTACCTGGTAACTACCTTTCTACTCTGATTCTATGAGTTCAACTTTTTCAGATTCCACTTGTAAGTGAGATCATGCATTGTCTTTCTGTGCCTGGCTTGTTTCACTTAACATAATGTCCTCCAGGTTCATCCATGTTATTGCAAATGGCAGCAGGATTTTCTTTTTTTCAAGGCTTAATAATACTTAAAAATATATAGACATTTTCTTTATTCATTCATCTGTTGATGGTCACTAGGTTGATTCCATATCTTGGCTATTGTAAATAATGCTGCAATGAACAAAGGAGTGCAACTACCTCTTCAAAATACTGATTTCATGTCTTTTCGATAAGTACCCAGAAGTGGGATTGCTGGATTATATGGTGGTTCTATTTTTAATTTTTTGAGGAACCTCCATACGGTTTTCCATAATGGCTGTACTAATTTACATTCCCACCAACAGTGTATAAGTGGTCCCTTTTCTTCATATCATTGTGAACAATTGCTATCTTTTGACTTTTTGATAATAGGCATCCTATCATGTGTGAGGTGACATCTCATTGTGGTTTTGACTTGCATTTCCTAATGACTAATGATGTTGAGTACCTTCTCATATGCTTCTTGGCCATTCGTATGTCTTCTTTTTAGAAATGACTATTCAGGTCCTTTGCCCATTTTAAAGTCGGGTTATTTGTTTCTTTGCTTTTGAGTTGTATGGGTTCCTTATATATTTTGGATATTAACCTCTTATCAGATTAGTGGTTTGCAAATATTTCCTCCCATTCTGTAGGTCGCCTTTTCATTTTGATAATTGTTTCTTTTGCTGTGCAGAAACTATTTTGTTTGATGTGGTCCCACGTGTTTGTTTTTACTTTTGTTGCTTGTACTTTTGGTGTCATATCAAAAAAATCATTGCCAAGACCAATTTTAAGGAAATTTCCCTCCATGTTTTCTTCTAGGACTTTTATGATTTCAATTCTTATGTTCAAGTATTTAATCCATTTTGAGTGGATTTTTGGATATGATGTGAGATGAAGTCCCAATTTTATTCTTTTGTATGCAGATAACTAGTTTTCCCAAAACAATTTATTGAAGATACTGTTCTTTCCCCATTGTGTACTCTTGGCATCTTTGCTGAAGATTAGTTGACTTTACAGGTGTGGGTTTATTTTTGGATTCTCTGTCCTGTTCCATTGGTCTACATGTTTGTTTTAATGCCAGTACCATACTATTCTGATTATTGAAGCTTTGTAATATAATTTGAAATCAGAGAGAATAATGCCTCTAGCTTTGTATTTTTTGCACAAGATTGCTTTAGCTATTCAGGGTCTTTTATGGGTTACATGAATTTTATAATTGTTTTTCTATTTTTCTGAAAAATGTCATTGGAATCTTGATAGGAATTGCATTGAATCTGATGTGTAGATTCCTTTGGTGGGTATTTTGACAATATTAATTCTTTCAATCTGTGAACATGGGATGTCTTTCCATTTATTTGTGTCTTCTTCAATTTCTTTCACCACTGTTTTATAGTTTACAGTGTACAGATTTTTCACTTCCATAGTTAAATTTATTACTAAGTATTTTATTCTCCTTGATGCTATTGTGAATGGGATTGCTTTCTTAATCTCTGTTTTGGATAATTCATTGTTAGTGTATAGAAACACAACTGATTTTTGTTTGTTGATAACATATACTGCAACTGTACTGAATTTGTTTTAGCTTTAACAGCTTTGTCATGAAGTCTTTATGATTATTCTATATATAAGATATATGTTTTTCTGTATATAAGATTTATGGTTTTCTATATATAAGGTCTGCAAACAGAGACACTTTTACTGTTTCCTTTCTAAATTGGATGTTATTTACTTATTTTGCCTAATTGCTCTAAGACTTCAGGTACTATATTGAATAGAAGTGGTGAGAATGGGCATTCTTGTTTTTCTGATCTTACGGAAAAGGCTTTAAGCTTTTCACCGTTGAATATAATGTTAGCTGTGGGCTTGCCATATATAGCCTTTATTGAGTTGAGGTATATTCTTCCTATACCTAATGTGTTGAGAGTTTTTATCAATAAATATGTCAAATGTTTTTTCTGCATCTACTGAGATGGTCATGAAAATTTTATTCTTCATTCTGTTAATGTGGTGTAACATATTTTTTGGTTTGTGCATGTTGAACCATCCTGGCATCCTAGAAATAGATTCAGCTTGATCATGGCGTATAGTGTATGATCCTTTTAATATGCTGTTGAATTCAGTTTGCTAGTATTTTGTTGATGGTTTTTGCATCTATGTTCATCAGGGATATTAGATACAACCAACACTTAACATGTTGAAAATGTGCTTTGGTTTTATTCTATTACACTTTGCTTAACTGAGAACAAAGAATTTATAGGTGTTAATTTAACTATTAATAATTAAGTCACATGCTTATTTGGAATATTTCATATATATGCATGTCTACTATATAATGTAAATTTATGTTTGCATACATATTTGTGTCTTCAGTTCCTTGACATATCTTTGTGCATGTAGATGGATACACATACAGATAAAGATGTAGATGTAGCTATAGATAGAGCTATAGATATAGATATAAATGCAGTTATCTACGTCTAAGGATTAAAAAAATCAAGTAAAATTATTTTCCTTTCCTCAAAACCTCAGGGATTACAAAGGAAGACCCCTATATGCAACTGAATCTAAAAATGCACTGTATAAGGTGGAACCCAGAATGTATATCATTTGCATTATTATATCATAGGATAATAAGCCAGAAAAAGAGCTCTGGTTCTAGACATAATTATATAGTCCTACCTATGTTACACAGTTGTTATGAGATCTAGTCAAATAACATTGCAAGCATGTTTTAAGCTTTTAAGTACAAAATTATTGTTACTATTCTCAGAATACTCAAAATCCAGCCCCTATGTGTCTGTTCCTGTCAAAAGAGGTCAACTTAAGATGTATTTTATTCATCAAATCTTGCTCCACAAGGCTGTTAGATAAAAAGATCTGTCCTTCTTTGTCCATTGTGAAATCAGGTCATAACTAGGCTGGTGAACCCCAAGAGCCAGGTCAGTCGTGACTCATTCAAGTCTTTCAGAACAGCCAGTGAAATGGTTGGGAAGTTGTTTCAGGGTGTTTTTTGCTCTGATTTCTGCAGGATGGTTGTCTGTTCTTCCTATGTCCAGAGGTGTAGAGCTTTCCTGGGTCATTTATGGCTATGAGAAATCATATGGCTTAGTCCAGATTTCCCAGAATGCTGGTGATTCATAATTTGATAAAACCAGGCTGAAGTCATCTCCAAATCCTTCTCCATCACATTCAATTTCTAGGTGATAGTGAAAACATTTTCTTCCCTTTACTTGGCATTTTCTTCCCATTACTTAATGGTCTGTTAGACATTATGCATTCAGTTAAGGTTTTGAGACTGTACCTTCAAAATCATGAAAACATAAATCATACTTTCCTGTATTTTAAAGAACAGATTTTAATTTATCTTCTTTCTATTTAGAAAAGTTACAGGTTTTTAGCTCTTATTTTTACTTTGGATCAGTGGGTAAGTTTTTGATAGCAAGAGAGTGAAAAACGAAGCCTCCCATTCCTGCAACTGTGTTTAATTACGGAACATGCTGAACCACATTTGACTTTTTTTTTGTTTCTGAACTTATGTCAGCTTCCCCAGTCTGTGATGAAACACGTTTTGCAGCTCTACAACAAAGGATAAAAATAAAATAAATGTTTAGGAAAGTACTTTGGGATAGCTAAAGAGAGAGAGCCATACAAAAACACATAGGCATTGGTAGGAATGACAAATTAATTGTGCTGCCTTTAAGTAATAACACAGAGCAATTAATGCATTTAATAGCTTTATTGAAACAAAAAGCTCTTTTGCAGTTTGCATAATTTCTTTGTGTAATAAGAATGTTTCATAAGTTTATAGATGAATGCATGACCTCTGACTTAGGGAGTTTTGGTAATATGTATATCTCTGTGTTTCTATTTTCATTTTCAGACAGTATTTTTTCCTTATTGTGTAAATTCAGATCTTTATTGCATAAAGCCAGATCTAATGGCTTTGAATAATTGATTGGTCTTTCAGATTTCATGATTTATGACTCTCATTTTCAAGATTGTAATTTTTATTTCTTGATACAAACATACCCTAAATCAGTTTGTTTCAAGCATTTTTTTTGAACCCAGAACAACACTGAATCTAGTGATTTTTAAGTTGCACAGGCGGGTCGAAGATTCTTGAGGGATTATCTTGGAACTCAGGGAGGTGTAAGGCAGGTGAGTAGGCAGGGCATCACACTGGAGGTTATGTGAGGGTTTTGTACCCCATTATAAGCCTAGCACTTAGCACAGTTGACACATTGGAATAAATGAATGAAAAAGTTTACCCCACCCTGCATCCCTGCTTTAACCTGAAAGGTTCATTTTTCCCATTTTTTTATTGTTCTCAGAGTAAGTTTTCCAGAGTTTAGTAGAGAATTTCAGAAACGATGTAAACTCTTCTCTGGGGGCTGCTAATCTGTTGCTGCTACTGACATACATTAGTATCCTGGCTATTTTCTCTCCATGACCTGCCTTCTTTTCCCTATCCCTCCACATCATTCTTCCTAAGCCTCTAGCTTCCCTGTACCATTTGCCCCCATAGGAGTTGGTATCCTAAAGTGCTGGTTGAGCACAGTCTCCATTCCCACATTCAACTGGCAGCATGATCAGAAAGACTGCCAACTCATCATGGAGATGGGCAAGTTCCCCCAAAACTCTCATGCACTGTATAAATGCAAGGTAGTAGTAATAGTTTAATATAGAAGTTTATTGATTTGTCAAAGTAATTGATATCACCTTGCCAGAATTGGACAACCTCAGATATCCTGGACTTTGGCTCTCTGGTACGCCTTCGCTGACCTCTCTCTCTCTCCCCGCTTGGTTTGATGATGCTATATTTAAATGTAATCACACTCAGTAGACTATTTGACTGTCAATACTCTGGGACAGCAAAAATTATTAGTCCTCTCACAGTGTCCTTAGGTGACACATGATAATAAGAGTAATCAGTACTTTCATGATGGGCCACGTAGATATTGTGTATGATTTCATTTTACAATGAACGGCAGACTTCTTTTCTAGGATGTCAGCTATAAATCTAAGAGCTTTAAAGACATTGATTCATTTCATCCTAATAGTAATCTTACTAGATAAGTGTTATTATTACCCATATTTTACAGAAGAGAGAAAATTGAGCGCACAGAGATTAAGTAACTTGCAGAAAGCCACCCAGCTAGTAAGATGTGGAACTTGGTAAGGCAGCCTTTTTCAAGTTTGGAATGTGAGATGCTCTCAATTTAATCATCTCTGCAATGTTCCAATTTCGTTTTATCCCTGTGAGTCCCAGAAATGCATTTCTAACTTTATAAAACATATAGAAAAAGACCTAGAGCAGTTATATCATTATTAAAATATTATCTCTAGGGAAGTAGTATATTTGTTTTCTAATAAAATGAAAATAGCTTCATTTTCTCTGATTGTAAAAATAATACATACTCGTGAAGAAAAATGAAGCAATACAGAAAATACAAATGAGAAATCAGAATAATTGGAAGCTTCATTACCTAGTGGCATTTGAGTGAATATACTTTCTGATATTTCTCTAGGCACATGTATATATATAAATATAGCATTTTTATGTATGAAACTATACTACACTTTTTGTAATCAATTTCTATGCCTACAGTGTGTCATGGATATTTTTCTGTGGCAGCAAATACAAGTATATACCACGTTTTTGGATTGGTTGTATAGTGCTACTTTGTATGGCTGTAACATTCTTTATTTAAGCAATTCTATATTGAAGAACATTTAAATTACTTCCAATATTAATATTAAAAATAATATGATAAAAATGATTTTCATAAGTATTTTGGTACATGGACAATTACCTATTTGGGAGCAAATTTCTAGAAGATTTTTGGCACAAAGGTTACGCATTTTTTTTATTGGATATATAGTGTCAAACCTGAAAGACTGTAATGACTTAACAGTCTACTGACATATTTTGAGTGTGTCCATTTCTCTTATTCCTTGCAAATGGTGATTTTGCCCATTTAAAAATACCTCTGCTTGTCTGAATTTGAATTTATTGTATGGTTTTTATTTTGGATATTCAGTGATTAGTGAGGTTGAATGTATTTATTATGTTTATTGACCATTTGTATGTTTTGCAAATTGCCTACTATGTCCTCTATCCATTGTTTTTATTAGTATGCTGTTTCTTTTAAATTAACTTTTATGATCTTTTTAAAAAACATATTAGCGATATAAGCCTTTCGTTTATCTTACGTGTTGCAAATAGTTTTTCCAGCTAACAATTGATTCTTCGGTCCTATTTTAGTAACTATTTATTTATTTATTATTTGCCACGTAGAAATTTTAAATTTTTATATGGTCAAACAGACCTTTTCTTTTATGGTTTCTTGCTTTTGGGGCCTTCTGTACTTGTAGAGTTGTATGTTGTACATTACATTGTAGAAATGGCTTCTTTTTAATGGGACCCAGAGCCAGGATATGTAACCAACACTTATATGTCAGTTACTTTAAAGTTTACTAAGAGCTCCCACAAACACTTTCTTATTTAATTCAATTAATACTTTAACATTATTATTAACATTCTTCAGATGAGGAAAATGAGGCAAAGAGAATACCTTAAACTTCCCATGGCTCATCCCAAATCACACATCTAGTAAGGATTAGAATATAGGCCAGTCTGATGCCAAAGCCATGGTTTTAGTCATGACTCTATACCAGGATCCTTTAGACAGATGGAACAGCAGAGAAAGAGGAAGGTTAAATGGCCCCTGCCTCATGCTGAACAGCATTTCCCTCTTTTGATAGAAAGATTAGGAACTGAATTCTTGACTGTTAATATGATCCTTCTTGGAGTAATCGGATTCCAGTTCAGTCTTTTGAAAGAAATTTCAGTGGAAAATCAATTAGATGTTAAAAGAAAAGAGCCATAGGAATGTTAAGGTATTAAGAATAATGTGGGGTATGCTTTGGGTTTTAAGAATTAAGAGGATGATGTCCAAGTAGTTAAATGAATTTGTGAACATGGGTCAGTGAAAGAGTACCACGTCAGAGTGCTTGGTCCATTTGCAGCCAGGCATATTGAATGAACTCTTCTCTCATCTCATTTCTAATAAATAGTCAGAGCAAGTATTAATCAGGATTTTACATGTACAATTAGAAAGGGTTTTATTCTTGGTATTATGCTGGATTTTGGTGCAGATAAATTTCTCATTCACAGGACACTTTCAGTCTTCAGGTCAGATTTTGCTTTTCTAATAAAGAGGTATATGGATTTCAGTTGATTCACATCATTAATTATCAGCATTTGTGTGGATGCAGGATATCTTGGGCAAAGCTCTGTATCTGAGATAAAGCAAAAAAAAAAAAAAAACCTAACAAACCATTTCTGCCTTTTATGTCCCTCTTTAAAGATAAATTGAGTAGGGAGCAGTAAACACATGATTTCAGGTCTTGCAATGAAATAAGCAGAGCTCAGTCTCGTAAAAATAAATTAGGTAATTCAACACAGAACAAAAGAAGGAATATAACAATGTAAAGCTATGTATTAGGTACAGCAGATCTTACACTGACTATGGCAAATCAAAGTGTCATCATTTTCTAATATATCTCCTCTCAGGGCAGTTAAATATATTTTAAACTATAGAGTAAGTTGCAGTTTTTATGTTAGTTTGTATTCCAATATCATTGGTGTGAAATCATCAAACTCTAATTTCTAGCATTTCTAGAAAATGAACCTCTTTAGCTCCCACATGAATTCTAGAATTTTCAGGATTCTTCTCAGTCAGTGATCAAGTTGTTAAAAAATTGCCTTGGTATACAATGTGGGCTCTGCTATTTTTAACTTTGTCTGGACCTCTTTCCTTAACAGTTGAGATAAATCAATCATTTGTTGGGACTGAGAGCCGTAAACGATGAGAAGACTGTTTTCAGAGCCTCAGCATTTATTTGCACCTGTGCCACACTGCAGGAATATTGGCATGACCCTCCGTTGGAGCTGTGCTCTCTCCTTTCAAATCAAACATGCAGTCTCAGAGCCCCTCTGTGTTCTCAAATCTCATTAGTAGTGTTTTCTGGCTTGGAGGTTTTCAGAATCCACTGTTTGTATGGCAGTGGAAAAAGACATTTTTTCTCATCAGAAATCAGAGAAGGCACGTCAATGGCACAACAAACTTAATTGTTTTACTGTTCTAATAAAAAGGCTTCATTGAACCAGGGGCTTTCCCTCGAAGTTAATTATTTCTCACATCAGGTTTGTTCTGTCTAATAAAATTAAGCAGTGACCCTAAGAAGATGCCAATTGTTTGACATTGTTATAAAGAACACATTAAGGAATTTGGATGCCTGAGAAATTTATTGTCCTTCTCTTTAATTGTGTCTTCCTTTTGGTAGTGTTCCTCCAATTAACCAATTATTTGGGGTATGGTTGTGGTTAAGAACGTGAACATCAGCCACACTTGGATTGAAACCCTGGCTGGCTGGGCGTGGTGGCTCACGCCTGTAATCCCAGCACTTTGGGAGGCTGAGGCAGGCAGATCACGAGGTCAGGAGATCGAGCCCATCCTGGCTAACACGGTAAAACCCCGTCTCTACTAAAAATACAAAAAATTAGCCGGGCGTAGTGGCGGGCGCCTGTAGTCCCAGCTACTCGGGAGCCTGAGGCAGGAGAATGGTGTGAACCCGGGAGGCAGAGCTTGCAGTGAGCCAAGATCTCCACTGCACTCCAGCCTGGGAGACAAAGCGAGACTCCATCTCAAAAAAAAAAAAGAAAAAAAAGAAAAAAAAAGAAAAAAAGAAACCCTGGCTAAGCCACTTACTATGCAGGTGACTTTGGCAAGTCACTCATTTCTAAAACACAGTTTTTCATTTATCACGTGGGGGTTATGACACCTATCTCATATTAAAGTTGTAGTTAAGATTAAATGAAGTAATGTACGTGCAATACTTTGATAGTACTGCCTAATATCAAGTAGATGTTCGATAAAAAGATTTTATTACTGTTTTTAAGCACTGATTGTTACCAAACTATTGGTGCTTTCATAAATAGCTTTTATAAATGCTTATTGGAATAGCATTTTTTTCCATTTATGTATACTTTCACTTCAATGTAAATTGGGGTCCTGCTATGTATTCAGTATCAGGATTCAAAGAATAATAGTATGTAGCCCTTGTTCTAAAGGAGTGCAGAAGATAAATAATTCTACCTTTACTTTTACTGCATTCACTTGTTTAAATATTATATGTGCATTTTTAATGGCATTTGTAACCTTTAACTCTACTGGGAAAGAATATAAGCATGCTACCCATAAGAATTATATTTCTTACTATAGTATTCTGTAGTATGTTTTCATCACGTTTCTTCCAAAAATGACAGTAGTTTTGGAACCTTATAGACCTGAAATATTCTATTCAATGTGTCATGCCAAAACATATAGTCCCCGCTCTCAAGAAACAGGAAGGGAAGAACTTAGAAGAATATGCAAATTTAAATAGTGAGTTTATGACATGAATTCAACAAACAGGAAAAAAGCACAATTAGTTCTACACAAATAATTAGTAAGAATCTCACATGAGTTTGGCCAGTTACAAAGTGGCAAAGCCAGTTAGGCATATGTGACTTTTCACATATTGCTTAACTGGAGCAGGGAGATCTCTGGTTCACACCTGTGGTGCATTGGTCTGATTCCGTAAGACACTTATTGTCTGTTCTGTGCCAGGCACTGGCTCAGCTCTGGAAATACAAGGTGACTAAAACAAAGCCTCCATTCTTCAAGGAACGTAAAATCCCAAATCCATTGGGAATGTGCCTGATAATTTATGTTTGAGAAATCGCTTCCAGCCTGTCCTCACTGCCCACATGGCGAGGTATGCACGTTCGGCATGTGGGTATCTCATGAGTGTTGTCTAGTCTATTTGGGCTGCTGTAAGAAATTACCATAGTCTGAGGAGCTTATAAACAACAGAAATTTATTTCTCATAGTTCTGGGAAGTCCAAGATCATGGTACCAGTGATGTCTGGTAAGAGTCTGCTTCCTCATAGATGGTGTCTTCTAGTTTTGTCCTCACATGGTGGAAGGGGCAAAGGACCTCCAAAGAAACACATACATGTAATATGCTTTGTATACATGTAAAATATATGTAAATGTGAGAAGAGAGAGATCAATAAGATTTTTGTCTCTTCCAGTGGAAAATTCCTAGGAAATTAACAGTGCTGATCATTTATAAAAAATGATTATAAAACCACAGTATACTCCACCCTCCTTTTTAATGAAGTTTTATATAAGATCATTATTTTAAGTATCTGTTTCCAACTGTCTCTCTGAGTACAGTTTTATTTAATTTATTCTGTGATTGGAGTTCTATGATGATACAGAATCTTTGTTGCATTCTCTATCTCTATTACTGTGTCTCTTTCAATTTATAAGGGTGGCTTTGGGGCTTCCAGAAAATATAAACATGAGTGAGACTATCTCAGACTACATTAGGCCAACATAAATGATGACTCACCACGAGTAACTCAGTTGAGATGGTTATTAACGATTTCTATTTTTGTGGAAGGCATATGGTTAGCATGCAAGAGCTCTTTATACATCATTAGCAAATTTAATTTTTGTAATAATCTTTGATGTATTTTTCAATTTTAAGAAAGCACATGAGAGTGGTGTTCATTTACTCCTGAAAATTCAGCCCTTTTCACTCTGATTACATTCATTACTGGGATTTTTGTGAATGTGTTTATTGATACTTTCTCAAGCTTGAGGCTGAAGTGAGAATTAATTTTTGATTTTTATATAAATGATGAGGGATTTTAGCTGGGATGTTTGAGGCTAACATTGTTGCTTCTCTGTTCAAGATTATACTGTGGGATGAAAGCCAAGAGTAATTTTTTAAAAAAGCTTCAGGGGTGTATTACTGCCCTACAGATGCTTTAAAGATGAATACATTTTTTTGATAAACTCTGTGATTTTAGCTAATGATTATTAATCATTAAGAAACAATGCTTCTTCTAGTATAGAGTAAAAGCCATCTAAGCTTGGGTTTTATATTGTTCTTATTTTGTAGTTTCTCCCAAGTACTATAATTATTCTAGGTGGCTATACTAATTGAATTTAGAAGGGGTCCCTACTAATTAAACAAACCATTGCTACATTACCTAAAATTCTAAATCAGTTGTTCACTGACCTCTAAATATAAAAAGTTTTGGCCGGGCGCAGTGGCTCATGCCTGTAATCCCAACACTTTGGGAGGCCAAGGCAGGTGGATCATGAAGTCAGGAGTTTGAGACCAGCCTGGACAATATGGTAAAACCCCGTCTCTACTAAAAATACAAAAATTAGCCGGGCATGCTGGCACGTGCCTGTAGTCCCAGCTACTCAGAAGGCTAAGGCAGGAGAATTGCTTGAACCTGGGAGGCGGACGTTGCAGTGAGCCGAGATCGCACCACTGCACTCCAGCCTGGGAGACAAGAGCAAAACTCCGTCTCAAAAAAAAAAAGTTTCACATTTAACACATGATCTGTTCTTGATTTATATCAGTATTGATTATTCCTGGCTAATTTTATATTCGAGGCCAACAAGATGCATCAGATTTATTCTGCAGCTTCATTAATCTTGACAAATCACTAACTTACCCCATACATTTTGACTCCTTAGACAAAAATTTTAACTAAGTTCAGATTTAGAAGTCATTTTATGTAGATATTATTGGAAAATATAGATACATTTGTTAGATAATTCTCAATTTAAGATAAGAAAAACTTAAAACATTTTGCTCTCTGTAGCAATTTATATTCCCAGCAGGGGTTTAGCCTTAAGTAGACAGACATACCAATCTGTGAAACTAGAAGGGACTATACCTTACTGCCTGTAAATTTCTTCAGTGTTAAAAAAGATAGTTGAAGCTTTCTATCTTCATTTTCCACACTTAAAGTGGCTTATGAAAACTATTAATTTTATATTTAACTATGTCATATTTGTGTGTGGAACATTGCTTTTAGAGACAATTATTAAAAGAAATCTAGATGGCCAGGTACGGTGGCTCACGCCTGTAGTCCCAGCACTTTGGGAGGCCGAGGCTGGCGGATTGCTTGAGGTCAGGAGTTTGAGACAGCCTGGCCAACATGGTGAAACCCCGTCTCTACTAAAAATACAAAAAATAGCTGGGTGTGGTGGCGGGCACCTATAATCCCAGCTACTCAGGAGGCTGAGGCAGGAGAATCGCTTGAACCTGGGAGGCAGAGGCTGCAGTGAGCCAAGATTGTGCCATTGCACTCCATCCAGGGCGAAAAAAGCGAAACTCCGTCTAAAAAAAAAAAAAATCAAGATATAGAAGGAAGTAAATGATGATAAAGCAAGATAAGAGAAAGTAGCAGACTGGATTCTGATTTAACTCAGCAAACAGTATAAGTACTAAAAGACAAAGAATAAGATTTGATGGTTGTCATCAACCAAATTTCTATTTATTATAATAAAAATTTGAAAAAATTATTAACACTGAATTTGCTGAGATTTATTATGTGAGGGACATATTAATGCATTTCATTGTTCTTTTACATGCACTACCTCATGTAATCCTCATAACAACCCTAATAGGTAGGCAGGCTTAGGTAAAAATAATCTTGAGTCATATTTTGTAAGTAGTATAACAGAGGTATGTCTAAAACACTTTACTTTTTTTTTTTTTTTTTTTTTGATTAGGAGTCTCGCTCTGTCACCCAGGCTGGAATGCAGTGGCATGATCTCGGCTCACTGCAACATCCGCCTCCCGGTTTCAAGCAATTCTCCTGCCTCAGCCTCTCGAGTAGCTGCAATTACAGGTGCCTGCCACCACGCCCAGCTAATTTTTAAAATATTTTTAGTAGAGACGGGGTGTTACTATGTTGGCCAGGCTTGTCTGGAACTCCTGGCCTCAAGTGATCCACCTGCCTCCCTCCTAAAGTGCTGGGATTACAGGTGTGAGCCACCGTGCCCAGCTACTTGACAGTTTTTGAGTTAAAAAAAAAAAAAGCTAGTTAAAAGCCTTCCTCCAGTAATCTGACATGCTGATGTTTTTTTCTTATATACAAAATGTTCACAAATATTGACCCACTTCTCTAATTTGTATTCTGTTTTATTGATCAAGTTGTCTATTTCTGAATCAATGTTGTGTTTTCTTAATTCTTATATCTTTGTAATATATTTTGGATCTGGTAGGGTACAATTCCAGGCTTTGTCTATTCCTGATCATTTACTCTTCTGTATGAATTTCAGAATTATCTCATCAAGTTCCATGGAAACATTCTACTTGGCTTTTGATTAAGATTATGTTGAATTTTCCCAGCTACTCGGGAGGCTGAGGCAGGAGAATGATGTGAACCTGGGAGGTGGAGCTTGCAGTGAGCCGAGATTGCGCCACTGCACTCCAGCTTGGGTAAAAGAGCAAGACTCCGTCTCAAAAAAAAAAAAAAGAAAAAAAAAAGAAAGAAAGATTGTGTTGAATTTATAGGTTAAATCAAGATCATTATGTTGTTTATACCATCAACATTTCCTCTCCATGCACATGGTATACCTTCATTTATTCATATATTCTTGTGTGTCCTTCACTCAACAAATATTTTTAAGTATATACTATTTTAGAGTACTGTTCTAGGTGTTAGGGATACATCATTGTTTAAATGCCCCTACTCTTAAGTAGTAGTTTGTATTTCAGTGAGGGAAGAGAGAAAATAGAGAAATAAGAAACAAATGTATAATATGTTCCATTATGATACAATAAAGTAGGGTATAGGATGACAGAACAACAGAGGGGTGTGTGTGTGTGTGTGTGTGTGTGTGTGTGTGTGTGTGTGTGGTGTATGCACACACATACCCTGTTTGATTAGCAGAGTCTTCTCTGATAAAGTAACATTTGAATCAGGGAAAAAAGTGAGCCATGTGAACATCTTGAGAAAAAGCTGCTTTCCAGAGGGAACACCGGTGCAAAACTGTGAGCTGGGAAGCTGCCTGATGTGCTCAAAGAACCGTACAGAGCCCAGCATGGTTAGAGTCGTGAGAGAGAGGGAGAAACATTTTGTAGTTTTCTCCATAAAGATCTTGAATATTCCTTGTTAGATTTATTCCCAGGTATTTTACAGCCTGTGCTCTGAATGTCTATTTTATGTTCTTTCCAAAACTACCTTTTCAATTTGTTATTGCTGCTGTGTAGGAGAATTACTGATTCTTGTATGTTGATTTTATGTCCTGTTACATAACTTAGTGCTAGTATTTTAGCAGTTGATTCTATTTGTTTTTTTAAATTAAGTGAAAATCTTGTGTAATGACTATTTGTCTCCATCCTAGACTGTTTTATTAATATTTTTTTCCTTGTCTTGTTACATTTCTAGGACACCCCGTAAAATATGTACTAGTATCTGTGAAAATGAGCATCTGTTTTCCTTTCTCTAATTTTAATGAAATGCTTCCAATTTCATAATAAGCATGATGTTTGCTATTTCTTTAATAAAACAGGCAATATTTCTTCTATTTATAATTTGTAAGGTTTTTAAAAATGAAACTTTTTAGCATCTATTAAGCTTGTGTGTGTGTGTGTGTGTGTGTGTGTGTGTAACATGTTAGTGTAGTGAATTGCCTTGATATCTTTCTTATCTGGAACTATTTTTCAATTCTTGGTCACATACTGATTCAAAAAATATCAAGTGCCTACAGGAACTGGTACCATTCTAGGCACTTGAGTTACGTTAGTGAACAAAACACTCAAAAATTCCTGGCATAATGAAGCTGATATTCTAATGATGGAAAGCAAAAAAAGAAAAAAACCAATACATATAATAAATGAAATATTGTATTTTTCGTTAGAAGAGATAAGTACAATGGCAAGCGGAAGGAGCAAAGCATATAAGGAGCAGAGTGTGTTTGGGGGGTTTGTACTCTCAGTTAGATGGGCTGACATTGTGTGGTTCTAAGCAGAGGTATGGCATCACCTGCCTGTGCCTCTGCGGGCTCACTCTGGACAAATAGACTGTGTGGGGGTGTGGGTGGCGGGTGAGCAAAGGAAGCAAATGGAGACATATAAAGAGCTTATTATAGGAATACAGGAGGGAGGTGATTGAGACTGACTTGGTGGATGGCAGTGGGGGTGAAGAACATCCACTTCTATTTTGAAATAGAGGTAACTGGATGTTTTCTGACCAATTGCATACAAGGTGTGAGAGGAAGAGAGAGAGAGGTTGAGGTTTTTGGCCTGAGCAACCTGATCATGATGTTTCTTTTAATAAAAAGCTAGATTTGATTTGCTAATAATTTATTTAGGACTTTTACAATGTTGCTCATAATTAAAATTGTGTGAGAACTTTCTGTTCTTCCATATCCCTTGTCTGGTTCTATTAGCCTTTAAAATACGTAGCATAGGCCGGGCGCGGTGGCTCACGCCTGTAATCCCAGCACTTTGGGAGGCCGAGGCGGGCGGATCACGAGGTCAGGAGATCGAGACCATCCCGGCTAAAACGGTGAAACCCCGTCTCTACTAAAAATACAAAAAATTAGCCGGGCGTAGTGGCGGGCGCCTGTAGTCCCAGCTACTTGGGAGGCTGAGGCAGGAGAATGGCGTGAACCCGGGAGGCGGAGCTTGCAGTGAGCCGAGATCCCGCCACTGCACTCCAGCCTGGGCGACAGAGCGAGATTCCGTCTCAAAAAAAAAAAAAAAAAAAAAAAAAAAAAAATACGTAGCATAGTGTTTTCTATGTTTGAGAGCAGCTTGGCTACAGTTAGTTTTCTTTTACTTAAAACTTTGGTTGAGTTTGCTCAAAGAGTCATTTGGACCTGGTCAGGTAGTAGGTCAATGAGTCAGCATCCCCCAGACCACCCCCAAGTTTGGTGATTTGCTAGAAGGAGTCACAGGACTCCATATTGTGATACTCATGACTAAGATTTATTACAGCAAAAAAAAAAAAAAAAAAAAAAAAAAAAAAATACAAAGCAAAATCAACAAAGGGCAAAGGCACATGGGGCAAAGTCTGGAGGACACTGGGCACAATCTTCCAAAAATTCTTTCACAGCGAAGTCACACAGGACAAGCCTGATTCCTCCAGCTATAGCTGGACACATGTGAAGTGTTATTTGCCAGGAGGGCTCCAGTCTGTGCCTCTGGGTGTTTGCAGCTTTATGTCCCTTCTTTGTTTAGGTGCTGTCTCCTATCTTTGAAGGATTCCTAATAGTTTCCCTGAATTTGAGGTTTACTGAGGATTCTTCCTCTAAGTTTCAACAAGCTATTTTGTAATTTCTAGGAATTTGGGGTGGGAAGGAGAGATCATAGCATGTTCTAAGGCTACCATCTTGGCCAGGGAGGCTCTTTTTGTGTTACTGAGTAGGCGGGTGAACAGGAAGCAGGAAGGTGATTGAAAGTCAGACGTATCCGTCTGTCATGTCTGTGCTCATCTCTGCTCCCCTGACAACTAACAAACCCGTTGACTTCATTGCATTTCAGATTCCTAACCTGTAAAATGGAGATCACTGTAGTCCTGTGAAGATGAAATGTGTTCAAGAATGGTAGCCTCCTATTTACTACATATTGATGCTTAACAAACTGTTTTTTTCCCCTTTTTTGGTCAAATAAAATGAAATATACTGTTATACAAACTGAGCTGAAAACATGTAGAATCCATTACCCACAAAAGTTTGTGTAGTATGTATACATAATTATGTTTGAAAATCATTTAAATAAGGTCTTTGTGGATAGATTCATAATGGAGAGTCAAGGAGACCCTTGGGATGCTTGGGAAAGTATCTTTAATATTTTGAAGACGTCATTGTGGTAGAAGATGACCTTCATCTTGCACAATGCCCTCATGTGACTAACAGCAGGAGAACATCGACTATTGGTTGATCCACTAAGTTCTTTATTATGCTGTTACACAGGGCAGGGGCCAGAGCAAGTTGCACATGCTGCTCTGCTTTGTGCTTGTCACTTGCCGCTCCAGCCAGGCCACATGAGCTTGAGAACGGCTTCCTGTTTTATAGAAAGGCCATGAGTGCACAGGGAATGACAAAACGGAATGACTAGGTATGGCAATCCTACTTGCTTTTAGTTTTCTATACCTGTTACTCAGACTCCTTGTCTAGGCAATTGACCCTCAATTTCCAGACCCTGCAGTCATTTGTGGATTGCAGTGCTTGGTTTCCTGTCCTGGAAACCTGATCTCCCTGGATTTCAGGACTCTTATTATATACTAACCTTGGCAGTTGCCCTTTCCTTCCAGACTTGCATGAAGTTGTCAATGAGACCATCATGTGGGAGAGAATAAAAATGCACGATAAACTAGGAAATAGTCAGTGTGGCACTGTGAAGACAAATCATGGCAGACTTATTTCATTTCTTCTCTGATAGAGTGACAGGCATCATAAACAAGGGAGAGTAATGGGCTAGATCTATCTTGCTTCCCTGTAATCACTCCTGAAACACTCAAGGTATGACTGGGTCATATTTTATATTTCCATATAGATGAGAAACAGGATCTTTGTCATAGGGTCTGATTGATCTGTCTAGTTTCTCTGAGATTCCACATCCAAGCCAACATCCTGGATAAGTTGCACTAACAAAAAATCAGAGCAGCAGAATTTAATAAAGAATTAAGGAGAGAAGACTGTCTAGAAAGACAGTGAGACACATCCTACATGTGGAAAGTATAGTCAGAATTCAGGAAGGGATTGGGATTGTAAAGTTAAGAAAATGGATTAGGGTTGAAAATGCAAGCTGAATCTTTACAAAGAATTCAGGAAGAATTGAGACAGTGCTATACGTTGTTCATTGCAGGATACATTTTTTATTTTGCTTTTGAGACACCCTAGGTAAGGTACTTGAGAACACTTTGGGGTCGGTTGGATTCTGATTCCTTCTCAAGTACAGTAAACTCTCTTTACAGATATATACATTTCTTGCTGATGAGGAAAGTGGAATGAGAAAGAATATGGATGTCACCATAAAATGAGACAAGAAAAAAAAAGTTTTGTTATGTTTAAAAAACTCTCCTAATTTGTATTCTATTGATGGTGAGTAAACAATATAACCCTTACATGTGAAGAGTAGTCTATTCATTTCTCTTTATGAATTTAACAATATCAATTAGAAAGCCAAAGGGGAAAAGCCCATCTATATTCTATTTGTTGTTCAACAGAGAGAGAAATGAGTTGTACATTTTTAGTATCTGACCTTTTTTTTAAAGGAAGATAGATTATTCTCATTCTTAATGGAAACCTGTGAATAGTGTTGATCCAAGTGAAATATAGATTTTTGTAAAAGAGAGGAAAGGGATTTTGTTACAGAATGAGCTTCTATGTTTCCTTTACATCTTGGCTCAATCACTATTTCATTAGAGAAGCCTTCTCTGACTTCCCAGACAAGGTCAGCTCAACCTTTTCTATATTCTCACAGCACCAAGTATGTGCGTGTCTGTCTGTGTGTGGTTACACACACAGACATACTATATTTGTGACTCTTTTACGTGATATTCCCCTTTAGATAGACTGTAAGCTCCACTGAACACAGGAAATGCACATGTTTTGGCTCATCTTTCCTAACCAAAGCCTAGCATGGTGTCTAACACCTAATACACTCTCAATAAATGAATGAGCCAATAAACAGTGATTGTGGTCTAGATATTAAAATGCTGAGAAAACCCTATGCAGTTGAATAGAACTATATTCATTGCTCATGAAAGGAGATTTTACTTAAAAGTTTTACCTTAGATGTGCTACCTTTTTGAGTAAGGGAGGCAAATTTTCAAACCTATGGGAGAGTTAGGGTGGGGAGTAGGAGACAGCACTGCCACATTCTGGGTGGGTGAGAGCTGGATGTGAAGTGGGCCTGGTGCCAGTCTCAGTCTTGACCTAATTTTGATAACTGTTACTGAACACGTTGCTCTTTTATCATGGCGTTGAAAGCCTATCTAAAAGCACTCTGTGGGACCTTTAGATATAGCAAGTGAAAGGGATCAAAGCCCTGAGAACTAGACATTGTTGGCTCACCCTGGAAGGCTGGCTTCAGTAACACTGCTTCCCTCTTCTCCACTGACAACTGGTTCACTGAGCAGGAAGTTGGGATTAATTTACTGGAGAGCAGGGAAGGTGACAGGATTTCCACAGCAATTGAACACATTTAGCAGAGAAATGTTCTAACCATTGGTGACTTCATGATTTCCTCTTTCTTGGGAAAGTCCAAGACTCTTACCTAACATTTGTCATCCTTCTCCCCTGCCCCCCTCAATGAAGGAGAATGATAGAAAGGAGATCTTAGCAAAAAAAGGAAAAAATAAGAACAAATCCAAACTTTTATCTTATAGTTACTATGGAATTAAGTCCAAAAATGATGCTGGCTTTCATGGCAAACATGCATACTTCTCTCCTTCCATAGCCTCAGTTTCTGTGCCTTATTATTGTTTATATTCATTAATAATTTTAGCTAATAGGGTTATTATGCAAATGTTACCAGGTGTTTTTATTTGAAGCTAAAACAAAACAAAAGAGGTTTAATTGTATTCTGAAGGATCTAATGAACTGGGGAGGCTTTGAGTTCTGAAGATAGGACAAAAAAAGAAGATGGGGCTACTTGTTTGGTGAGGTAGATTTTCTTTTCTTAGCCTACTAAGGGTATAATGCCATCAGAACCTGAAGCGTGGCTTGGTGACTTTTCAAAGTCTCTACCAGCTCTTTGATTCTGTGGGCAATACTGAAGAAATACACTGATACTCAAAAATGCAACTAGAACCATGGTAGCGTATATTTTGAATTTTATAAATGAGTGTCCTTTATTTTGTAATCTCCGAGGTTAGTTCCATTTGCTTCTAAACTTCCTTTGATCTAAAAAGCAAAGCTTGAACATTTGACCCAGCTATTAACATTGGTGGTAGGGTTTAGAGAAGTCAGACATAATTTCAGATGCAGGATATGCATTTGGCTTGTCATGGGGGAAAATGAAATGAGAAGTACACCCCAAGTCACAATTCAGGCCTTTTTATTTGATCAAAGTCCAGCCTTGTAGTCATCTTTAACAGCCACTGAAGCCTCAGTGTAGCATTTGTGAAAAATATAAAACATGATAAATATGTCTAAAAGAAAATGTTTTTTCTAACTTTGATGAAGGCTTACTTTCTGTGACATGTATGTGCGTGTGTGTGTGTGTTGAGTATTGGTGGTGGGTGACCCAAGACATCTCCACATCATCAGGAAGGGTGTGGTTTACAAGGAAACCATTGAGGACCATAGGGGAAGAGGTAGGGGCATGTGTATGTGGGATTTTGCTGAAGATGTGAGGAACTTTTTGGTTGAATAGGAAAAATCAAATGTAACACCCACTCTAGTTAATAAGTCTGACTCTAACTAGGTTCATCTGCTTTTTCTTCTGTCATAGTAGCATACAAGTGAGGTAGTATGGCTGAATTTAGCGTGGAGACCCTTCACTTGTGTAACATAATAAGTTTATGCCAGCGAAGGAAAAATAGGTACAGTGACTAAGAGAAAATAGACTGGTAATTTCATTTTCAATTCGTAAATAATTCACTTAAACTAAAATTATTTATAGGCCATTGTGGAAACAATTACTTTTTGACTTATTTGCATTCTTAATGAAGACGATGTGAGTTTTTGAGTGGCTTGCATTTGTGACAAATGCATCAGGTATGGTCTTGGAATATTTTTGTAGAAATGCCATAATTTCTGACATATTGGAAAATCACACTCTTAATTGAACCAAAGATGTTTTAGTTTCTTAAGAAATATGTAAAAATGATATTTTTCATTTAAGAAAATAGCGTGTGACCTCCTCACTAAAATATTTTCTGAAAAATAAAAAAATATGATTTATAATATAATAAAATTATAATATTAGATCTACTTTTTAGTATTAAAACTGTAATAGCATCAGTAATCATACATTCTGTGTAACTTTGATAGCCCCACAAATGGAGAGAATTATTCTTTCATCTATATCTATTCATTATTTTTCTCTTTAGATATCTCCTTGGGCCATATGAATGATGCAGTCTAGCTTCATCTTTGTCAGTATGGAATAGGTTTTTTTTAACGTTTGTTTACTATTGTGCTTTGACACATTCCCTGCTACTTCTAGATTCTATTTTCTGAGCACCCAATGACTGTCAGCATCCTACACGGGCTAAGAGAATGCGACAACTGAAGAGGACCTTACATATTATCTGACCAAACGCTTATGAAACCAAAGCTTAGATATACAAAGTCATACAACTTCTTCTATATTTACTTTAACTGTCCTCCTAGTTCTCATATTTTTTTCCAATTTGAGAATAGTATGTGTTCCTTGCTTCAAAATGGACAGTCGCTGTATTGGGTCTTGTGCCTACCCTTTCTTGGAGAAACCTAATTTCCATAATGAACATTTGACATATTTTCACCCTGAGATTTTTAGCATAATACAGATGAGGAATGAACTGAGATTTGGTAGTACAAGGGTGTGTGTGTGGGTAGTGGTGAAGGTTGTGGTTTGAGAAGTCCATCTTTTATGGAGTGAAGAGAAGGAAGACAGGCCTATTTTTTCATTTGGCAAACATTTGCTGAAGGGCTACTGTATTGTACTCCTACACACAACCATTTATTATTCCGAAATAATAGGCTTGGTGGTGTTTCAGTTTTCAGATTTTTAAATAATTTGTGAAAAATCACATAGTTGTCATACATTTATTCATAACTGTCTTATGAAATAGATATTATCGCAGACGTGGTGGCTCATGCCTGTAATCCCAGCACTTGGGGAGGCCGAGGTGGGTGGATCACGAGTCTAGGAGTTTGAGACCAGCCTGGCCAACATGGTGAAACCCCATCTCTACTAAAAATACAAAAAATTAGCCAGGGGTGGTGGCACCGCCTGTAATCCCAGCTACTCGGGAGGCTGAGGTGGGAGAATCGCTTGAACCCTGGAGGTAGAGGTTGCAGTGAGCCGAGATCGTGCCATTGCACTCCAGCCCGCATGACAGAGTGAGGCTCTTGTCTCGAGAAAAAAAAAAAAAAGACATAGATATTATTATCCACACTTTTTTCAGATAAAACTGATACAAAGAAAAATTAAGTGATTTGCCTAAATTCCTATTGCTAACTGGAGGTAGAGCTAGGATTTAAATCAGCTTTTTCTGACTAAAAAATTGGGCTCTTACAAAATATACTATATTGCCTGTATTAGACTCAACCTATGCTGGTGTTAGAGAGATGAATTAAGTCATAGTGTCTAAGCATTATTTTATATAAAAGAAAGAAAAACTACTATTATAATCACTTCCCATAATGTCTACTTTTTAATTTGTATTTATTGTACAATTTAAATCCCTACCTTTCACCACATAGAAAAATTAATTCAAGATGGATTAAAGATTTCAATGTAAGACCTCAAACTATAAGAATCCTAGAAAAAAAAAAACTAGGAAACACCATTCTAGTCATCAGCCTTGGAAAAGCATTTATGAGTAAGTCCTCAAAAGAAACTGAAGAAAAATCAAAAATTGACACATGGGAACTAATGAAACTAAACAGGTTATGCATAGCAAAAGAAACCATCAACTGAGTAAAGTGGCAGCCTACATAATGGGAGAAAATATTTGCAAACTACAATGACAAAAGTCTAACATCCAGAATCTGTAAGAAACTTAAAAAGTTGAACAAGGAAAAAAAAACCCATTAAAATGGGCTAAGGACATGAACAGATACTTCTTAAATGAAGACATAACAGCAGACAACAAACATGAAAACATGTGCCACACCTCTGATCATCAGAGAAATGCAAATCAAAACCACAGTGATACACCATCTCACACCAGTCAGAATTACTGTTACTAAAAAGTAAAAATAGATGCTGGTGAGGTTGCAGAGAAAAGAGAATGCATATACATTGTTGATTGGAATGTAAATTAGTTTGGCCATTGTTGAAAGCAGTATAACAATTTCTCAAAGAGCTTAAAACAGAAGTGCCATTTGACCCAGCAATCCCATTACTGGGTATATTTTCAAAAGAAATCCAATCATTCTACCAAAAAGACACATGCACTCACATGTTCTTCACAGCACTATTCACAATAGCAAAGACATTTGATCAGCCTAGGTGCCCATCAGTGGTAGACTGGATAAAGAAAATGTGGTACATATCTACCATGGAATACTACACAGCCATAAAAAAGAATGAAATTATATTCTTTCCAGCAACATGGATGCAGCTGGAACCCATTATCCTAAGTGAATTAACCCAGGAACAGAAAACTAAATACTGCAGGTTTCCACTTTTAAGTGGGAGCTAAACATTGGGTACTCATGGACATAAATATGGCAGTAATAGAAACTGGGTTCTACTAGCTTGGGGAGAGAGGGAGGGGGCAAGGGTTGGAAAACTATTGTGTACTATCCTCGGTATCTGGGTGATGGAATCAGTCACACCCTACACCTCAGTATCACACAATATACCTAGGTAAGAAATCTGAACATGAACCCTCTGAATCTAAAGTTGAAAAAAACCCAAAAATAAATAAATGAAAATAAATAAAAAACATTTTAAAATCGAATAAAACTTTTGGGAATGAAAAAAGTGATGGAGGCTGGACACAGTGGCTCATGCTTGTAATCCCAGCTATTTAGGAGGCTGAGGCAGGAGTAGTGCTTGAACCGGGGAGGCGGAGGTTGTATTGAGCCGAGATCATGCCACTGCACTCCAGCCTGGGCGACAGAGCAAGACTCTGTCTCAAAAACAAAACAAAACAAAACAAAAAGATAGGAAGCATTTCATGTATACTATCCTGTAAAGCAACTTTTTAAGTCTTTTGTTCATTTTTATTGGGTTGTCTCTTTAATTGATTCGTAAGCGTTCTTTCTATATTCTGGACATATTCTTTGTTGGGTATATATGTTACAAATATCTTCTCCCTGTGTGTCACATGTGTTTTCATTATCTTATGGGATTTTTTTTCAAAAACTTTTAGTTTTGTTGACCCTCCTCATCATATCTTTGTTTTCTTCTTCATTAAAATTTGCTCTTATCTTACTGATTTCCTTCATTAAATTTCTTTTCATTTTTTAGAAAACTTTTTCATTTGGATGCAGAGCTCATTTATTTTCAAGCTTTGATTTCTTTACTGTAAATATCCACTACTTACTGTAACTTAGCTTTACCACCAAATTTAACATGTGGTACCATAATCATCTTCTATAAGATACAGCATTATTTTATGTAAAAGAAAGAAAAGCTGCTATTATAATCACTTCCCATAATGTCTACTTTTTTATTTCTATTTATTGGAAGATTTAAAAATTTTGTTGAAAGACATAATTTTGCCATATATTCTTCTTGTGCATACACATAAAAGTATATATAAAAATAAATTGCTTAAGCTATTCATTGGTTAAGCTATTTATTAAACTTCCCCACATACAAATTCCAACTCTTCTGAATTTCTTCACATTATGTAATTCTTATAGTATCCGTTACATAATCAAGAGCATTTCCTATAGAGTGCTTTACTATTTTCCCTGGGATTTGCTTCCTAATTGTTGACAATTATTCTGTGAGTTTTGTTGCTGGTAGTTTATTGATCTTACTAGAAATATGCTACTGGATTTTTTTGGTCAACAAACAGGATTTCTATTTCTTCCTCAGATGGTCCTACAAGTTTGCAGACTGAAACATGGAGAATGCTATTTCCTTGTCACTCCACTGGGAATAACAATTGCTTATATGCAGATCATGGCAATTATGTCATCTGGCCAACGATAATTAGAAGTCGTTGTTGATTACAAGATACAGTTTGATTTCAGAGATATTAAAATATGAAAAAATATGTGCCTTAGGTTAGACATTTAGACACAAGGTCCTGTTCCAAGAATTAAAAATTTTTTTAATTCAATTTTTTTTTTTTTTTTGAGACGGAGTCTCGCTCTGTCGCCCAGGCTGGAGTGCAGTGGCGGGATCTCGGCTCACTGCAAGCTCCGCCTCCCGGGTTCACGCCATTCTCCTGCCTCAGCCTCCCAAGTAGCTGGGACTACAGGCGCCCGCCACTACGCCCGGCTAATTTTTTTTGTATTTTTAGTAGAGACGGGGTTTCACCGTTTTTAGCCGGGATGGTCTCGATCTCCTGACCTCGTGATCCGCCCGCCTCGGCCTCCCAAAGTGCTGGGATTACAGGCGTGAGCCACCGCGCCCGGCCTCAATTTTTTTTACTGTATAGATTTATGGGGTAAAAAGTCATGTTTTGATAGAAGTGTATACATTATGGAATGAATAAATCAAGCCATTTAACATATCTGTCACCTTATTTATTTATTTATTTTTTGGCGAGATCATTTAAAATCTACTCTCCTAGCAATTTTCAAGTATACAGTACATGATTTGTTTTCCTATTTTGATGTCTTCTTTCTTCCTTGACCCATACATAGGTTATTGGAAAGCTTATTTTAACATTACTGTACACATGAGTTTTTGGATTGTTTTATTTTTGCTATTAATTTTTAATATTTTTTTAAATCAGAAAGTAAGTTATTATACAAATGTTTTTGAAATTTTCAAGACTTGCTTTATGACCATGATGTGGTGATGTGCTTTTTGTTAACATTCCTGAATGCTTTAGAATAATGAAATTTTTGTGGGTTGTGAATTGTGTTGTCCAAATCTGTAATTATTTAGAAAAACTGTATGGTAAATCACTTTTTAAAATAAATGTGTTAAAATCTCCAATTACTTTTGTGAATTTTTCAAAATCTCCCTTTACAGTGGCAATTTATATTTTATATATTTGAGGCTACGTTACAAGGTGCATACCAATTTAAAATTATGTCTCCCTGGGGAATTGAAATTTTGATGGATTTCTAATTATCATCCACCAACTATTAACCATTAATAATTATGAGTAATTACATATAACTATTCTGCATATAATTTCTATTATGTAGCAATAATTTATGATACCTCTATCCATTATTTTTACATTATTGTATCTCTAGCAATATTTGCATTTATGTCTAGCAATGACTTGTAGATTAAGGAACATTTTGTCTGCTATTAATACCAGATTTATTTTGCTGAGTATTTCTCTGTATGTCATTTTTAGACATTAACTTCCAATGTTCTTATACTCTTTTGAATCTCTTGTAAACAGTACATAGTTATATTTTTTTAAAAAATCACTTTGACAATTTTTGTTTTAACCTGTTGTTAGTCTATTTACATTAGTTTGAATTGCCAATACATTTAAATTCATGTCTGTAATCTTACTTTGTGCTTTCTGTTTTCCTTTAGAATGACTTTTTTCTCGTTTACTATTTTGGGAGTTAAAATCTCCAAGTCTATTATTTCAGCGATTTCTTTAGATATCTTAATGTGTATGCTTAACATAGTCTAATGTTAATGAGTGTCTTTACCTTCTTCCAGTGTAATGCAAAGGCTTTAAAACAAAATCTATTCATTCTCTTCTGAACTTTTATGCCATTGTTCACTTCTGTTCTTTTAGCCCTTTCTATTTAGTTTTAACTCCAGAAATTAGACATCATAGTTATTATTTTTTCTCTTACTTTCTAAAATGTCTTAGAATTTAACAGTTTATTACATTATATTTTTCAACCTGTGTTCCTAACATATTCTAAGATACTTAAGACCAAGTATCTGGTCTTATTTATTTTTCATTGGTCCCCAGTGCCCGGGCAATGCCATATACTTAGCAGGTGCTTAATAAATACTTGCTGGCTCATTGACTCAGCATCCAATTATACTCATGAGTTTCATTAAATGAGAAATTTTCACATCCAAATTAAAACATTTAAGTTTTTTTTCCTCTGTGGTTAGTATTGGTTTGCCATGCTCCATTTCCATGGGACTGATTTAACGGAAGTTTCAATTACCACCCCTCCCCCTCAATTTGTTGTGGGAAGTGGTGGGTGGAAAGAGAGATAACAAGAAACAAAGAGGGAACACAAAAATACCACTGTATTTTGTAACTACGTGAAAAATGGTAAAACTAAAATAGTTTCATTTTTCATTTGATTTTTTTTAACCTAACTGTGTTCTTCCTTTTTCACTTATTGACATCTATCAGTTCTCATAATATTCCTGTGCTGTAGAAGAGGCAGTAATACATTTTATTCTTGGGCCTTGTTCTGGGTCAAACAGGGCCATGGTAGAGCTAAGACAAAGTTCAATTCTCCTTTCTCTTTATCCGTGCAGTTTTTTTTCCCCCCATATTCCAGCATATTCCAGGTAAAAAGCTTCTTTCTTCTGTGTGGGTTGAGCACTCTTGTTAAGTTTTCATTCTTCTCTTTGTTACTTGGTTCATCTAGAAAAACATTTCTTTCCCACTAATAAAAATACTTTTCTTGCCTTACAATACCTGACCTAAGAATAGCTTGAAAATAAACCTGAATTTCCCTTAAGATAATGTAATAAAGGGACACCAGATCAGACATCTGTTACTCATTACTTATAATCCATGGCTAAAAGTCATGCTAATAAGGAGTTATTGCTATTTGTTTCTCAGATGCTTGCTCAAGGGACTCATGCATTGTCTTTAGTCATTTTCACTTTGCTTGTGATGTCAGTAAAGCATTAGCAAAATTGGAAACACTGGCTATTAATGGGGAGGAGGGGACTCCCACCATAACACAATTTAGTGATCAAAATGTGTCAGTTCTAGCCACTGCTCACAGTGACCATGAGTTACATTTCTCAGTTGCTGAAGAGCGATTTGGAATTCTTAGCTTTCTATAATTGTTTTGTTTTAAAGAGAGGCAGGCTGCTTGTTATGTATATTCCTCATATGTGGCTGTGGTGATATTACTTATTTATGTGCCCCTCAACTAACAATGCCATTGTTAAGTTGAAAATATTGGAAGTTGAAAATGCATTTAATGCTAGCAATGCAGTATTGTACATACACAATCTTTGACAATGTCTAAATATTCCGTTGAGATTATTTATTGTATTAAGTTGTATATAGTTACTGGGACTGAAAAGACTCAACAAAGGGCTACCTGTGACCTCACGAAGGTCTTTGTTTCTGAAAAATCTTTAAATTCTGATCAGGATACCTATAAAGAAAAAAAAGCAATTCACTTCATACTCCATATGTCAGATAGCAATTTATTGTGTGAATTCTGTTGCTGGATGGACAACATGTGCTACGTTGATTGTAAAACTGAACCGTGAATCTACCTTAGGAAGAATTTTGAAAACATACAGATTAATCTATTTTTCCTTTTCCTTTAAGGATACTCCTCATGGTAAGAGGAAGGTGAAAGGGAGGCTCCTTCACAATTTCAAATATTTGTTGGCAATGTGAAATGAAGAATTGAAGTAGCTATACCAATAGTAGGCCTCCATCTTGTACTCACTCCCCAATCCTAAAGCATTTTCATCTCAGTTATCTGCAATTTGCTGAAAAAAGTGAATTGAACTGTTTCACTGTGTTAACATATATAGGTCCTTATGCAGCCAAACAGAATGGAAGTCTGGTTGATTCATAGGCTTAGCTGTAGGTGGCCTATTGACATTTCAAATAGAAAGAAGGATTTGCTTGGAGCTACTGATGACTATTGCTGCTGCTCTTTTCCTTTTAGACTGTGAATGTTACCATCAGGGAAAGTAATTTTTCTTGGGACTGTTGCTGTAGGTTCCCTGCTTCTGGACATATATATGGACTATTGGGTTGAAAACACAGTAGAAATTTTCATCATTTTTGCCTACTGGGAAAGCTTATGATGTGAAAACAATTTCTTTCTTATAGTCCCCCACCCTTAATTATTATTTTTCCCTACTGTCAGGGTAACTTAAATTTTTACCTAAATGAAATTAGGGGTATATCTGCTTCAGGAGTTCATAGAAGGCAGAGTTCAAAGTAGACTAGGCTATCCATGTGTGCTACATAGAGGTGTTCCTAAGTAATGCTGATGAACCTTTACAAAATATGTCTTTGGAGTCTAAGTTCTACCACTAGATTTTTTAATGAGAAAAAGACATCAGTCTTTGGCTTTTGTTAACTTTCAATGTCTCCTTGTCATCTCTCTGAACTGAGAAGGCTATAACTATAGGTATGGCATATGGTGCATATTTATTTGTTTTTTACTCCCATACTGACTCAGGAAATGTTTTGCTTCATTAAACTCATGATGCTGACATTGGGAAGCCAAGGTGGGTGGATCACCTGAGGTCAGGAGTTTGAGACCAGCCTGGACAACATAGTGAAACCCTGTCTCTACTAAAGAAAATACAAAATTAGCTGGGTGTGGTGGCGCATACCTGTAATCCCAGCTACTCGGGAGGCTGAGGCAGGAGAATCGCTTGAACTCGTGAGGCAGAGGTTGCAGTGAACTGAGATTATGCCATTGCACTCCAGCCTGGGCAACAAGAGCAGAACTTTGTCTCAAAAAAAAAAAAAGTCATGATGCTGAATGAATTATTATTGACTAATAGAGTTCTTAATCTGTACTGATACCAGAAGGGTTAAATTTGTGGGGTACTAAGTCATCAGAATCTTTCTATAATTTCCTAGGTGCATAAAAAAATTAACAAAGAACACTTAATTGTAATATGCTAAAATATCTCAAAAATAGATGTAGGAAAGAACCTTGCCATCTCACATATGCAAAGCTTAAAGGCTTACTAAGAGTTAATTGAGCACATGGGAATTATATATTATTTGTAATTTTATTAGCTGAGTCTAAAACCAAAGAAAGGCTGAATGTCAACTCTCCTTTCATTATTAAGTTCAGTGTTATGAATTTAAGGTCTTTGGCTCTGTTTCTGAGTTATCATTAGAGTAGATTATAGGATTCGTTATCTATAGATTCCCAGCTGTAGAACAGAGGGGAATGTATTCATTTAGAGTTTTAGAAATGAAATTAAGAAGAGTTGTCTTTTGAAATATCTGAAAAGTTTATTGAGCTTTGGTGAGTTTAATTTCAGTGCATTTAATGAAAGTCAAAGGTGGATTCATTTAGTTAAGGCCATCAGATGGAGCCAACTGTTCTGTGCAAAGAGAAAGTAAGACTGGAAAAATGACATACAATTAACCTTTTGCTTGTAATTCAGCAAATGGTCAGGCAAAAGCTATATAGAATTGGTTGGATGTTAATATAGTAGAAATTATTGACAACTGACCTCAGCTTCCAGGTTGTTCTAGGGGGTGTTGTTTGAATATGGTGATATAAGTAAAGATATAGTAATTTTCTGGAATAAGAAACCTGGATTAATTCATTGGTTCTGCCACTTGAGATGGAGGGAATCTACATGAGGTAGATGAACACATACACACTTACAAACGTGCAGGAGCAAAATAAAAGAAAACACTTAAATTGCTTGATTGATGACAGTGTTTATTATTTACTAGTCTGAATTCTTCCCTTTGCACTCCTACAGTTTCCGGTCCATAGGAGTATAGATCTCTCCTCTTTAATACTTAGATTCAGTGTGCCTGTGTGCGTGTTTTGTGATGTGATGTCTTAAAATATCCAGCACAAACGTATCTCAGAGATATTATAGGTTCAATTCTAGGCCACCTCAGTGAAGTGAATATTGTAATACAATGAGTCTCTCATAATTTTTTGTTTTCCCAGTACATATAAAAGTTATGTTTACATGATACTGCAGTCTATTAAATATGGAATACTATTATGTCTAAAAAACAATGTTCATACCTTAATTTAAAATGCTTTCTTGCTAAAAAATGCAAAAAATCATCTGAGTCTTCAATGAGGCATAATCTTTTTGCGGGTGGAAGATCTTGCCTCAACATACGTAGATAGCTGCTGACTGATGAGTAGTCATTGCTGAAGGTTAAGGTGGCTGTGGCAATTTCTTAAAATAAAATAAAACGTTTGCATGCAGTCTTCACAAAAGATTTCTCTATAGCATGCAATGTTGTTTGATTTTACCCACAATAGAACTTCTTTCAAAACTAGAGTCATTTCTTTCAAATCCTGCTGCTGCTTGATCAACTAAGTTTATGTACTATTCTTTTTTTTGAGTTGGAGTCTCGCTCTGTCGCCCAGGCTGAAGTGCAGTGGCATGATCTCAGCTCACTGCAGCCTCCCAAGTTCAAGCAATTCTCTTGCCTTAGCCTCCCAAGTAGCTGGGATTACAGGCACACACCACCATGCCCAGCTAATTTTTGTATTTTTAGTGGAGGCAGGATTTCACCATGTTGGCCAGACTGGTCACAAACTCCTGACCTCAAGTGATCCACCTACTTCGGCCTCCCAAAGTGCTGGGATTACAGGCTTGAGCCATCATGCCCGGCCATTTATGTACTATTCTAAATCTTATGTTATCATTTGAAAAATGTTCATAGTATCTTCACCAGGAGTAGATTCCATCTCAAGGAACCACTTTCTTCACTTATCCGTAAGAAGCAACTCCTTGTTAGTTAGTTTTATAGTGAATTCACTGCAGAATTAAAATGCTCCAGTTCTAATTCTAGTTCTCTTGGTATCCCCACCACATCTGCAGTTACTCCCTCCACTGAAATCTTGAACCCCTCAAAGTCATCCATGAGGGTCACAATCAACTTCTTCCAGACTCATGTTAATGTAGATATTTTGGCCTCCTCACATGAATCATGATGTTCCAAATGGCCTCTAGAATGGTGAATTCTTTCTAGAAGGTTTTCAATTTTCTTTGCCCAGATCTATCAGGGGAATCACTGTCTACACTAGCTATAGCCTTATGAAATATATTATCTTAAATAATAAGACTTGAAAGTCAAATT
Organism: Homo sapiens; assembly: GCF_000001405.40. Classification (NCBI taxonomy): domain Eukaryota; kingdom Metazoa; phylum Chordata; class Mammalia; order Primates; family Hominidae; genus Homo; species Homo sapiens. The sequence continues at coordinate 62,893,006 of NC_000014.9, read as the reverse complement.
TACTCCTTGATCCATGGGCTGCAGAATGGATGTTGTGTTAGCAGGTATGAAAACAATATTCATCTTCTTGTACATCTCTGTTTCAGCTCTTAGGTGACCAGGTGCATTGTCAGAGAGAAGCACCCTTTTGAAAAAAAAATTTTTGGGGGGGTACACCAGGTCTCAACAATAGGCTTAAAATATCCAGTGAATCATGCTTTAAACATATGTGTTGTCATTCAAGCTTTGTTGTCCCATTTATAGGGCACAGGTAGAGTAGATTTCGCATAATTTTTAAGACCTTTGGGTTTTTGCAATTGTCAGTGAGCTCTGGCTTCAAGATGAAGTCACTGGCTGCATTAACTACTGACAAGAGAGGGTTTGAGGTTTTGAAGCCAGACATGACTTCTCTGTAGCTATGAAAGTCCTAGATAGTATCTCCTTCCAAAAGAGGGCCATTTCATTTACATTGAAAATTTGTTGTTTAGTGTAGCCATTTTTACCAGGCATCTTGGCCAGATGATCTGAATAACTTGCTGAAGCTTCTTCATCAGCACTTGCTTCACCTTGCACTTTCATGTTATGGAAATGGCTTCTTTATTTAAACCTCTGGACCAATCTCTGGTAGCTTGCAACTTCTGCAGCTTCCTTACCTCTTTCAGCCTTCATACAATTGGGGAGAGTTAGAGCCTTGCTCTGGCTTAGTCTTTGGCTTAAGTCAATGTTGTGGCTGTTTGATTTTCTATCCAGATCATTTAAATTTTCTTTATAGCAGCGATAAAGCTGTTTCTCTTTCGCATTATTTATGTGTTTAGAGGAGGAACACTTTTAACTAGTTCTTCAAGAACTTTTCCTTTGCATTCACAACTTGGCTTATTTTTTGTTGCAAGAAGCCTAGCTTTTGGACTCTTTCAGCTTTTGGCATACCTTCCTCACTAAGCTTAATTATTTCTAGCTTTTGATTTAAAATGAGAGATGTGGGACTCTTCCTTTCACTGCAACACTTAAAGACCATTGTAGAGTGATTAACTGGCCTAATTTCAATATTGTTGTGTCTCAGGGAACAGGGAGACCCAAGTAGGGGAAGAAAGACAGGGGAATGGCTGGCTGATGGAGCATTCAAAACACAAAACATTTATTGATTAAGTTCACTGCCTTACATTGGCCAAGTTTGTGACATCCCTAAACAATCACAATAATATCCAAGATTACCAATCATAGATCACCATAAAAATATGATAATAATGAAAACATTTGAAATATTGTGAGAATTACCAAAATGTGACACAGAGACACAAAATGAGCACATACTGTTCGAAAAATGACATCAATAGACTTGCTTGATGCAGAGCTGCCACAACCTTTAATTTGCAAAACGACAGTATTTGTGAAGCACAATAAAATGAGGTATGCCTATATAGGGTTATAGGATTAGGGGCATGATGTTTAGTTTCAAGTCTTTTTTTTTTAACTTTTAGGTTTGGGGGTCCATATGAAGGTTTGTTACATAGGTAAACTCATGTCACGGGGGTTTGTTGTACCGATTATTTTATCACCCAGGAATGAAGCCCAGTACCAATAGTTATCTTTTATGCTCCTCTCCCTCCTCCCACTTCCACCCTCAAGTAGACCCCAGTGTCTGCTGTTTCCTTCTTTGTGTTCATAAGTTGTCATCATTTAGCTCCTACTTAGAAGTGAGAACATGCGGTATTTGGTTATCTGTTCCTATGTTAGTTTGCTGAGGATAATAGCCTCTAGCTCCATCCATATTCCTGCAAAAGACATGATCTCATTGTTTTTTATGGCTGAATAATATTCCATGGTGTAGATGTACTACATTTTCTTTATTCAGTCTGTCATTGATGGGCATTTAGGTTGATTCCATGTCTTTGCTATTGTGAACAGTGCTGCAGTGAACAGTTGTGTGCATGTGTCTTTATGGTAGAATGATTTATAATCCTCTGGGTATATACCCAGTAGTAGGATTGCTGGTTTGAATGGCAGTTCTACTTTTAGCTCTTTGAGGAATCGCCATACTGCTTTCCACAATAGTTGAACTAATTCACACTCCCTCCAACAGTGTGTTAGTGTTCCCTTTTCTCTGCAACCTCGCCAGCATTTGTTATTTTTTGACTTTTTAATAATAGCTATTCTGACTTTTTAATAATAGCTATTCAGAGATGGTATCTCACTGTGATTTTGATTTGCATCTCTCTAATGATCAGTGATACTGAGTTTTTTTGCATGTGCTTGTTGGCTGCATGTATCTCTTCTTTTGAAAAGTGTCTGTTTATGTCCTTTGCCCACTTTTTTTTTTTTTTTTTTTTTTGAGACGGAGTCTCGCTCTGTCCCCCAGGCTGGAGTGCAGTGGCGCGATCTCGGCTCACTGCAAGCTCCGCCTCCCGGGTTCACGCCATTCTCCTGACTCAGCCTCCCAAGTAGCTGGGACTACAGGCGCCTGCCACCACGCCCGGCTAATTTTTTTTTTGTATTTTTAGTAGAGACGGGGTTTCACCGTGTTAGCCGGGATGGTCTCGATCTCCTGACCTCGTGATCCGCCCGCCTCGGCCTCCCAAAGTGCTGGGATTACAGGCGTGAGCCACCGCGCCCGGCCCTTTGCCCACTTTTTAATGGGGTTGTTTTTCTCTTGTAAATTTAAGTTCCTTATAGATGATGGATATTAGACCTTTCCCAGATACATAGTTTGCAAATATTTTCTCCCATTCTGTAGGCTGTCTGTTTACTCTATTGATGGTTTCTTTTGCTGTGCAGAAGCTCTTTAGTTTAATTAGATCCCATTTGTCAATTTTTGCTATTGGTGCGATTGCTTTTGGTGTCTTTGTCATGAAATCTTTGCCCATTCCTACGTCCAGGATGGTATTGCCTAGGTTGTCTTCCAGGGTTTTTATAGTTTTGGGTTTTACATTTACATCTTTAATCCATCTTGCATTGATTTTTGTATATGGTGTAAGAAAGGGTCCAGTTTCAGTCTTCTGCGTATGGCTAGCCAGTTCTCCCAGCACCATTTATTGAATAGTGAGTCTTTTCCCCATTGCTTGTTTTTGTCAACTTTGCCGAAGATGGGTTATATTAATTTGATGGCTGGTTGAATCAGAACATGTTTATGAACTTCGTCTTCTAATTTTTCTACTTAGTTTTCTAATGCCTTTTTAAACAACCATCTTTAATACCCATGGATAATTAGCTTCTCTCCTATGTAGTTATACATTCAATTGAAATGCAATAGTACTATGCAGGATAATTTATTACCATACAGAATTGTTATTGTGTAGAATATGGCACTTAATGAGCCAAGTTTTTTCTCACATCCAAACATTATAGGTACTGAAGTAGTCTGAATGTCAGAGTCTGGAATCTGTCCTGGCTGCTTGTCTTATGGAGATTCTACTCTCTTAGGAATCGGAGAGGCAGAGGAATGGGAACAGGGCCAGCATCTAAAACTCCAGGCCGGCTCTGTCAGTTAATGTGCTCATCGGCTGCTCTCTCGACTACTGCATCATCATCCCCCAATATCTCTGCTCTTAGTTGTTGACTTTTCCCTTGCTTCCTGCCATGTGGCTTTGTCATGCATGATATTCTTCTCCTCTGCAATTGAGCTTTTTTTGGTGCAGTCTCTGCTTTTCCTGGCTTGGCCCCCATGTGATGCTCTGCTGGGATGTAAGCTCTGTGAGGGGGAGGTTTTCATTCCTTTTGTTCAATTCTGTGCCCTCAGTGCCTAGAACAGTGTGTCTGGCAGGTAGCTGACTCTCAATCAATAAGTATTTGTTGAGTAAAATCCTTGGACTTTTGTCTATATCTTTTTATTTTAACTCTCACTTTTGCATTTCCATGAGTAGCCTTTGTCATCAGGTACATAACTTATATCACCTAGGGTGTGGTATAGGAACTTTAGACAAAATCTCCTCCTTCTCAGAGCTCATGCACATCCAGCCACTTCCAGCCCATGAATGTCCACTGCAAGGACGTTACTGTTGTAGGGTGTTATCACCCATTAGAATATGTTGCAGCTGGCACTTAAGGATAAATTTGACTCCAAGTGACTTTTGCCTGTCCCAGATTAGATATTCTTGTGGCTAAGAAATTCTTAGGTTTTATCGGAGAGCAACTTCAGTAAATGCTTAGATAAGTGAACTTATTTGTCTAAATTCTCTAATTGGGTTGGGGTCAGTGACCTTTTCTGTGATATTAACAATTATTTTTAGGAAGAGGGATACAGGTCCAGATGAATTATGCAGATGTGTGACAGGCTTTCTGCAATCCTAGGAAGTCTACAAATAATAATGATATTATTATGGTTTGGGTCAACATATGCACAGAAACTTGCTTTTTAATATCTGGTGACACTATTCCTGCTCCTGAGAATTAATCTAATACAGTTATCTGAGTGGAACCTTAAAATCCCATAAGACAGAGTCTTATAGGAATATATGTAAAATTAGTTTCCAACTTAAAACCAAAAAATATAAAAATATAGATCTTATTGCTGAATGGAACCTTGAGATCATCTGTTTCAGATGCCTGCCCACTGCCAGGTTAGGTGTAATTCAAATTTCTCACAAATCATCTATCTGAGACTCAGAGGTTGAATGATTTTCCTGCCAAGGGTGATAAAACAAAGTTAAATTTCATCTATTGAATTACAGTACAAAAGAGAATATACACTCTCATAATTTCTGTTTAAATTCTCCTTTCATAGTAACCTTTTACAACAATCTGCAACTTCATTAGCACATCTTATAGTATGTGCAGGACTTTCAGTCTGTATAGTTTCAGTTTGAATGGAATTAAAAGATAAAATTAAACTTCATTCCCTTTCTTCAAAGCAGGAAGTTTATATTCTTGGTAAGACAAAGCACAACAAATCTAATAAAATAGGTTTTATTAGTAGGCTGTAAAAGTTACCTGCAGAGCCTCAGTCTTGATTGGGAATTAGCATGCCAACATTTTTAAATCCCTCTTAGGAAAGTTTCGAATGCTCTTAGAAACACATGTGTTAGAATTAGTAAAAAGATTTATAAAGGGAGACAGCTGAAACTAAAACTAATTTCATTTATCCTTCTTGTTTTAAGGAGTAAGAACTGGACCCTAGCAGGTGATGAGGCTACATAGTTCAACACAGTTGAGAAAAAAAGTGATGAGGCCCCAAAAGTTTCATGTGAGACTACTCAATAGCAATGCTAACACTAGAACACCTTTTTTTTTTCTTATGCAGTAAGAAGCTTTAATAATAATTTCAGGGTATGGGCAAACAAGAGGTATGAGCAAAGCAGACAGTCTGGCACATCAAGGGCAGCTCCATGGGTCTTTTCTCCCCACCTCATACATGTATTCTCTGACCCAGAAGCTGGAACGCTATATTCTGACCCCAGCTTCAAGGCTTTTTCCATTTTGATGAAGTGAGTCCCTCCCTTTAAGTCTTAAATCTTGTATAATACTCAATGTTACCTCATCTAGTGTGTTCAGTACTGTGGTTTAACTTCAGATCTATTTAGACACTTCTTTTGTTAAATATACACAAATGATTTTTGAAGCATCAGTAAGAGGCAAATTTGTTCTTACTTTTTTCTTATACTTCTGGAAATATTCATCATATAGCCTTCAAATACTGACATTGAATTGCATGAGCTACATAACTTTACATCTTAAGTCTTGGGCTGTCTTCATTTATCATTATAGTTTGCAGCACTACCAGAATATCTAACTAATGCAATTCTGCTCCTCCCTTAATCAAGAACTGATTTCGCTTGTATCATTTCCTGCTATTGCCAAAAAGACCATACAAACTGGTATTGCTCTGAAGTCTACTTGAAGTCTAGGCTAGCAGGTGAAATTGAATAGACCTGTATTTTCTCGGATTTCTGCAGTGATAATAATAAAATAAACATCTCATTTCAGTAAGTAGCATAATAAGAGTTTAAGCAAAATTAGGAGCAAGGGGCTAATTATGTATTTTCCCTTTACATGCTCTTTATGCCATTGTCAAAGATAGAGGATTAAGTCAACCAAATATGGCATTTTGTTTGGCATTTTTTGATGTATAGAAATATTTTAACACTCCTGGGAAGTATGACTTCCCTTGTCATCACGTTCACTACCGGTTCTATTCATATCTAAATATTCTATTATTAAATGATATCATCTAATAAAGTCTTAACTATTCTGGTATTAGTTCCTCCCTTTTTTAAATCAAGATACAGTAATTTGTATATTTTCAAAGTGCTTTATAAACCTCAAACTATACTGTACCATAGCCAAGTCTTTGAAAGGAAAGGCACATCCAGCTATGTGTGTATGTTAGAATAATGCCCGTGTTGACAGGAACCATATTCTCCCTGAAAAGTATGATTGATGAAGTCAGTTTTCAGACAAAGAGCTCATGACCAATTTCTTTCAAGCTTCAAAACAAGCTTGACAACATGAAGAATTTCACATAGCATATGAGAAATATTCACTTTACCTTTTCAACTGGTATCACAATCATTGTGGGCTTCCAGACACATGCACACCCCACTCCTGGTTCAAGCCATAAGAAACCCTGTCATGCCAGAGTGTTAGTTCAGTACAGCCATTAAAGAGAACATGTGGCTGGGTGTGCTCTTGAAAACATGAACCCTGCAGGATTCTGTTTATTGCTAGTTTTATGTGCAGACCACTAGTCCAATATAAAAATCAAAGCACAAATTTTCACGTGCTACACAGTATTGCAGTTTTTGGCCGAATTGCTTCGTGCTTATCTGTTATCTTTTGGGTTGATGGGTTCCAGAGGAAGCCAGCTGTGCAATTAGAGATGTTTGGGCACATCTGTTCCAAAGTTGCAGCCTGAAGATGCTCAGAGAGTGATATTCTTGTGTGTGTGTGTGTGTGTGTGTGTGTGTGTGTGTGTGTCCTCTGCAGGTGCTGTGTTTTCAAGGAGAGAAGTGTTCAGCATGAACAAACATGACTAATGATTGTGAGAGGTTTATTTGCAAACAGACAGGTGTTGGCAACACAGAATGTAAAGCAGAAATTATTACATTAGGGAAGTGCTATGGGATTTGGGGCTATAAATATTTTCCTCACAGACCCAGGTCTTTCTTCTAACCTTTGTTTTTGAATTTCAACACTGTATTTATTTGTAAAACAATTAACACTGTATATTAAACTATCTCTCATTAATGTTATATTTTAATTGTGCTTCTCCCTTCTACTACATTATGATAAATAATGACTCTGAAACACAAAAGGATGTTTAGGTAGTGAAATCACCATCCTTTCATCACATTTTTCTTCTTACACTCATAATTGTTTAAAGAACTCATTTAATTAACTGCCTCTGCTGAACTCGAACTCCCTGAAGGCACTGGCCATGCCATTTCATCTTGTATTCCCACTGTCTGACACAGTGCGTGACACATAGGAGGTGTTTAGAAAACATATAATGAATAAACTATGATGTTATTTTCACTGTTTGTTCAATATGTGTTTGTCCTTTAAATATTTAAAAGTTTTGTCATCAAGTATGGTATGTAGGAGAATTCTCCATTAGCAAATACCTTGTCCAATCATGTAAATAAAGAACATGTTTTCCTGTAAGAATATTTTCAACTATTATTCTTCGATGATTATTTATGAGCCTGGTCAATAGTGAAAACTGATCATCTTAGTTATTATATGCTTACTATGTTCTCAGGATAAGTGATATCATAATAATTTTAGCTAACATAATTGTCTTAGAGCTAAGAAGAACTTTAGATGTCACATCACCCCAAGAGGAATAATTAAGGTACAGAAAGGTAAAAAGCTTGTCTAGTAACATTAGTAGGTTTTGGTTTTCAGTTGTGGGTTTCTTAATTATGTTTTTTAAAAAAATTGGTGGGATTTCAAGAATCTTTTTTGAGCATTAAGATCAAGCATAGAAATATCATAATTACTATCATTATCCAACTTACTCTTCAAGAATTTGTCTTTACTTTCATTAATTAAAGTGAAATACTTCTTTTATAGAGTACTGGGATTTGAGATCGTTGTTGTTTTTTGTACACTGGCATCCTATAAAGTTATACAACTAGTTCATAAATTGATTATGTGCTTTTGTTTGCTATGTTGTATTTAAAGCATTTAGTTTGTGTCTAATTCACTTTCATGTTGGAAGTGACATAATTATATGTTACAGAATTCAAATGAAAATTTTCTCAACTTTGAATATGCACTAATTCAAACTGAAATGTTTTCATCTTTAATATTTTCCACATTCTGATTTTATCATCTAACCTTTTACTCCTTTGTGGTTTGCATTTGCCTTCTTTTTTTAACAGCTGGCACATTTAAAAATATCACCTACATACACATATCTCAAAGCTGTATACATGGAAAGACTAGTTTTTTTCTTTCTTTCTTTTTTTGAGACAGAGTCTTATTCTCTCGCCCAGGCTGGAGTGCAGTGGCGCGATCTCAGCTCACTGCAACCTCCGCCTCCCGGGTTCAAGCAATTCTCCTGCCTCAGCCTCTCAAGTTGCTGAGATGACAGGCGCATACTGCCACACCTGGCTAATTTTTTGTATTTTAGTAGAGACAGCGTTTCACCGTGTTGCCCAGGGCTGGTCGTGAACTCCTGAAGCCAGGCAATCTGCCCACCTTGGCCTCCCAGAGTGCTGGGATTACAGGTGTGAACCACCGTGCCCGGCCATTATTTCCATTTTTAAAAATTAATTGTTGTAGTAATTTTCATTTCTAAGTCAATTGTTTGGAATGCAATTCACAGACTCAGAGAAATCCAATTTCAAATATGGGCTATATCCATACTGAGCGCTGTTAGTGCCGTATTATAGATACATTGTGGGTTAAATAGAATTTTTTGAGTTATTTTCAAGTTTTATTATAATTTCACTAAGAAAAATATTTTAAATTCTAACACAGAGCTTGAAGAAAACTTCCCATTTCTGCAGTACTGGTGGTTCTCTAAGAGGCAAGAAGGGCTGTGGCTAACAGATTAAATACTTCTGGGACTATTTAATCCCAGAAGTTTATAAACTTGTTATATCTCTGTGTCTGAATAAGAGAAACAACTGGCTATGATTATATACCTAGATGTTGGGATATAGACTGGAGCAAATTGAGATCAAATATGTAAATTGGGGCAAAGGACCTTTGCCTCTGTGGCTTAAAGATTCTTAACTCACACTCCTCCAACTTTCCTCTTTGTATCTATTGTGAGCCACTTCTTATTATTCATTATTATTATATTATTGTAATAGTATTATTATTATTATTGTACTACATATCTGTGGTGGAAAAAAGGACAACAGTGTGTAACGTGAAAAGTAAAAGTCTCCCTCCACCCTCATTATCCCATCATTCTACTCCACAGAGGTAATTAGTACTATTGATAGATTCTTGTGTATTCTAACATAAATTTTCTGTATCTGCAAATATATATTTCATTTAGGTGATATGAATTTCAATTTTTCTTTCTGTATATGCCATTTATAAGTCTAGTATTAATGAACACTAGATTGCCAGCATCCTGATTTTAAAGTGTCCTGGAATTTTGATCTTCTTAATTTGAATTCCATGAGCAGCAGCAGAGTTACCCTTGTCCTGAGCCTAGAAGTCGTCCCTAGTTAATCATAATCACCCTCCACAGAGAAAAGACTCTTTTTTTATTTCAAGTAAAATCATTGCATTTCCTAAGGGTAAGGGACTAATTCATTTACTAGCTTTCCAAACAGGACTGCTAAATTTTTTAGATACATCCTAGGTAATTGAATTCTCCTGAACTTGGGAATATATCCAATTCTTACTCAAAAAGTTGTCCCGATTGGATCAAATAGTTAAATGGACAGTAAGGATGTGGGAAAAGAAAGATAACTCAGAAAGCAGGCATCTGCTATTTATCTCCCAGATTGATGAGTGCAACTCTATTAGAAGAGTAAGTACTAATTAACTCATTAAACAGTTCCCACTGTGATTCCTCAATGTAATTTTAGGTGAATCTGATGTTTAGAGATTTAAAATCTAACTGTAGAAGCGTATCATTGCAAGCTATTGATAAAACTTTCAGAGATATTAGAAACATTTCTTAGGCCATAAAGTAGAAAGGAAGTAATATAAAGCTAAAGGCTCTTGTTGTATAGAAAGTACTTAAAAACTTTTTTAGCTTAGTTTTCTGAATGCTAAGTCAGATGACCAATATGAGCTTAAAATCCCATGTTAATAAGAGCTCTGATGGCTTGGGAATTTGCATCTGTGTCCAATTCTGAAGAGTTATGTTCCTCAATTAAAATCTACCCAAGAAGCATGTTCAGCATGTAATCTAATGGTAAAGCAAATTTAGTAAACTACATTAAAAAAGAAAGACAGTAAAACGAATGTTCCATACCCTGTTGTAAAGCGATTATTGTATGGATCAGCATGGTGGCCCTATTTCTCCAGGGCACATATAGCATGGATTAGAACCACAAAAGCATGTGGTCCTACTCCACAGTCTGCTATGCAAACCTCAGCGTTGTGAAGACTGTCCAGTTATGAGTGTCATACAATAAGCATAAGTCTGGTTACTGAGTGTATAGCACATTGCTTGTGAGACTTGGCTAAAGTCCCATGGTTGTGCATGTCTTGGAGCATAGAAATTACAGCATGCAGCTCAATACTAGTTCTTTCAGTAGAGAGAATTCTTAGTTTCCTGAAAAAGATCTGTGGTCTTCTCAGATGATCAGGAGAAGAGCAATATTGAAGGGTTTTCAGTTTTTTCTTTCTTTTTTATTTTTGAGACAGGTATCACTCTGTCACCCGGGCTAGAGTACAGTGGCCTGATCTAGCTCACTGCAGCCTTGAACATGTGGGCCCAAGCCTCAGCTTCCCAAGTAGCTGAGACTACTGGCTCATACCACCATGCCCCAGCTTTTTTTTTTTTTTTTTTTTTTTTTTTAAGAAATGGGGTTTCTCTATGTTAGCCCAGGCTGGTCTCAAACTCTGGGCCTCAATGGATCCTTCCACCTCAGCCTCCCAAAGTGCTGGGATTACAGGCATTGAGCCACTGTGCCTGGCCTCAGTTTTTTCTTGAAGGCCCCACAAATATTGTTAAATGTTTAAAATAAGTTTTCTAAGAGTGATAGACATATAGTGGACCATCAAAGTTATTTTAGGAGACAGTCTATTAATCTTTTCAGGAACTAGGGCTTTGAAGGTAGAGAGTCTGATAGTATAAGACTTTATCACTCACTAGCAGTGTGACTTTGAGAAATGATTTAATCTGAATATTCTTTTTCGTCTGGGTCTGTAAAATATGGATACTTATATCAACCATGCAGAGTACTGTTGTGGTACAAAATGCTTGTTAAATGGTACCCATGACTAGTAATGTGCATAGTGATAATGAATTGTTTTCCCTTTCTCATAGCATGAGGGATTTCTACTAGAAATGAGACATTCTTATATAGGTAAACTCGTGTCCTGGGGGTTTGCTGTATAGATTATTTCATCACCCACGTATTAAGCCAGGCACCTATTGGTTATTTCTCCTGATCCTCTCCCTTCTCCCACCCTCCGCCTTCTGGCAGGCCCCAGTGTGTGTTGTTCTGTTCTCATCATTTAGTTCCCACTTATCAGTTATGTATCAGGAAAAAGAATTTTAAACAAAAACAGAAAAAATATAATGGCTTGAATAGGATAAAAGTTTCTTACTAAAAAAAAAAAGAAGTGAGACATTCTTATAATGAGGGTTTATAAATGGTGAGGTTTTCCATGAAAATCTTTAAACAAGTGATGTGCATATAGTTTCTGTTTATGTACTTCAATATTGCTTATTTTAGAATCTAAGCTCTTGGGGGCTAAGCACTGTGTCAGGGTATCATTGACTACCTGTAATGCCAAATATGAGTAGAAAAATGTGGTCTGTTATGTGGCCTAAATGGCGCTTAATGCATAAGCATTTTATTGAAGGCTTAAAGATGTTTCCATGGAATGTTGACACAACAGATTGAAAAGTGACCGATTTAGGTAAATCTGGCTCTTATAAAATGGCTGTAGTTTTGTAGCATTCTTTTCTCCCTCTGTGTCAATGTAGAGAAGGACTGATCCATTTATCAGCGGCTGGCTGGCACTCTATGCGGGACCTTTGTTAGTTCCAAATTCTGTTTGGCAACAAACATCCAGGACTTATTTATTTTCATCTTCTAAAAATAAGTCTATGTTTCTGAGATCTTTTCAAATGAATAAATACTATACTAAATTTACAGTGATTGCTCATTATTCAACCAAAGAGAAAACAGTAAATATTGAGCATGGTGATTAATTTGCCACTAATCATGATAAAATTATTCACAGTCCTCTCTTCTCTGCTCACCTACAGTCTACTTTTTCTTATTTCTTTCTCTTGTCCCCAAGAACATCTATTCTTATTTTAATATCGTTCTAAACATGTATGACTATATGTAGTTTCCAGTTCCAGAAAACAGCTGATGCTCAATAATTGTTTTTTTGGCGAGGACTCTCCTGGCTGCTGAGTGCCACAATATCCAGTGTGCTCAATGACATCAAAGAATTTCTCATTCCACCAGCATTTGAAAATCAATTCCTGGTTTTTACTCTTTTGCCTTGTGAAAGAAGTTTTAAAACTTAATGTTGGCTTTTCTTCTTTGAAAAACTAATACTTTTGAAATCTTTTTCCTTTAAGTTTGAGAATTCACAGTGGTATATGGAATTGAGCACATGAGTGTGCACGTGTATGTGTTTTTAAAAAGAATAGGATTTATAGCTCTAATATATAACTGCACCACTAATGAACTGTCTTTTCTAGTGCCACTGTCTATTCCATAGAAAATATAATTACCTATGTAATGGTTGCTAATAAAGAAACTGTTGCAATGCCCTTGACTATGAACGCATAAGTAGGAATTGAAATGAAATGTTTAGTTTAGTGTCTCCCACATATAGTCACCATCCAAAACTTCACTGAATGTAATAATACATTTCTAATACAAAAAATTAAAAGTATATTTTTTGAAGCATATATGTATTAAACACATTGCTTGGTGTGCTTAATGAAATGTTTTTTAATAAAAATGTTCTTATGTAGCAGAAAGTAGATACAAAGTCCTGCTTTAATTCTGTAAATTTAAAAATTATGTAGACTGTGTTATGATTAGAAGACATGGATGACATTTGCTTTTGTATAATGAGCAAATCATAATGCACAACTATAAAAATAGACTCTGAAATTTACAAAGAAGAAACAAATTCTATGGAAAAAGATCAATACCTCTTATAATTAGGGAAGTACAAGTTAACATTAAATTACAAATCAAATTGGCAATGGTACAGTGAATTTTAATGCCTGATACTGGGTAAAGAGCAGAGTAAGATAACTGTATCACGCTACAGATAGTAATATAAAAATTGGCACAAGTTTTTTGGAGAGTATTCGGGAAGGTCCTTCAGGAGGCTTGAAATATGCCTAAATTACAAGATACGTGACTGTAGATTTACCTTTACACTGGAAATAACCTAAATGTTCAATAATAATAATTTGCGGGTTAAAGAAATCCCATTCATTTATTCATTCATTCGATAAATATTTTGTCTGTACTTAACATGTGGCAGATAATGTTGGAGTCTCTGGGGTTATTGCTGGGAACAAATTATTTGTACATGATTACATAATTAGAGTATAATCACGGAGATTACGTGGGACTGTTGGTCATATGGTTTAACTTTATAGGAGACTGCCTAACTAGTTTTGCAAAGTGATTGTACCAATTTGCATTCCTACCAGCAATGCATGAGAGTTCCAGTTGCTCTGTATTCTCTCCAACATATTCTATTCTTAGTCTTTATCATTTTTACCATTCTGATTGGCATGTAGTAGTATCTAAATGTGATTTTAGTTTCTATTAAACTGATTACTAATGATTTTGATAATTGTTTTTGTTTTTATTAGTCATTAGTATACTGTTTTAATAAAGTATGTTTTGGGCTGACTAGTATTGTAAAATTGAAGTTCCCAGTACCTCAAATTCCTACATCGAAGTTCCCAGTACCTCAAAATGCAACCGTGTTTGGAGACAGCATCTTCAAAGAGATAATTAATTTAAAATGAAGTTATTAGGGTGGGTCCTAATCTAGTACGACTAGTATCCTTACAATAAGAGGAAATTCGGACACAGATATACACAGAGGGAAGACCATGTGAAGATATAAGGAGAAGACAGCCATCTATAGGCAAGGACAGAGGCCCCAGAAGAAACCAACCCTGCTGACATCTTAAGCTTGAACTTTTAGCATCCAGCACAGTAAGTAAATGAATTATTGTTTAAGTTCCCCAGTCTTGGTACTTTGTTACAGCAGCTCTAGAAAATGAATGTAAAGGACCTTCAAACTTTTTGCTCATTTTAAATTAGATTGCTGGTTTATTTATTGAGTTATAAGTATTCTTTATATATTTTGTATATTTTCTCATACACCACATGTATTGTGAATATTTGCCCTCCTCGCCTCAGACTGTGGTGTGAATTTTTTGTCTAATGATATTTGGAAGTGGAGAAAGTTTAAATTGTCAAGAAGTCCAATTATCAATTTAAAAAAATATTTTGTGATTATGATGTTCTTTAGAGATAATTTTTACTCCAAAGTGAACAAGACTTTCTCCTATGGTTTCTTTTTTTTCTTTTTTTATTTTATTATTAATATACTTTAAGTTTTAGGGTACATGTGCACCATGTGCAGGTTAGTTACATATGTATACATGTGCCATGCTGGTGTGCTGGACCCATTAACTAGTCATTTAGCATTAGGTATATCTCCTAATGCTATCCCTCCGCCCCCCCCCCCATCCCCACAACAGTCCCCAGAGTGTGATGTTCCCCTTCCTGTGTCCATGTGTTCTCATTGTTCAATTCCCACCTATGAGTGAGAACATGTGGTGTTTGGTTTTTTGTCCTTGCGATAGTTTACTGAGAATGATGATTTCCAATTTCATCCATGTCCCTAGAAAGGACATGAACTCATCATTTTTTATGGCTGCATAGTATTCCATGGTGTATATGTGCCACATTTTCTTAATCCAGTCTATCATTGTTGGACATTTGGGTTGGTTCCAAGTCTTTGCTATTGTGAATAGTGCCGCAATAAACATACGTGTGCATGTGTCTTTATAGCAGCATGATTTATAGTCCTTTGGGTATATAGCTAGTAATGGGATGGCTGGATCAAATGGTATTTCAAGTTCTAGATCCCTGAGGAATCACCACACTGACTTCCACAATGGTTGAACTAGTTTACAGTCCCACCAACAGTGTAAAAGTGTTCCTATTTCTCCACATCCTCTCCAGCACCTGTTGTTTCCTGACTTTTTAATGATCGCCATTCTAACTGGTGTGAGATGGTATCTCATTGTGGTTTTGATTTGCATTTCTCTGATGGCCAGTGATTGTGAGCATTTTTTCATGTGTTTTTTGGCTGCATAAATGTCTTGTTTTGAGAAATGTCTGTTCATGTCCTTCGCCCACTTGTTGATGGGGTTGTTTGTTTTTTTCTTGTAAATTTGTTTGAGTTCATTGTAGATTCTGGATATTAGCCCTTTGTCACATGAGTAGGTTGCGAAAACTTTCTCCCATTTTGTAGGTTGCCTGTTCACTCTGATGGTAGTTTCTTTTGCTGTGCAGAAGCTCTTTAGTTTAATTAGATCCCATTTGTCAATTTTGTCTTTTGTTGCCATTGCTTTTGGTGTTTTAGACATGAAGTCCTTGCCCATGCCTATGTCCTGAATGGTAATGCCTAGGTTTTCTTCTAGGGTTTTTATGGTTTTAGGTCTAACGTTTAAGTCTTTAATCCATCTTGAATTAATTTTTGTATAAGGTGTAAGGAAGGGATCCAGTTTCAGCTTTCTACATATGGCTAGCCAGTTTTCCCAGCACCATTTATTAAATAGGGAATCCAGAGATATAGATCAATGGAACAGAACGGAGCCCTCAGAAATAATGCCACATATCTACAACTATCTGATCTTTGACAAACTTGAGAAAAACAAGCAATGGGGAAAGGATTCTATCCTATGTTTTCTTTTAGAAATTTCTAGCTTTAGTTTTACCTTCAGGTCTTTGATCTATTTTCAAAATTTTTACATATAATGTGAAGTAAGAATCAGTATTCTTTTTGTTTTATGTGGAGATCCTGTTGTTCTACCTCCATTTATTGTGGACTACTGTCTTTTCTCTATTTAATTATTCATACTTCAGCAAAATCAATTGACCAAACAGGTGTGCTTCTATTTCTGGACTCTATTCTGTTTCACTGATTACATATTTACCCTTATGGCAATACCCTGTTGTCTTGATAAAGGTCGCTATATAGTATGTGAGGTTTTGTGGATTTTATTGTCCAGGATTTATACATATTCAGTTAAATTTATCCTTACATTTTTCTGCTACTTGATTTTTTAAAAATGTCAGTTTTTCTAACTTTTCAACTATTTGTTGGTAGTGTATAGAAATAAAACTGGATTTTTGTTTGTTCTTTTTGTGTCTTTCTATATGACTATATTCACTTGTATTGTTCATATTGCTTTTGATAGATTTATTAAACATTTTCTATTTGTGCAATCATATCCTTTCCATGTAAACTATACGTCACCTTTCTAATTGGTGTGTCTTATTTCTTTTTCCTGCATTATTGCACTGGATAAAATTTCAACAAAATATATAATAGAAGTGGTGAGAGTGAGTATGCATTATTTACTTTGAATCTTAGGGTAACATCTTAAGTCTTTCACTATTAAATATGTTATCAACTATTAGTTTCTCAGAGATTCCCTTTATGACTCTGAAGATACTTCCATCAACATCTAGTTTTCAACACTTTGTTTTTTTAGACAGAGTCTCACTCTGTTACCCAGTCTGGAGTGCAGTGGCACCATCTCGACTCACTGCAACCTCCGCCTCCCAGGTTCAAGCAATTCTCCTGCCTCAGCCTCCTAGGTAGCTGGGATTACAGGCACATGCCACCATGCCTGGCTAATTTTTGTATTTTCAGTAGAGATGGGGTTTCACTATCTTGGCCAGGCTGTTCTCAAACTCCTGACCTCATGATTTGCCTGCCTCGGCCTCCCAAAGTGCTGGGATACAGGCATGAGCCATAGCACCAGGCCAACATTTCTTAAAGGAAGGCAATAAAACCTAATCAACAACGTAACATTGACAATTTCTAACACCAGGCTGGTCTTAATCTCCTGACCTCGTGATCCACTTGCCTCGGCCTCCCAAAGTGCTAGGATTACAGGCATGAGCCACTGCGCCTGGCCACATGCATGTATCTTTATAATAGAATGATTTATATTTCTTTGGGTATATACCCAGGAATGGGATTGATGGGTCACATGGTATTTCTAGATCTTTGAGGAATCGCCACTGTCTTCCACAATGGTTGAACTAATTTATATTCCCACCAAGAGTGTAAAAGCATTCCTGTTTCTCCTCGCCAGCATCTGTTGTTTCTTGACTTTTTAATTTCTGAGGGCTCTGTTCTGTTCCATTGATCTATATCTCTGTTTTGGTACCAGTACCATGCTGTTTTGGTTACTGTAGCCTAGTAGTATAGTTTGAAGTGGGGTAGAGTGATGCCTCCAGCTTTGTTCTTTTGGCTTAGGATTGACTTGGCGATGCGGGCTCTTTTTTGGTTCCATATGAACTTTAAAGTAGGTTTTTCCAATTCTGTGAAGAAAGTCATTGGTAGCTTGATGGGGATGGCATTGAATCTATAAATTACCTTGGGCAGTATGGCCATTTTCACGATATTGATTCTTCCTACCCATGAGCATGGAATGTTCTTCCATTTGTTTGTATCCTCTTTTATTTCCTTGAGCAGTGGATTGTAGTTCTCCTTGAAGAGGTCCTTCACATCCCTTGTAAGTTGGATTCCTAGGTATTTTATTCTCTTTGAAGCAATTGTGAATGGGAGTTCACTCATGATTTGGCTCTCTGTTTGTCTGTTGTTGGTGTATAAGAATGCTTGTGATTTTTGTACATTGATTTTGTATCCTGAGACTTTGCTGAAGTTGCTTATCAGCTTAAGGAGATTTTGGGCTGAGACGATGGGGTTTTCTAGATATACAATGATGTCGTCTGCAAACAGGGACAATTTGACTTCCTCTTTTCCTAATTGAATACCCTTTATTTCCTTCTCCTGCCTAATTGCCCTGGCCAGAACTTCCAACACTATGTTGAATAGGAGCGGTGAGAGAGGGCATCCCTGTCTTGTGCCAGTTTTCAAAGGGAATGCTTCCAGTTTTTGCCCATTCAGTATGATATTGGCTGTGGGTTTGTCATAGATAGCTCTTATTATTTTGAAATACGTCCCATCAATACCTAATTTATTGAGAGTTTTTAGCATGAAGGTTGTTGAATTTTGTCAAAGGCCTTTTCTGCATCTATTGAGATAATCATGTGGTTTTTGTCTTTGGCTCTGTTTATATGCTGGATTACATTTATTGATTTGCGTATATTGAACCAGCCTTGCATCCCAGGGATGAAGCCCACTTGATCGTGGTGGATAAGCTTTCTGATGTGCTGCTGGTTTCTTGACTTTTTAATAATCGCCATTCTGACTGGTGTGAGATGGTATCTCATTGTGGTTTTGATTTGCATTTCTCTAATGATCAGTGATGTTGAGCTTTTTTACATATGTTCGTTTGCTGCATAAATGTCTTCTTTTGAGAAGTGTCTTTTTGTTTGCCTACTTTTTGATGAGGTTTTTTTTTCTTGTAAATTTGTTTAAGTTCTTGTCAATATTATGAGCCATTTTTAAGAAACACACGTTTATACACAAGATGCTACATTCCTTTTATTATGAGTTTCCTTGTGAAGTTAAAATCTTCTGTAGTAGTAAACAGATATACAAAGTGTCCCGCAAAAACCTCACTTCTTTGGGAATGAAAGTCCAGGAGGTAAACTTTAGTCCACGTTCAGTTCTTTCTTCTGTGGGAGGATATGTTTACTTGTTTTAAATATAAATTATTTTTATCATTAGCCTCAGGAGTTTCAGGTCTCCTGCATGCTTAAGAGTTAGTGCATATTGAGACCCCGAAAATATGATGTCATGTTGCAAGCCTGGGATCATAATTAAAAATAGCAAAACTAGACCCAGATCAGTCCTTGGAGCATGGACCATCAATTGAGCCATGCATTCACAGACATCACTTTGTGTCTGTCAGCAGCAGACTGGTGACAGTCACCCCTTGAGGCTTGTAGATTCTAAGGGCTGTTATCATTTCTTGTTATTTCTAGACCACTTTGTTCCTTTCATTGCGGGGAAAAATATTGAGGAGGATTTTTGGGCATGTATAATAAACAGATAGGGAATTGTATTATTTTCTTCTATAAATCTTTTCAGGTAAGTAAAAAAAATAATTGTTTGATTTCTTAAATGCCTTCAAACGCTATATAATTCAAAGCATTAGATAATTTACAATTATACTTCCCATATGTAATGTCTGTGATCTAGCCAGTAGGACAACTCATTTTTATTCAGTGCTCAAGTGGGTATAATATATTGACACATGCTTGAATCTGATTTATATATTGTTCTTATTTTCAGATAAATCATATGAATTTGTCTGCCTAATACCTGAAACAATTACAAAAATCACTTCTTTCACTCAAGAGCCACATTCTAGACCTATGCATTGGTAACAATATAAAGAGCTGTCCTTCATGTATCCTCTATTTTTAAATTATCATTATTTTGAAACTGTCATTCCTTTTTTAATAGCTTAAAACAAATTAATTTTTACACTTGAGGGTATATAACATGCCAAATTAGAAATTTACATTTGCATTTTACCATTTTCTTTCTCTTCCTTCTCTTCTTCTTCTTCTTTTTTTTTTTTTTGAGTCAGAGTCTCGTTCTGTCGCCCAGGCTGGAGTGCAGTGGCGCGATCTTGGCTCACTGCAAGCTCTGCCTCCTGGGTTCACACCATTCTCCTGCCTCAGCCTCCTGAGTAGCTGGGACTACAGGCGCCCGCCACCACACCTGGCTAATATTTTTTATTTCCAGTAGAAACGGAGTTTCACTGTGTTAGCTAGGATGGTCTCGATCTCCTGACCTCGTGATCCACCAGCCTTGGCCTCCCAAAGTGCTGGGATTACAGGCGGGAGCCTTCTCTTCTTTTTTCTGTCATTTCCACTGCCATCTCACCATACTCCAAGGTCCTCATCTATTTGTCACTACCTCTGTCAGTTAGTAGAAGGCAAGTTCTTAGAACTTTTCTATATGTCAACATCACAAATTTCTATTCATTCAGTGCCCTTATACAGTGTGCACTGAGCTAAGAGTAGATTTTTTCTTTAAGATGGAGTCTTGCTCTGTTGCCCAGGCTGGAGTGCAGTGGCATGGTATCTGCTCACTGCAACCTCCGCCTCCCAGATTCAAGCGGTTCTCCTGCCTCAACCTCCCAAGTAGCTGGGAGTACAGGCACATGCCACCACGCCCAGCTAATTTTTTTTGGTCTTTTTAGTAGAGATGAGGTTTCATTGTGTTAGCTAGAATGGTCTTGATCTCCTGACCTTGTGATCTGCACGCCTCAGCCTCCCAAAGTCCTGGAATTACAGGCAAGAGTAGGAATTTAAAGATAAGTTGTATCTTCCTTCATTTCTTTTATTATTTGGCATAGATATTTCAATGTAATACTTTAATTCTTGCTCCTTAACATTTGCCAGAACCATCTTTAGGGAAAATGTTGAATTAGGTATCATAGAGATTCTCTTTTTTAAAATAATACCATAGAGTGATTAAAACCACCAGCATTGGGCATGGACTGAGACTATTTTTTCATCTCTGTGTTATCTGTGCATCTGACACGTAGTAGAAACCAAATGAATATTTGTAGAATCAATGAATGAATGACCAGGAAATGAAATTGTGAAAGAATCAAAGAGGATTTTTTTTCTTTTCAATAAGCTGGAAGAAGCTTGTATATGCTTAACTGCTGATTAGAAAATTCCCATTGAAGGGAGAAATTTACTATTCAAAAGGGAGAAGGGTGAGAGAGATGATAACAGGATTTCTTAGAAAAAGGAATTTAATGGGATCAGAGCATTGGATTCACTGACCTTAGGGATGCCACTGAACACAAACAATGACTCAGTCTGAGATTTTCATACAAATTACCTATTCTTCCTGATTCTGATTAGTCTTCTTCTGAGATATGTAGGCAGAGCCACCCTAAACCAATCCTTGCCTACCACACTGCTTGTACAGCCCATCTCTTACACACTGATGCACATGGAAGCATATATGTCCTTCCACATCCTTTGCTTATGTCCTTGTCCCCCTCTTCTCACATATCATAACAAGCTATAATGCACATTTTCTTGCCTAATGCTTAGGGCTTTCTATTCATTTCAATTCCTCATTCCCCAGAATCAACACAGCTAATGTGTGGTGGTGTCAGAACTACATCCTAAATTTCCAACCCAACTCTATTGTTTTAGACATATCTCTAAATGAAACTGTAAATGAGACATTTCCTTGTTTTCCACAAGGAGAGTTTTATTATCTCATATTAATGGAGAAGTAATTGAACTGTCTTTCAATCGATATAGCTTAATACAAATTTTAGCTGTTATGATGTTGGAGCCCCACCAAACAACTTTAGCAAGTACTTGGAAATTGCTCCTCTGGGAAGCTTTTCTTAAACCCCCAGTATTGGGTTTGGTGCCCCTCCAGTGAGTTCGTCTTATAGCACCCTATGTAGCATTTGTGACACTGAACAGAAATTGTTTAACTGGCTACTATTAACTACGGTTTCCCTGGGGATAGATGTGATCTTTTATACCATTGTATTTTAGCATCTCACAAAGAGTCTGGTACACAGATGATAATCAATATTGAATAATACCCAATAAGCCAATCAAAAAATCTGAAGACAAGAGCTTGACATGTTTGACTTTTCATTTTCTTCACAAGTGGATGTTCAATTGCAGTGAAAACAGTTTTCACTGATATGTTATATAAACAGAGAGAGCCTATTTTAAGATCTTATGGCTAATGGGAACAATTTTAAAGTGTTTATTGAGAGGCAGTTTTAGACAATGATTCAAAACACAGGATTTGGGGTCAGAATACCTGTGTTGGAATCTTGACTTCATAACTTACTAGCGGTTTGACCTTGAACAAGCAACCTATCCTCTCCACCTTTAATTTCATCATCTCTAAAGTAGAAATGATAATAGACCTATGCCAGAGAGTTTTTTTTAAGGTTAAGTGAGTTTATAAAAGTTATATATAATAATGACTGTACATGTATTATTATTAAATTGTGAGCATAATATTTTCCAAAATACTTTGTATTAAAACTATGCCTTATATTTTCCAGTGGTTAAAGGTTTCCATGCATTATCCTATAAAAGATACTCACTGCCTTGCTTTTATTTTACATCTGAAGGCTAGAAAAATAACTAGATTTATAAATAGAATAAAACTTAGACTTTTTTAAGTTAAAAAAATTATTACCTATTTTTATGTGTGTGATCTGCCACTACTCAGAGGACTTGACTTTCCTTCTGTGCCATGCCATTAGGACATGACTACTTTGGACACATAAGCTTCTAATCAAATGATTCATTACTACTCACATTTAAATATAAGAACTTGATTCTTCAGATGAAGAAGTCATGACATTTGTATATATAGCAGGTAAAATATCCATTTTTAGGAGAAATTCTTTACATGTGATTGCTCCAAGCAGTCAAAAAAAATTACCATCACTTTATGAAATGCATGAGAATATTTACAGAAGTGTTTCCATGTATGTGTGTCAAAGAAACCAGTGGAGGCTAATTTGTATGTAACTTGTCCTAAGCAGATGTGACACTGAGTATTTGATTAATTGGCCAAAATGGTAAGCTTGTTGGGAGACTTATAAAGAAAAGAAATTTACTTACTTCCTAAAAGGTCTCTTTTGCAGTGGCTGTAGCATACACTCGAAGTAGCCATGGACATAGAAACTATAGATGTATTCAGTTGGTGCAAAAGTAATCATGGTTTTGCCATTAAAAGTAATGACATTACGTTTAAATCTTCAATTAATCTTGAGTTAATTTTTGTATAAGATGTAAGGAAGGGGCCCAGTTTCAGTTTTCTGCATATGGCTAGCCAGTTTTCCCAACACCATTGATTAAATAGGGAATCCTTTCCCCATTGCTTGTTTTTGTCAGGTTTGTCAAAGATCAGATGGTTGTAGATGTGTGGCGTTATTTCTGAGGCCTCTGTTCTGTTCTGCTGGTCTATGTATCTGTTTTGGTACCAGTACCATGCTGTTTCAGTTACTGCAGCCTTGTAGTATAGTTTGAAGTCAGGTAGTGTGATGCCTCCAAGACCTAAAATAATAAAAACCCTAGAAGAAAACCTAGGCAATACCATTCAGGACATAGGCATGGATAAAAACTTCATGACTGAAACACCAAAAGCAATGGCAACAAAAGCCAAAATTGACAAATGAGATCTATTTAAAAGAGCTTCTGCACGGCAAAAGAAACTATCATCAGAGTGAACAAGCAACGTACTGAATGGGAGAAAATTTTTGCAATCTATCCATCTGACAAAGGGTTAATATCCAGAATCTACAAAGAACTTAAACAGATTTACAAGAAAAAAAAAAACCCCATCAAAAAGTAGGCAAAGGATATGAACAGACACTTCTCAAAAGAAGACATTTATATGGCCAAAAAACATGAAAAAAAGCTAGTCATCACTGGTCATTAGAGAAATGCAAATCAAAACCACAATGAGATACCATCTCATGCCAGTTAGAATGGCGATCATTAAAAAGTAAGGAAATAACAGATGCTGGAGGGGATGTGGAGAAATAGGAATGCTTTTACACTGTTGGTGGGAGTGTAAATTAGTTCAACCATTGTGGAAGACAGTGTGGTGATTCCTCAAGGATCTGGAACCAGAAATACCATTTGACCAAGCAATCCCATTACTGGGTACATACCAAAAGGATTATAAATCATTCTACTATAAAGACACATGCACACGTATGTTTATTGCAGCACTGTTAACAATAACAAAGACTTCGAACCAACCCAAATGCCCATCAGTGATAGACTGGATAAAGAAAATGTGGCACATATACATCATGGAATACTATGCAGCCATAAAAAAGGATGAGTTCATGTCCTTTGCAGGGACATGGATGAAGCTGGAAACCATCATTCTCAGCAAAATAACACAGGAACAGAAAACCAAACACTGCATGTTCTCGCTCTTAAGTAGGAGTTGAACAATGAGAACACATGGACACAGGGAGGGGAACATCACACACCAGGGCCTGTCAGCGGGTAGGGGGATAGGGGAGGGATAACATGTAGATAACAGGTTGATGGGTGCAGCAAATCACTATGGCACGTGTATACCTGTGTAACAAACCTGCACGTTCAGCACATATGTCCCAGAACTTAAAGTATAATAAAAATAAAATTAAATTAAAAAATTTTAAAAGCACAATGTGATAATTGCTCAGAAACAGAATGATCATGAGACCATAAAGAAAATCCAAAAATAGACCAAAGATAAATATGAATTAAATGAAGGTAATGGCAAAAACAGCAATTACTTTTGCACCAACCTAATAGGTTTGCATCTCTTGTTACCTAACTTATTACCTACTTGCCATTTGGCCTGTTGCCTTGGAGAATTTATGAATTGAGTAAAATTGTTGAATGTCTGCAGCATGTCAGACACTGTAGTAAGAGACCTGAGGGCACAGGAGAGGAATCACACTGGGACTGGGCAAGTTCCTGGTGGGAAGAATGTGGAAGGCTTGAGTAAATCCTCAGGGAAGCTGCAGGATAGACTAGCTACCACATGACATCAGATAAAGTGCCTTCCAGGCATAGAGGGTCAGGATTTACCCCCTCACTCAATGATTGATTTGTTCATTCTGCATTGATTGCACCAAGTCCTGGGAATATTATATTCAATTTGACAGAGAACAGCCGGATCTCAAGGAGTTTACATTTTGGAGAGAGCGTCAGGTTATACAGACAACAAGCATATTCACAATCCAATGTCAGGTAGGGGTAAGTGTTGTGAAGAACAATAAAGCAGGTTATGTGCATGGCATAAGGGGGTTTCTGTTTTAGACGGTGACATTTAGGAGACCTGAATGAAGTTAAGGTGGGAACCATGTAAGCATGTTCTATGTGTCAGGAGCAGAAAATGCATAGCTCCTGCAGCAGGAGGGTGCCAAGTGGGCACAGGAATCCATGGGGCCAGTGCCTGGTGAGGAGGAAGAGAGGGTTAGAGATGAATTTGGAGATGAAGATTGTGCAGCCTTTGGTTTTATTCTACTTGTGATAAGAGCCCCTGGAAACTTTTCAGCAGGTCAGTGACATGATCTGATGTTATTTTAAAGTAATGTACTAGCTGCTGTGTTGAGAATATATTGTAAAGATCAAAATAAAGAACTAGTTAGGAGGCTATTGTAGAGGTATAGGGAAGAGATGGGTTGAGCATGGATGGTAGCTGTGGATGTAGTTAAGAATTGGTCATAATTATGATTTTTTGGAAAAACATTAGCAAATGTTAAAAACTGCATAGTGTATAAGAAGCCAGTGGTTGAATGTTTGTGGAGCTTGAGTTTTGGGGTGTGAAGTATCAGAAGATGAAGGTAGAGATTAAACCTGTGGGTGTTAGGAAGCCATTGTAGGAGATTCAGAAGGGGAGTGACATGAGCAGATTTGTGTTTTAGCCAATCCGCCTGACTGCACTGAACCTTGGTGCGGCAGAGGCTATTTTTACTTATCACGTATCTATGTGCTTCTCTACCTTTTGCAGCCTCCCATGCTGTGGGTTGGGGCCACATGACGGGGCTCTGCCAGTGAGAGGTGGGAGGAAGTGTTCTGTGTGGCCCTCTGATCCTCTCCTCTTTGCTGATAACCATGGGGAGATGAATAAGTTGCGGGTGGAAGCAAGCTGTATCCCATTTGGGGCATCACTCCTGGGTAAATGGTAGATCCACATTTACCCTACAGAACTATAAGTAAAAGTTGGTTACTGTTAAAATACTGAGTTGCAGGAGGCTTTGTTTCCCTAGGAAACCTTAATATTACTCAGTTCTTACTATCAGGACATGATTGTTTGCAAGAGTATCAATTAGGAGGCTGTTCCAGTAATTTAGCTGAGAGAGGAGTACCTAGACCAGGGCAGTGGTAATGTGGATGAGGAGAAGTGACCAATTTCTGATCTGTAAATGGAAAGGAATGCCCCTCCCATATTTGTCAGAAGGATTAAATGGGAACTTGAAAGCACCTGTAAAGTGAAAGCTGGGACACTTAGCTGGCATATTTCTTCTTCTTCATATTGTTAATGACAGCTGTCAGCCTCAGTCATGCAACCTCTTCATGTAAATGTTCAGTTTTAACCTACTGTCAGGTTATGTAGTACCTGACAGGAGCCCTGAAGATCTTTTTCATCACATGCTTATTATAGTTGACATTTCTGCCACAATGATGTGCCCGGTAGAATGAACTTGATATGGCTTTATTCCATACATGTCAAGCCTTGGCAGTAATGATTTATTGAAAAGGTGAACATTTGGTACCAAGTGTTGCTAGAAAAGAATAAAACTTAGTAATGTGGTAGACAGTAAGAGAAGAAATTCAGTAATGTGTCTTACAGTCTTTCATAGGATACAGTGTTTCATGGGGTACACAGTCTTGAAAATTAGAAAGGTGGGGATAATTTTATCAAGTCAAAACTTACACTCTTTGAAACCTATTAAACCAGTGCCATTTTTGTGAACCTTGCAGGTTTTTATTGATTCCATTCATCATAAGCAATTAACTAAGGTTACTTTTCGGCCAGCTTCTAATGAATAGGCTGAAGATAGAAACATTCTATAGGCACAACACTCAACGTTTCTCCAAATCCCAGTTCCTAGGAAGTATAATAAGTAGAGTAATATATTCTGCTTCTTAAGTTTCCAGATGATGGAGTTTTCCTGTCTTCATATGTCATCACATGGATTTGTTCTAGTTAGATGACGATGATGATTGTCAAGTATATGATAATCAATTGATGATTGCTCTTTAAAAGATCCAATCTTGTTTTACATAGGATGGAATATTGTCTTTAAAATAAGTCAGTGAAGTACCCCATCATATATAAAATAACTTGCAGTGCTTGCTTACCAACAATTAACTTTACATCAGTTAATCTATTGCTCTAAGCAATGCACAAGGTAGCTCTAGGAAATACACAATTCCTCGAAAATATGTTTTCTTGTCTTCAATACATTTGCACTTTATGTAGGGCAGTCAAAAGTACACAACTGAAGGGATTTGAAAAAAAGAATTAGAAAGGAACCAGTCAACATAAAGGAAGAGAGTACAGACTGAATATGCAGAGTGCCAAGACAGCGCAGATAGCCCCCGGGCCCTCCAGGTCTGCAAGAATGTAGCTGTGTTAGAGTCCTCTGACTTAAGTTTAGCCACTCTGTCCTGTGATTCTTCCTCATTTCTATTGGTTTACTTATTTCTCTCTTCATCTGCTATACCTGTGCGATTCCAGATTATCTTCATTTCTTTCCTCATGGAGATGGCGACCAATCTGGTAGCTTGTTTACCTGTCTTCAGTCTCTTTCCCACTCCAGTCCAACTTGTCTAAAACTGCAAGAATAAGCTTTTTTTTTTTTTTTTTTAAATAGCATTTTACCCTTATTCACCAGACACTGACTTAAGACTCAATTAAAAAAATTCTGCTTTAAGACCCACGGAACACAGTGGCAGGGAATACAGAGAGTCTGTGTCTAAACCCAACAAGCCTTGTAAAGAAAACATCAAGCCCTGCCAACTCACGTAGACTGTCCTTCACCTTGCTCTCTGTCACTACCTAGGTTATTTTTTTGGTGAAATTGAAGTTGGGCCTTACCACCTAGCACTCCTACTCTTGCTTTTCTTGTAAGTAGGCATGGCCTTTCATGACTAGTTCCATCTCGTTTTCAGTCTGTGACACTGGTTGGTGTAGTAAACACCTGTTTTTAGATTTGCTAAAATAGGCTCCTCTGTTGCTGCCTGTATTAGCCTCCTGGGATTGTGGCAACAGCCTCTCATGTGCCCCAATGCCAGGACCTGCTCCTTCCTGCCTACTGCAGGGATTGTAAAACAGTTTTCCATGGTGATCTGCAAAATATTCATAGATTTTTAATGAACAAAAAAGGTTCTAAAAACAAACAAGCATGAAAAATGGTGTCTTACTGCAAAGCCTCTCAGAGCTTTTGATATGCTAATATGCATTGTGACATGCTAATGTGAATTGGGACTCTCCAAGAGGAAGAATTAATATGCAACATTAATGAAACTTATTTGATCCAGAAACTACTTTTTTAGATAAACATCTGTTACCATCACAGAGAATTACAGTGTTCCAAGAGAGTACAGTTTGCAAATTTTGGACTGCTCCATCAAATAAAATTCCTTCCACCTTGACCAACTCATCTTTTCTTCTTTGGGCATACTTGGTTCAGCTCAGTCATATAATTTGCAAAATTCACTATCCATTTTAAAGCCTCAGGTCAGCTTAGTCTGTGTACAGTCCCAGCAAGAAAAGAAAACAGTGGTTTCAGGTTCTAGAGCTGTGTTTTTATACTTTATGTTCATTCAGATGAATGTGAAAACCAGTTTGGAGAAGAGTGATATTCTCCAAATTGGAAATTGACCTAATTGCTCTTTACAGAGAATTATAGTTTCTACTTTTCTGAAAAATATAAGTACCTATTCTTTATCTAAAAATTATTCAGGGTTATTGTAAAATAATCAATTAATACAGAAAAGTCTTTATACACTTTTTAAAAAATTTGCTTCTTTAAAGCAAAAGAACCCCACAAATCCTATTGCTCAAAAGTAACAACGTTAACATTTTGTAAGCATCCCCTTAGTCATGTTTCTAGGAATTTTGCCTCTTGGTCATGTACAGATGGTATTATAACAGAGAATAGAAGTAAGGAGAACAATTAGGAAAGCATTATGGTAACCTATGGAATGATAAGACCATACTTTGGGATGTAAATAGAAAGGAGGCCATGAGTATAAGAGGTAATTGTATACTCAAGAGGTGCCCATAAATCATTCACCCTCACATTCAGATACATATAAAAAAGTATACATACAAATTAAGTAAATTTTTAGACAAAAATATGCCATTAATCTTTTCAGATCTGTGCCTAGAGATCCCCATCATTACCTTAATGGCTGCCTGGTTTACAACTGTATTAAGGTGCCAATGTTTGTATCACCTAATCTTCATTTTGAAACATTTTACTGTTTTTCTTATATAGCATATAAAATTTCAGTGAATATTTTTATGTATTATTTTTATAATACCATAGTATAGTCTCTAAGAAATGAAATAATTGCACTAAATGGTAAACCCATTTGAACTTTTAATCTATACTTGGTAGAGGCATCTCTTCTTGATTAATTTCTGAGGAAGTCTTTATATACTATGGCTTATAATATATTTTTCATAAACTGCCAGGTTTCAACAATTGATGTTCCCAGGTTTTAATATTCTTGGAAGAGATTAGGAGATAATTTTCACCTTGTGATTAGCCATAGCCTTGTGATTTCATCCCTCTTAATGGTTTGTTTTTTGTCTTCCATCTCTTCAGACTGGCATGTCAGAGTACTTTAAAAGTATTCTCAGTCATATTTAAACTGGGATGGTGGTTCTTGTGCACTTGCTGTTTACTTTGCTACACAAGGAGAATATTTAAGTTTAATTCCATTTGTATCTTTGATGTAAATATAGCATAGTTATGTGTCCAGAACTATGCTGTCAATTATAGAGAGATGTAAGGACCTCATTAGATTTATAGAAGATATGTCAACACACGTTAAAGACTATAAAGCAAGATGAATGATTAATATTTTAAACAGTGGTATGTTGCTAGGTTCTGTAGAAGAATAGAAAGAAAAATTTCTTGACCCGGGATAACCAGAAGAGGTTTCATGAAGAAAATAATAGGCCCTGAAGAGTGTCTGGGACTTAGGAAGGATGGAGCAAAACGGAGGGCTTTCATGGGAGAAAGATGCATCGGTTGTTTATTGCTGTCTAAGAAATGACTCCAAAGTGACCTAAATCCACACCCATTCATCATTTCTCATGATCCTCTGGGTTGACTGAGCAATTGGTTCTTCTGCTCATTTAGCTTGGGTTTCCTCAGGCAGCTACATTTAGCTGATGCATTAGTTGGGAGCTAGGTTCAGTGGGGACTACAAGAATAACTAGACTTCGCTATTCTTGCTCTCTTGTTGTCCCTCAGTACAACCCAGACTTCTTCAGGGTGATGATTTCAAGGCAGCATCCTAAGAGAGTAAAGGCAAAAACTTCAAGTCTTCTGAAGGTCTAGCTCTGGAAGTTGCATAATCTCATCTCTGCCACATCCTATTGGTCAAAGGAATTTACAAAGCTAGGGAAGACTCAAGGAAATAGATTCCATCTTTTAGTGGGAGAAGCAGTAAAGTCTTACCACGAAGGGATTTGCATACCGAGAGAGGAAAAATTTGTGGTAATGTTTTTAAACCCACCACAAGGGAACTGTATGAACAAAGATTTAGAAGCAAAAATGAATTTTTTTGAGAATCAGCCAGAAGACATATTAAGACATGATTTCTCAGAAGTTATGAGAAGCTCCTGGCTATTCCATAGGGATCATTCTCAGGACCCCAAACTATTTAGGTTATTGGCAGTGCCGGCCACTTCAGTCTTTGTATCTCGGATCAATCTTACTGGTATTTTAATAAAATTTCAGTATTATTTTAAGTATTATCCTAATGCTTCCATATTTAAGTAAGCATAATAGTAACACTAACTTTATAGATAAATAGAAAAAGTGATGTAAGTTATATTCTGTATTTGTTGCTTCTTTTACATGCTGGTGCTTATGATTGGAGAAATGGCTTGCAGGTATCACCACGGAAAAGCAAAGATTCCTGGGTCATTTAAATGTGTTTCTAGTACAAAATAAACAGAGAAGAGCCATAAACAAAAGAAATTCAGTTTTTCATCATAGTAAGAGAGGACTTGTTGTATTTTCTTATTCCTTTTTTTTCTTCTGTAGCTGATAAAGCTAGACTTATAAATAGGTAAGGTAATCTTTGCATTTTATAAATTCAAGGTCATAGGAAAATCTCTGTATCGAAATAATGGATTGCTACATAGCTGAAGTCTTATCATTGTAGTTTTCTTATTTTGTGCTTTAAAGTTGTTTTTTAAAGATGCAATCAAAGAATTTACAAATATCCTGAAAGATACATCTCATGCTATTATCAATCATCAGATCAGATCATAATTATACCGTGTGTGTGTGTGTGTGTGTGTGTGTGTGTGTGTGTGTAAATGGAGATGGTGGGGGGAAATGTGCCTTTTCCTAACTTAACATAGGAAAAAAATAGAAACAAAATAGAAGCGACAAAGACATGTGTCATCAGCTACATAATTTGTGAAATATGTTATACTTTCAGTTGTTCCTTGAATCTATAAAAATAGCAGTTTTCCAGCCTGGGAACCATAGCAAGACCCTGTCTGTACAAAAAAATGAGCCAGGTGTGTTGGCACATATCTGTGATCCCAGCTACTCTGGAAGCTAAGGTGGGAGGATTGCTTGAGCCTGAGAGGTCAAGGCTGCAGTGAGCTGTGATTACGTCACTGCACTCCAGCCTGGGTGACAGAGTGAGAGACTCTGTCTCAAAAAAAAAAAAATCAATTTTTAGAGATAGAAAATAAAAGCAAACCAAAATTTCAGCGGCAAAATAAGTCAGTCCTACTATCTTTTCCAAGTTGGTGTTCTGCTCCTTGAGAACATAAAGTTGTGTGTTGGTGTTGACCCTTGTCCAGCTTTGCATCTTTTAACACAGACCTATCTGATTTCTCCTTAGTCATTTGTATTCAGCTGAAGTTTTAGTCTTTGTAACTATAGATTTTGAAAAATCATGTCACAAAAAAGGCTTCATTTTCCTTCTGGGAACCTCTGAGTGACTGTGCATCATCAGCAGTCTCTGGCTGTGTTTCTTGTAGAACCTCCCTCACTTTCTTTCTTCCTCTGCTTCTTTCCAAGCTGGGTTTAAAATTTCTGAGAAACATGGAGAAGTGACGAGTGTTCCAAGGTTGGCATAGATAGCATTGCACTCACTTGAGATTGTGGCTTAGTGCCTAAGACAGCTCCCCTCCAGAGAATCTTTTAGTGACTAAGTTAGCCTTTGTATTAGATGGGCAACTGCACCAACTAGGAGGGTGTGATGCCTTAAGCAATGGGGTAGGTCCTGTGAGAAGGGGGCTTAGAGTGATGGTAGCAAGTAAGAAGTTGGGAAAAGATGGGCACTAAGAGGTAGCTGGGGGCTTCTAAAGATAGCATAGAGTTTTACTCTCTGGTTGTCTATGGTGGCCTGACAGTTGTTACATTTAGGAACTATTGTTTGATCCATAATAAATGAGTCTGAAATGGTGAGTTCAGTATTCCCTGAACATCTACTATTATTCCTATTTCAGAGGGATTTTTCTATATTGCCCAGATAGTTTTTAATCAAAGTTACAAAAAAATCTGTAGCTGTGTAAGCAAGGCAAGTGTACTAATTTTATTAGAAGCTAAATGAGTTTTGCTGGATTAGAGAGAATAAAGAAAATGAATTTACTTAGTGACTGAGCAGATCCAATGGTGCTTGAGGTGTCAATGGTAGATAGGGATGCTGTTTGGAGCCTTTGGCAGGCCCCCATAGATGAATCACAGTGGAGGCCTCTAGGATTTTGGAGCAAGGCCCTGCCGTCTTCTGCAGATAACTACTCTCCTTTTGAGAGACAGCTCTTAGCCTGTTACTGGGCTTTGGTGGAAACTGAACATTTGACTATGGGTAATCAAGTCACTGTGCAACCTAAACTGTCTATCATGAACTGGGTGCTTTCTGACCTATCCAGTCATAAAGTGAGTCATGCACAGCAGCATTCTATCATCAAATGGAAGTGATATATATGTGATCCGACTCAAGCAAGTCTTGAAGGCATAAGTAAGTTACATGAAGAAGTGTCTCAAATGCCCATGGTCTCCATTCCTGCCACCCTGCCTTCTCTTCCCCAGCCTGCACCGGTGGCCTCATGGGGAGTTCCCTATGATCAGTTTACAGAGGAAGAGAAGACTAGGGCCTGATTCACAGATGGTTCTGCATGGTATGCAGGTATCACCCGAAAGTGGACAGCTGCAGCACTACAGCCCCTTTCTAGGACCTCCCTGAAGGACAGCAGTGAAGGGAAGTCTTCCCAGTGGGCAGAACTTCAAGCAGGCCACCTGGTTATGCACTTTGCATGGAAGGAGAAATGGCCAGATGCGCGATTATGTACTGATTCATGGGCTGTAGCCAGTGGTTTGGCTGGATGGTCAGGGACTTGAAAGAAGCATGTTTGGAAAATTGGTGACAAAGAAATTTGGGGAAGAGGTATGTGGATGGACTTTTTTGAGTGGTCAAAAACTGTGAAGATATTTGTAGCTCATGTGAGTGCTCACCAACAGGTGACCTCAGCAGGAGAAGACTTTAATAATCAAGTGGATAGGATGACTTGTTGTGTGGACACCCCTTGGCCTCTTTCCCCAGCCACCCCGTCATCGCCCATGAACAAAGTGGCCATGGTGGCAGGGATGGAGGTTATGCATGGGCTCAGCAACATGGACTTCCACTCACCAAGGCTGATCTGGCTATGGCCACTGCTGAGCGTCCAATTTGCCAGCAACAGAGACCAACACCGAGCCCTCGATATGGCACCATTACTCTGGGTAATCAGCCCGCTACCTGGTGGCAGGTTGATTATATTGGAACTCTTCCATCATGGAAAGGGCAGAGGTTTGTCCTCACTGGAATAGACACTTACTCCAGATATAGGTTTGCCTATCCTGCATGCAGTGCTTCTGCCAAAACTACCATCCATGGACTCATGGAATGCCTTATCCTCCATCATGGTATTCCATACAGCATTGCCTCTGACCAAGGCACTCACTTTACAGCTAAAGAAGTGTGGCAGTGGGCTCATGTTCATGGAATTCACTGGTCTTACCATGTTCCCCATCGTCCTGAGGCAGCTGGATGAATAGAATGGTGGAATGGTCTTTTGAAGTCAGAATTACAATGCCAATTAGGTGATAATACTTTGCAGGTCTTGGCCAGAGTTCTCCAGAAGGCCATGTATGCTCTGAATCAGCATCCGATATATGGTATTGTTTCTCCCATAGCCAAGATTCATGGGTCTAGTAATTAAGGGGTGGAAGTGGAAGTGGCACCATTCACCATCACCCCTAGGGATCCACTAGCAAAATTTTCACTTCCTGTTCCTGCGATATTACATTCTGCTGACCTAGAGGTCTTGGTTCCAGAGGGAGGAGCCAGGAGACACAACAAAGATTCCATTAAACTGGAAGTTAAGATTGCCACCTGGACACTTTGGGCTCTTCCTACCTTTAAGTCAACAGGCTAAGAAGGGAGATACAGTGTTGGCTTGGGTGATTGTCCCACACTTTCAAGATGAAATTAGTTTACTACTCCCTAGTGGAGGTAAGGAACAGTATGCATGGAATACAGGAGATCCATTAGGGCATCTCTTAGTATTACCATGCCCTGTGATTAAGGTCAATGGGAAACTACAACAACCCAATCCAGGCAGGACTACAAATGACTCAGACTCTTCAGGAATGAAGGTTTGGGTCACTCCACCAGGAAAAAACACGACCTGCTGAAGTGCTTGCTGAAGGCAAAAGGACTACAGAATGGGTAGTAGAAGGTAGTCATCAATACCAGCTACTGCCATCTGACCAGCTGCAGAAATGAGGGCTGTAATTGTCATCAGTATTTCCTCCTTTTGTGAAAAACGTGTTTGTGCATGTATATACTTGTACTAAGAAAATATCTTCATTTTATTTCCTTTTTTTTTTCTTTATCATGTTGACTTCATATCAGCATTTAAGTATTGTTAACTTTAATAGTATTTGGGTTGGGGATTGGTGTGTTTCTGGTTGTACAAAGGATAGTTGTATTATATTAGGTGTAATTATGACTTTATTATTGTCTTTATTTGAAGATTATGATCTCAGGAGATGTATATGGGTTCAAGTTGACAAGGAGTGGACTTGTGATGGGTAATAATGAGTGTCACCTTGATTAGATTGAAGGATGCAAAGTATTGATCCTGGGTATGTCTGTGAGGGTGTTGCCAAAGGAGTTTAACATTTGAGTCAGTGGACTGGGAAGGGTAGACCCACCCATAATCTGGGTGGGCACCATCTAATCAGCTGCCAGTGCAGCTAGAATATAAAACAGGCAGAAAAACATAAAAAGATTAGACTGGCCTAGCCTCCCAGCCTGCATCTTTCTCCCATGATGGATGCTTCCTGCCATTGAACATCAGACTCCAAGTTCTTCAGTTTTGGGACTCGGGTTGGCTCTTCTTGCTCCTCAGTTTGCAGATGGCCTATTGTGGGACCTTACGATCATGTGAGTTAACACTTAATAAACTTCCCTTTATATATTAAGATTAATATTAAGTGAAGATATATCCTATTAGTTCTGTCCCTCTAAAGAACACTGACTAATACACTTAGCTTAAAAGAGAATAACTATCATAGAAGGATAAAGTGGAGATCAAGCCATCTGAATACTTTGATTCTTTGTTTTTACTGTTATGTTAATTTCTTATAATTTTTTCAAGTAAACAATCTTCCCACATCTTTCCCTTCATTCCTCTTCCTCTCTCCATTTCTTCCGTCTTTGTTACATTAGTAATTGATTAATGCAGGTTTGTGATTAACTTTCTAAAGTTAAGTGGTTCTTTAGGGCATATAGGAAATAATATCAATAGTCATTGCCATGTAATTATTGGGGCTATTTTGACAAAGTCAGTTATGGTAATCACAGGATCAGCTCTAAGATAGGTGACATCTATCCAATATTATACTAAAATTTGGTAAGTTCCAAAAGTGATCCTGCTGTGTCCTAACTAATTCTACTAGTTGACAGTTCATTCAAATAGTGATTCAGTCAACTCACTGTATCACTTGGAATTTCCCTTTCCAAATTCCAGCATCTCTTAGAGGGAAAATGCGTCAAATAGTTTTCAGTATTTAACACTTAAAGTTATTGATGAGACCAGTTTCTAACAAAACAGTTGGCACAGCCCAGATACTAGATGGAATGGGGTGTAGATTAAGTGAAGATTGGAAAATAGAAATTGCCTGGCTCGTAGCAGATGCATAGAGGGTGCCTACATATATGGGTCACTGCAAAAGAGCATCCAGCGAAGCCAGGAGCCATTATGAGAGAGATGGAAGGAGAGCAACTTGGAAACTGGAAGTTTCTGAAGATGAGCTTCTCCACTTTGTGCTAAGGCCAACCGGAGCCATTTCAAATGTTTTAACAAGCTGTGTGCTACACAGATGATCACAGATTGCTGGAACATTTTCCTTCCACATCATAAATGTCATTATTAAAGGTGAACTTTAATGAATAGAAATAAAAGTAGAAAATGATGGTTGGATCACCTATGAGGCCTTAAGCGTTACTGCCAATGCATTATCATATCAATAGTTTAAACTGCTTAGCCTAAGGCCAATATCACTTGGCAAGATTTATAAAAGGAAGATAATTAGGAAAAGTTAGTACTGGTTATCATTATGGAGGGGCACAAAATATAATATCTAAGAAGGAAAAATTACTAATAAGGAGATGGAGAGATGCAGCTTGACCTAATGAGCAAACGAAATAACTGGACCACATTTTTTTAGAGACCTGAATATCACTATTTGATCTCTTATCATGAGCAATTTATAAGAGTGAAGGCCAGGTTACAGTTAATTAGCTTAACATGATTTTTCTTTGACTCTACAAATTGTTTAACCCCGAGAAATAAACTATATTGTTTATATGCTTAGATTGGCTATATGAATTTTTATAAACTATAAAAAGAGAAAGATTCATCTTCTTTCAAAGAATATAATTTGGGAGAATTAAGGATGAATAGTTTTCTATAGGGAGGAGTGGATACTACTGGAGGGTGGGGATTATGTCTGTCTTTTTTATCATTGTGTTCCCAGAGGTTGGTATAGTGGCTGGCATATAATAGGTGTCAAATAAATATCTACTAAATTCAGCAATGCTTGAATGAATAGTGATGTCTGTGATGAGTTATAACATTGTTCAATCTTCTGACCTGTCTCTTTTTGATAACATTGTGTATTCTTTCATGTCTTTAATGTTCATATTATAAAAAGGCATTTTTCCATTTTAAAATATAAAACTATATTACATATTAAAAATTGTTCTTCAGAGTATTCTCTTGGGCTGTGATGTGTGTCATAAAGGACTCACTACCCTCTTCCTCCAGGACCTCTGCCCAATTGAGAACCACTCTGTGTTATTAACGTTAAATTGATCATAGTTACATAACTAATCACATTTAGTGGCTTAAGAAAAGAATAATTATTTATTTTATTCATGAATCTACAATTTGCACAGGGCTATGAGGGTATGACTTATTTCAAGTTCATGTGGTATCAGCTAGGATGGCTTCAGTGGTCCTGAAAACTACTTAGTTGACTCAGCCACATGGCTGGTAGGCTGATGTTCTCAAGCTGTATCCTGCACATACAATCACAGACTGATGGAACATTTTGTTTTATTTCTTAAGTATCATTATTAAATATCATGAATATGAAAAGAAAAAACGGAATGGTCGAACCACCTACATAGTCGTAAGTGTTAACCAGAAATGTATACTCACATCAATATTGTAAATTGCTCAGCTATGGCCAGTGCTTAGCTGGGAGTTCAGCCAAAGCTATTGGCCAGGGGCCTTTATTCTTCTCTATGTGGGCCTCTCCAGAAAAATGCTCGGGCTTCCTCACAGCATGAAAACTAGATTCCAAGAGCAGGTGTTTCAATAGTGAGGAATTAGAAGTTTCTAGTTTTGTAAGGCCTCTGGGCCTAGACATTGGCACAAAATCATGGTCACAATATTCTAGTGGTCAAAGAGTCATAGGGTATGCCTACATTCAAGGGATCAGAATATAGACCTTGCCTCTCAATGGAAGAGTTCTCAAAGAATTTCTGACCCCTTCCATTGAGAGGCAAGGTCTATATTCCATCTTTTGTGTGTCATAATTATCTTCAAAATAATCCTTTTGTGGTGAATAAGAAAAATATAAGACTTTCTATGTAAGGCATTTGCTGGTATGTATGCCAGATTTACTAAGACCTTAAGTATGATTAGCTTGCACAATTAGCAGTTATCTGAAGTCTGTAAGTCTGCAGGAGAGCATATAAAAAGACCCTTATGAAATTGTCACAAATTAACCTAATTATTACTATTAACAGTAAAGTACATGGATTGACTATATGATACCTTCATTTAAAAGGTAAAATAATGTAAGGGGTCTCTATAAAACTGACAAAACTGGCCAGACCATGGGAATTCATGTTCAATGAATGACAATGGAACTTCCAATTTATTTTTACCTTAATATGGTTAGGACATGAATAACCTTAGCCTTTAAATGTTTCACTCCCCTACCTGCCTTAACAGTGTATATTCCTTCTGTATATTTATAACACTGGTAGTAAGATTTTGATATGAAAATAAAATGTTTCTGAAAAACTGTTTTTTAGTTTTTGGTGTGTGAATTTACAGGAAAAAAATATTTGAACACTTGCCATGTTCTAGGAACTGGTCTATATTGGGAAAATACAGCAGTGAGCCAAAAGGACCAGGCCCACACCTGCCCTCTTGGAATTTGCATTCCTAGGGGAAAAGATGGATAATAAATGAATAAATAAATAAATAAATAAGTAATGTAAGTTAAAGTAGTGATAAATTATGATAAAGCATAGTAAGGAGGTGGATAGTGATAGTGAGGGAAGAGGATGTTTAGACAGCATGGTCAGGGAAGGCCTCAGTGATGAATGAGGGTTGTTTTTTTTGTTTTTTTTGTTTTTTTTTTTTTTGACAGAGTCTCGCTCTGTCGCCCAGGCTGGAGTGCAGTGGTGCTATCTCGGCTCACTGCAACCTCCGCCTCCCGGGTTCAAGCGATTCTCCTGCCTCAGCCCCATAAGTAGCTGGGATATCAGGTGTGCACCACCATGCCCAGCTAATTTTTGTATTTTTAGTAGAGATGGGGTTTCACCATGTTGGTGAGGCTGGTATTGAACTCCTGACCTTGTGATCGCCTGCCTTGGCCTCCCAAAATGCTGAGATTACAGGCATGAGCCACTGCACCCAGCCGATGAGTCAGGTTTTGAGCAGAGACCTGAATGAGGAGCGGAAACAGACCAAGTGAGGATCATGGAGAAGAGTGTTCAAGGAACAGCTAGTAAAGGGGCTCTGAAGAATGAGTTAGTTTAGGTTGTTTGATCAGCATCAAGAAGATGTATACTGAAGCAGAGGGAATGAAGAGAAGACTGATAGGAGTGATGGCTAGTGGAAGAGGCAGTGCTATGATTATATGTGGCCAAGATTATATATATATATGATATATATATATATATATATATATGATTATTCTTTTTGTTTGGGAAATGATTTTGTGGTGATAATGATGCATAGCATTTCTGGATACCTAGTCGCTACTAGACTCTTTTTTTATACTTTTTTATATGCGTTATCTCATTTAGCGCAACCCTTTTGTGAAGATTCCAGTGTAATTTTAAAGTTCTAAGTGAGGACATAGAGGCCAACGGAGGTTTAGTAATTGGTCCAAAGACACGCACTCTTAGAGACTGCAAGGATGCTGGTAGAGGTAGTGAGAAGTGATTGAATTGAAGCTATACGTTGAAGGTAAAGCCAACAGGAATTGTTGATGGATCAGATATAGGAGATGAATCAAAGAATGGATTTAAGAATAACTTTGAGGTTTTTGATCTGAGCAACTAGGTATGGCTTTGCTGTTTGCAGAGGTGAAAAGTGCATTTGGCTGTTGGAGAGAGGGTGCTATAGACTGAGTTTCTTTTCGGATGTGTTAGATCCAAATAATGATTAGACATCCAAGAAGATAGGTATGTCTGTAATATGGGAGGGAGGTATTATTTTGAGAGTTAGCAGTTTAGAGGGAGCTTCTACTGAGATCAGTTTCCCTCATTATTGTGTGTCATGCTCCAAGGCCTCTCTCATTAAAGATGTGCCCATTTGTTCAGGCAGTGCTGTTGTTGCTTGCTGGAGTATCATACATGCTGTCACATTATCTCTTTTGAAATGTATTCCAGACTCAAGATTGAAGATATTCATAAGGAAGAAGTGATTTCTCTTTTTAAAAATATATGTAAATGACATGAATCTATATATGTGATAAAATTTTATAAAACTATACACCGAAGAAACAAGTGCATACGAAAAAAAGAAAAACTGGCCAAAAAAAAAAAGCTCTCTAGTTTGGTTAATTGTACTGTGCCATTATCAGTTTCCTGGTTTTGATATATTACTATAATTGTGTAGGATGTCATCCTTGCGAGAAGCTGCATGTGGGCAATGCAAGCTTTCTGCAGTATTTCTGCAACTTCTTTTGAGTCTAAAATTATTTCAAAATAAAATTACAAAAATGTAAACATACAATTGAATCTCTGACTTTAAATTATTATCTTGTTTAGTCTTATCTGATGTAGGGACCCTACATTCACATGAAAATGAGAAGCAGTGAGGGATAAAGAGCAGTTGGTTAATGGGTACAAAAATACAAGTAAGATCCAGGTTCAGTAGCACAATAGGGCAACTATGGGTAATAATAATTGATTGTAAATTGCATGAGAACTGGAAGAGTGGAACTGGAATGTTCCTAACACAAAGAAATGATAACCAATTACCCTGATTTGATCATTATACATTATATGCTTATATCAAGATATCATTGTACCTCATAAATATGTATAAGTATTATGTGTTCATAAAATAATGAAAGTGAAAAATGAACAAAATGGATATTTTTATAATAGGCCAAACTTAATGGGATGTTGATAATTCTTCACTTATTAGTGCTGCAGACTTTTAATACATTAGCAGGTTCTTCATATTTTATCTTAAACTTTTATATGAGCAGAATATATTTTGTGTGTACATTTAATGTACCCTAAAAGATGAAATGTGTCGTAATTTGTTAAACTAGAAGGCAGTAATAAGACATTTGGCAAATGTAGCATATCGCAAGCATCTTAGAGAGCCAAACAAGTTAAACATGTCAAAATAATAGATAGTTCTGTGACATTTATTGACAATTTATGATAGCTGAGCACTACTAAAAATCGTAATTGCAGCATTATTTCATTAACCCCTAAATACTCATTATTTTAAAAATTTAAAATTTTCTTATTTCTCTTTTCTGAAAATGTAAAATTCCATATTTGTTAGATGATTCTGCTATCATTAATTTGTTAACCTTATTTCTGTTTGTTTTTCTTAATAGCAACAATGGTGGAATAGAGATGTTAAGTCTGTGATTACCTTTAGGTTTTTTTTTTTTTTTTTAGGAAAGACCTCTATATCTTTTAATAAACTTCATAATTCTTTATAGAATCAAGATCTCAGGATACTATAACCAGAATCCTAGTAACCTCTTCATTTCAACATGGAAAACTGATACATTAAAGATAAACACATTTATTTTGAACTATTAAAATAAATATATGCACACAGGACGTTGAAAGACTGACAAAATGATAATTTTTTTGTTTTTAAATATGAATATTGAAAGGTATAAAGACTCACTTGGGAAATGTCAACACTGTATTCCTCCTACACAGGTCTAACAAAATCTGTCTTAAAAATCTGTCTTAAAAAATTGTCCTGCACTGGCATCAAATAATAGCAGAAAAACTGACTCCATTTTTTTAAAATAATAGCTTTCTGTTGTGAAATTGTAATTTGTTATACTCAGAGGAGAACAGCTCTTCTTGAAGAAAACAAATAATTTTCTAAAAGCAGTATATTAAAGATCTTAAGTTGCTTCACTAGCTTGATTTTATACCACTTCCATCAAATGGGATTTGGCTGATGAAACTGCAAAGTGAAACAGTCTATATTTTGTTTACAGTCATTTTTCAAATGCTTGGAGGATGTAGGATGGAAATTATCGTTGCCTGTGAGTCTACTTACTTGTGAAATGCTTATGAAATGCCTGTGTACTGAACATTAAGGTGAATAAAGTACTGCCCCCTTTTCAAAAAAGATTCCAGTTAACAAGAGAGTGAAACCAGAGGGGCAGGGAAGTTGCGGGTAGTGTGCTATTGAAGATTGGAAGTTTGTTCAGTTTAGGCTGAACTGTACCCTAAATAAGCTTTTGTAGGATCCTGTCAGCATTAATAGCCTGACTAGGTCTGGAGAAAGAAGAGTTGGTGAATTATGGATTGAGGAGGAGGGAGCAGTTGGGGCTTTGAAATACCCTATACCACCTGTAGTCCCCTGTAGATGAATGACAATTGTCAGTGGGCTAACTTTACATTTAATTAAAATGATGGAATAAAAAAAATCACTGGAATAATTACATGAATTTAATAACTGGAATTTCTCGGCATTGCCAAAGTTTTATTTTGGCTAAAAACTCCAAACCTCTTTATCTTCAGAACCTTCTAAACATGAAGCACATTAATTTGTCTCCACTCCCTAAATTTCTGATGTTCTGTCAAAAATATTTATAACCAGGGAGGTATTCCAAAAATTGGAAGGAGCAGGCAGTGAGAAAGAGCATATGTTTCTAAACTGGATCATCAATCCCTGAAGAATTTAAATTGATTAGGCTTCATTCAGGAGGACAAAGTGGAGGATAACTTTAATCTACTAACAAATAGAATTTCTTAGGCTAAATTATAACTTTGGATCATCTGATTCTTCAGAAAATTATAACTTTGGATCATCTGATTCTTCAGAAAAGATGACTCTTACATTTTGTCATGTTGACTAGAGCTCTGCATGCTCATAAAGTCATGTTTCTCCTACTGCAGGTAATGTTTTCTGAGTGAATACCAGGTGTCAGGCAGTCTTCTCAGAGTTCAACATGTATTTACCCCTGCAAGTTTATAAGGATGTCTCTGTCAAATTATTCATTGATTTAGCAAATATTTGTATTTTTTTCACATGAGATATTTGTTTTATTTTTATCATTTCTTCTCTTTCAGCTCTTCTTTATGCAACTATTTTTGGAAATGTTACAACAATTTTCCAGCAAATGTATGCCAACACCAACCGATACCATGAGATGCTGAATAATGTACGGGACTTCCTAAAACTCTATCAGGTCCCAAAAGGCCTTAGTGAGCGAGTCATGGATTATATTGTCTCAACATGGTCCATGTCAAAAGGCATTGATACAGAAAAGGTATGGGTTATTATTGTTATTATTTAGTTTCTATTTTAGTAGGATCTTCAGATGCATTAAGCTTTTCCAGTCACGTATTGCTTGTATAATTGCTTCGTAACTGTTATTCTGTATTTGTAAGTGACATATCAGTCAATCAGTCATATTTATTAAGTGCTTAGAAGGTGCAAAGCACTGAACCATTAATCATCAATTATTACCAGTCATCACATTCAATTTAGAAAATTCAGTTCGTGAAAATAACTCATTATTCTATTTCCCCAAAACAGTCTTATTACCTCTCACAGTAATTTGTTGCATTCCTCTAAAACTCAGAGTGCTGCCATTTTTCCTGCTAGAATTTATTCTTGATTTTCCCTTTGCCTTTTTTGCTCATTTAAAAATTAGAAAGAGACTTCCTGCCTATAAATTTAAAATGTATGTGTCTTCTATGCTGTCCTCCACCTAAATTTCTCCTGTCTCATATGTTTTATAAAGAACTTATAAGTCTTTATTTTCCACTTTACCTTACACACATCTATAAAATAGATATCTCCCTCTCCAATCATCTGGTATCTCTAATCTCTTCCTTGCCTTTTCATGGAGCTGATTTTAATTTTTCTCATGTATCTCATATTTGGGGCAAAGAAGAACTCAAGATCCTCCTTAAAATAAATAAAACCAAATTTTAAAAAATCCTCACTTCCTACACCCAGCTGATTCACATCAAATACAGAAGATGAAAAATAAAGCTTGTACACAGAGTTTTAGAGGAAACCAGTCTTGAGCTATTTTACTTTATAAACATCATTGGAGACTATTCTTTTTAGGTACTGATTTTTGACACGTGATAATTAGATGGCATAATACTTTCCTGGCCATTTCCCACAATTTTTTTTTTTGTTCTTTTAACCTTGTGAGGTTGACTTACGGTTTTTCTTTAAGACCTGCTCAAAAAGCATCTTTCAATGTCAAAGGGAAAAAGCAAATGAGCAAAGTAGATGTTTAGTTAGGAGAATTTCATGAAGCAACATGTAAGTAAGTTGTTTTAAGCCAGGGCAGGTGTTGTTAGGAATAGGTTGAGTGGAGGCATAGGGAATGGACGAGGAACTTAGGAGTTGAGGGAGAGAAGCCTTCAGAGGGAGTGCAGGTGAGATACTTGGGGGCAGCTATGTGGAGGAATTGTGAAAGGGGGTGAGATTTACTCCCTTTTCAATATTTTACAAGATACAGTATAAATTTTCCAGTTAAATGGCCCCTTGAAGTAGTACGCATGAAAACAGAAGGGA
Source organism: Homo sapiens (assembly GCF_000001405.40). Classification (NCBI taxonomy): domain Eukaryota; kingdom Metazoa; phylum Chordata; class Mammalia; order Primates; family Hominidae; genus Homo; species Homo sapiens. Next base: position 62,848,384 of record NC_000014.9, on the reverse strand, counting down.
GAAAGCAAGCTACATTTCTATGGAATTTCATTAATGTATATCTGAGCCAATATATGGTTAGTAGAGAGAGTATCCAAAGAAGAAACAGAATCTTCCTTGGAGTGAAGGTGAGAGTAACAGAATTTAAGTCATCAAAAGCAGGGTGTCTGTTGAAGTCCACATTAAATGAAACAGATCAAGAGGCAACCACCGGCCTCGTCAATCACTATCTCAGCAAGAAGCTTTCCTTTCCAGAAAATGCAATAGAGCCACATGGTAACTAATAAAAATCAGTAAATGATGGAATAATGGCCTTTTACGTATTTGAAAAGAGTCTGAGCCAGGGCCTCTGGCACAAATCTAGTACAGGGCAGAGTTTTGAGTCCTTGCTCTCTATATTCTTGAATACTGAGTTATTCATGAATGGAGCCGAGTAGATTGTCTTCAAGCCTCCCCTTGAGGACATGCTTAACTGTCTGATTCAAGATGGAGTTAGGGTCTGATGCACTGGCATGCAGTGTGTCTCAAAGTGTGCATGCCATGTGGCAGGGAAAAATTTCTGGGTACCTACCATGGACTGCCTTAAATAATATTTTGTTTCCTTGTTCATTTGCAGTTAAAGAAAGGTACTTCTGATTAGCAAAGTAGCCAAGGAAAATGGAGTAATAGAACGAATATGGGGAGACTAATATTAAAAGTGAAATAAAAATTTAATTTCAATGAAAAGATTTTTTAAGGGGATATTTTAAGATATCAAAATTGATTAGCATTTGGATAAGAAAAAATCATGGATGTAGCTTTTAATTGAGTGAGGAATCCTTAAAGTTGTTTTTGACTAATAGGAGAAGCATATTTAAATAACTGTGACAAATATAAAAGTTTCCTTGTTCATATATGAAACATACTCTATGCCTGTATTGATTTATCCCAGTCTATTAAGAAAATCCCTACCCAGATGCATAAGTTCTAGGTTAACAGCACTGAAGGAAAGAGAAGGAAGGAAAGACATCTGCCAAATTCTGGGCTTAGAAAGGGGGTGTAGGGATTTCTAGTATTGCATCATCAAAGAGACTGAATTTAAAAATGATTCTTAGATTACACACCATATGCTATACTAAACAAGAGGAAAACAAAAACTGTCATTCAGCTCTCTGGTTTTGTAAAGAACCTGACAACTAGAGCAGAAGACTCCTATGCCTGTTAGGCATTCAGCTATTTAACAAATAAATTATATATATAATATATATATATAAAAAATATATAAAAATATTTAATTTTAAAATACAATAATAAAGATACAATACAGGGCCGGGCGCGGTGGCTCACGCCTGTAATCCCAGCACTTTGGGAGGCCGAGGTGGGCGGATCACGAGGTCAGGAGATTGAGACCATCCTGGCTAACACTGTGAAACTCTGTCTCTACTAAAAATAAAAAAAATTAGCCGGGCGTGCTGGCGGGCGCCTGTAGTCCCAGCTACTCGAGAGGCTGAGGCAGGAGAATGGTGTGAACCCGGGAGGCGGAGCTTGCAGTGAGCTGAGATGGCACCACTGCACTCCAGCCTGGGCCGCAGAGCCAGACTCTGTCTCCAAAAAAAAAAAAAAAAAAAAAAAAAAAAGATACAATACAATAATACAATACAATAATAAATAAAGACTTGAAGCATAGACAAAAGAATTAGTAATTAAAGAAAAGAGAGGGAATAGATATCTCAGAACTAGATTCCACTATAAATAAGGACTGAATATAAGTTAAAGAATGAATTGTAAAGATGGAATTGACATACTACTTAATATCATTATAAAATGAACTAAAAATCTAAGAAAATATTTATAAGGGTCTTCACTCATGACCTAACATAAATATCAGAAAAACTGAGAATTAAATGCAAAAAAACAAGAAACTGTAAACTATTAGAAGAAAATATGTGAATATATTTAATTTATCTTTGTACATATTAAAGTAATGGAATATATAACAAGGTAACTGACAAATAGATTTTGCTAAAAAGTGTAAAATCTTTCACACTAGAAAACTATGAAAATGAAAATGACATAAAGCATTTGCAACAAATTTTGCAAGTGAAAGGTTAATTACCTTAATATGTAAAGTGATTTATTAATTAATAAGAAGAGTTAGAATACTTGGGGAGAAAAACGATCTGAGGACATAAGTAATTTATGGAAGACAGAATGCAAATTACTAATAAGCATAAAAAAGGCTTATTTTCCCTTGGAACAAAGAGTTAAAACTTAAAAAAACAAACAAACAAAAAGACATAGAAACATTTTTAATATGGTAAATGGTCAAAGATGATGCCCAATCTTAGCAAAGGTTGGTGACTGGCATTATTGTATGATTCTGGGAGGTGTGTAAATTGGTAGCACATTTCTTGAAAGCAATTTGAATAAGATAATATTTTAAATTTGGTGGTATTTTAGAGTTCAGTCCTTGTGCCTCGTCCCTTTTCTGTCTGTATTCCATTCTTTCATGATATCCTGCAGTCTCATTACTTTAAACCAACACCACCCAGTGTTCATACTTCTCTTGAACTTGATTCCCTGAACTATAGACTCTCCCCTCCAACTGCCTACTCATGTCCAGTGAAGTTGTCCAAAACCAAACTTCCAATCATCTCCTAAAAACCTGTTTTACACACATTTTTTTCCCATTGAAATTAACGGAAACACTACCTTTCAGTTGCTTAAGACAAAATCTCCCACATTTAAACCTCTGCTGAATCCTTTTGGCTCTACCTCCGATTCTCACCACCTTCATTCACCTTCTATCACCTGGTCCACATCACCATCATGTCTTCCCTGGATTTTTCTAATACCAACTAACTGGCCGGTGCTTCCACCTTTGTCCCCTGTATAGTCTGTTCTCAAAAGAGCAGCGAGTGAGCACATATGGCTTTTGTAACAAAACTTTCTATGTATGTGTGTGTGTATCTACCTATCTATTTATGTTTATATCAATCATCAATTATCTATCTATGCCATAGACTTTTGATTATGAGTTAAATTGATTAAACCTGTTAAAATACAAGTGTAGGAAAAATAAAATGAAAGGTTGATGACAGTAATAATATAAATTCCTTAATTGCAGTCACCATCTTAGAATTATGTATGTACTTTTGGATGTAGCTTTAATAAACGGTATCTGAATTTTAACAATCACCCAGTATTTAATGTTCGAGACCTCTGTTAGACTTCCTGTTCCTCCATAAGCCAAATACATTTTATTACTTTATGTTTCTTATTTTATATTTTATTGATAATTTTTTTCAAATATTTTAAATAGAGGTTATCAAATTTAACTATGAATATATACTTTAAAAGGAAATATAATATATGAAGCCAAATGTCTTTGTTTTAATGCTTCTCTTCTCTGGTTAGTTTTAAAATAGCTGTATATTTTTTCAATTGCTTGTACAAAGAAATTTAATGATTCATTGAAGCTAATTAGAGAAAAAACCTTCGCCCCAATGACTGAGATTTCCTTCTATCATTTCCACATATTTAGTTTTATAGATTTTTGAATTCAGCTTTAACCCACAAGCAAATTAATCACTGTGATTTAATTCTGTCTTAATGTGACTTATGTGAATAATGCTTTCTCTAATATAATTGTGGCATTAAAATCTGTACTGATGTGGAGATTGCAGCATTTCTATCATGAAAGTTTGCTTTAGGCAATATTTTTTAATATAGAACAGTGCCTAGTTCAATTTTATTTAGTTGAAAATATGTTATTGACTGCTCATTAGTACGGTTGCTTTAGATTTTTTTTAAATTTAATAGCCAAATCCATCATCTGGGCTTTGCTGCTTGCTAATATTCTGTGTACATGAAGGAAGAAGAAATGGGTGGAATAAGTGAGGATTTAAAAGGGGAAGAGGAGATTATGGGAAAAAATAGAAAGGATGATGGTTGAAGCTCAACAAATTCGACCCCACAGTTTGAAATGACTTTGCTGGGAAATAATTCAAATGAAGTAAATGGCTGGGGACTTTATTTTCAGCTTTTTGGAACATGTGAAAAAATGTAAGACCTGTAAAACAATGTGTAGACCACATATTTCCCATCATACTGGATTTTTTTCAGCTTGTTGCATACAATGAAAGGTCTAAAACCTTACCTTTTGTATTTTCCAATATCTTACTTTTTTCTCTAACATGTAGCTTGAAAAAAATCAGAAAAAGCTCTTTAGTCTTCATTTTTGTTTCATATGTTTTATAATAAACATAAGGTATCAGTAGGAAGATGCTATTATATGAAATGTCCCAGCAGAATTACACAAAAAAATCAGGTAGGAGTATGCCTTTAGAATTTAAACAAATTGAAATTTTGAACGTTTTAAAATTTTTTATTATCTTTTAACCGAATCTATCAGAGAAGCACTCTGCTTTCAAATACAGTAGGCAATATATATATTTTTTACAAGTTAATTTCCTTTTGACAGTTTAATTTTGTATATTTTTTTAATTTGGGAAATGATGTTTAAATATTTCATCGTATTACTAGATATGAAAAATGGATTATATTTTCATACATGTCATCATTTTCTTGGTTCGATATTAAAATACTTCAAGAGGTTCCCGTGATGGTATATATCATAGTTGAAGCCAAGACCAAAGGCACTAGTCTTGTAAGAAAACTCCACCGACAAATGTGCTGTATTTAAAAGCCATGTAGGGGCCGGGCTCAGTGGCTCACGCCTGTAATCCCAGCACTTTGGGAGGCTGAGGCAGGCGGATCACGAGGTGAGGAGATCGAGACCATCCTGGCCAACATGGTGAAATCCCGTCTCTACTAAAAATACAAAAATTAGCTGGGCGTGGTGGTGCACGCCTGTAGTCCCAGCTACTCAGGAGGCTGAGGCAGGAGAATTGCTTGAACCCGGGAGGAGGAGGCTGCAGTGAGCTGAGATCACCCCACTGTACTCCAGCCTGGGCAACAGAGTGAGATACTGTCAAAAAAAAAAAAAAAAAAAAAGCCATGTAAATATATCCATGTGAATATAATAAAATAAAGCTGAATTGGTCTTAAGATGCACTAAAAGTAATCTAGCCTTTGAATCAAGAAAGATAATGATCATGCCAGTACAGCCCATTTTAATCAGATCATAGATTGTGTTTGGATATTGTGTTCAACTTCTGCTGGATATTTTAAAAGAAATGTCATCCTATAAAGCAGCACACTTACCAGGAGATAAGCATGATGGCACAAAGTTCTTGGAATTTTGTTATATGATGGGTAGTTAAAATAAATATGAATATTTAGTTTAGCTGAGAGAAGACTTGGGAGAGATATGACAGGTAAGTTGAAGTATTTGGCATTTTTAAAAATGGAATGATCTGTTTCAGGAGGAAATTCACAGTCTGCCAGTAAAAGATTTAGGCACATATGTAGAACATAGTACTAAATGAACTTGCAGGTCCTGACAGTAAGATTATATGATTGTGTCTGAATGATTTGGAGTACTATTATATATTACATCTCATTTACAATTTACATATATGTATTTAAGGGATTTTATATAAAAAGAATTATAGTATAAAAATCTGTAATAATTCACTAATTATTTTCCAACAACTTTTTATTAGGACAGCTAAGTACTGTAGTTTTACATATGACATGAAAGGGCTTTTCCAAGGTGATAGAACATATACTACCTTAAAAAATTAGGATTCAGAATGTCTAATAGAGGGGCTATGCCAGGCCAGTATGGGACAACTGTAGTAGTTTTCCCTGTGGTCTTTGAGTTACCTGCTTGTTGAGCAAGAGACGCTATTAAGAAACTATTATAAGAAACCAGCATATCATTGCAAGAAACTATTCTTCAGCTTATTATTTGAAAGCATTATGCAACAAATATATGAAAACTATAATTTTTCCATCAGTACCTAAACGTAATCAGAGAACTTAACTATTGTTACATCTACATGTGTTTCTCAGTTGTTACCTACTGAAATATTACAAAGTAAGCATTCAGAATTATTATTGACATTTTTCTTTTCTGACTGACCTACACATTTTATGTGAGAAAGTAGACTTTATTTGAAACCTCAGTTTTTTCGTTTCACGTATCACAAGTTAAGTAAAATAACAGCCAGTGGCTTATTGAAAACATTACAAGCAGATGAAAACTTTAAGCAATACTTTTTATAATAGTAATTTCGAACACTCAAACATATATATTAGTTTTCATGGCTTTTAGCGTAGTTTAAGAGGGTTCCATTGCAAGCTTTACATTATTGTCAGCTAATATAATTATTAGTAAACTTTTCATGTGTCAAATCTTAGGCTGTGTTATTTGATTCAAACCTATCTTTGGGGATAATATTAAGCACATTCTTTTCTTGTATCACGTTGAAATTTAGCGTAATAGTGTGGGCTAATTTATATTTCATTTTCTCATCACTCTGATACTAGCTTCTGAGGAAGGACCAAAGGAATCGTTTGATAGCCACAGTCCAGAAATGAGAAGGTAGGATTGTTTACAGAGGTCCATGGATAACTTGCTCAGTACCCTACTTCATCTAGACCATAAGCATCAGGTTCCACGCTTTTGTGTTCACATCTGTATTGGAGTTACCACCAGCCACATTTACTTAGTTGGCTGGGAGGTGAAAAATGCCCACATGGTGCTTGCGCAAGGTAGGCAATAATAAGAGGTAGCAGATAATTTAGTCTATTGCGGTTATAATACATTTCATCCTTTACAGGTTATAAACTACAGGCACTGTGTTATGCCTGGCACCATTTTAAATCTTAGTTTTTGCTTGGTATTCAGTGGGCACTGTTTTATTTAAGCATAGATGAAAATAGAACATCAATTGTGGAGTAATTTGGATGAATGACATATTTCTATATATATACACATTGTACAGAAATATACGTTAGACTTTGGGGAAAAATTAAACCATGAATACTTCCACATGCTGCAGACAGTGTTATAGTATGAGTAGGTGTTTGTATCCAACCTATTATTGTATTCTGAGCTGCCTTGATTGATCTGTTTTCAAACTTCCACTGCCGTAAATCTGCAGTAATGGCTATTGATACACTTATTTTTAAATGAGACCATAATGCTTCCGAGACTTTTTCAGTTTTTAAGGTAAAAGTAGAATTATGCAGATTTGAATTTTATAAACTAAACTTTTAAGAAACAGTGTTTCAATTTCTTTGATTTCTGTTGTTATTATTATTTGACTGCGTTTGTTATTTTTCATTTCTCATCCAGTGCTTTTTGTAGCTTTCTCCTCTCCACTCACTCTCCCATCTCTTTCTTGATTTTTTTTTAATGGTAATGACTAAAAGATGCCTGTCTTTTGGCTCAGGCTGATTGCTTTTGATTTTGTATTCATTTATATAATTTATATTCAGTACTGAAAATCCACTTTTAGTTCCTTTACTAGTAGTGCCAAATAACCATGGGCATCATTGTCTGGCACAGCAGAAGGCAGCAACAGGTTGTAGAAAAATATAGTGAATAGATTGAAATAAAAGGAAAAATTGTTATGTAAGAAAGAGATTCTGCAGGGTGTGGCAGCTCATGCCTGTAATCCTAGCACCTGGGGAGGTCAACGTGAGTGGATCATGAGGTCAGGAGCGAGACCATCCTGGACAACATGGTGAAACCCTGTCTCTACTAAAAATACAAAAATTAGCTGGATGTGGTGGCGCGTACTTGTAATCCAGCTACTTCGGAGGCTGAGACAGGAGAATCACTTGAACCCAGGAGGCAGAGTTTGCAGTGAGCCAAAATTGTGCCACTGCACTCCAGCCTGGCTACAGAGCAAGACTCCGTCTCAAAAAAAAAAAAAAAAAAAAAAAGAAAAAAAAGAAAAAAGAAAAACAAAACAAAACAAAACAAAAAACAGAAAAGAAAAAGAAAAAAGAAAGAGATGCATCTGGTTCATTGCCAGCTGCCTGGGGTGCTGCTCCATGTCCCCTCCTGGGCATGGGTCTGGAGTCAAGGAGAGGGCTGCATGGCTATGCAACCTGTTGGCTTCCTCTCAGCTTTGCTTTTTATGGTTCTTGACTTCTTTCTTAAGACCTTCAGGAGGCATTTTCTTCTTTTCTCATAATAGCAACCTTCCTTATTTCTCTATACCTTATACTTCCTTGAGGAAGTCTTTATGTCCCTAGTTTATACTGGGACATCTCTGAGAGATGGCATATATAAATTTAAGAAAGATCTATATAATGGGAGAATTTAAAAATATGGACATAGCCATTTTTAAAATTTGCATTCATATGGAAGGAAACTATGGTATTAGAGGGTTTTGTGGTCCTTGCTATAGAGTGATAAATAGAAATAAACATAATCCCTGCTCTTATGTTGTTCAGAGTCTGATGGGGGAGAAAAATCTTCAATAGTTACCCTGATAAACATATGATTTTATATTGTGATGATGCTTGAAATACAATACAGGAAGCCATGTCAGATTTTAAAAAAGGAGAGACTGCATTTAAGTTGTGAAGATGAGAGTCAAGGAAAGTAATAGAAAAAAACAATAGAATTTGGACGTGAAAGATTGTTAGAAGCTGAAACTTTTCACCTATTTTATAATAAAATTCAAATTACCTGTGTGCTAACAGTCAAATAACTGGTCTGAAGGTGGAAAACAAATGTAAGGAGGGAATTCAAATACCTAGTTAATCTATTAACTACTAATAACTCATTAAATAAATTAATAATATTAAATGGTCTGTGTGTTCCATGTAAATAATAGAATGATTTCCACTGAATAGTCATGATGGTTTAAAATATTACTCTAATACCAATAACAACACGTAAATTGATCCAGGAACATATTGGTACCCAAATATGATTGAACTAATCATCACATATTTGTTTAGAATAATGCTAAATAAATATGTGGGTCTGCTGCCTTTGAGGGCATTATCCACAGACTTAACCCATATGTATTGTGACAGCACAGATGGCACAGGGGAGTCTGCAGGGCAAATATCAGAATATATTCAGATCAGGGTATAGCTTTACTCCCACTACTACTTCTCTCAAGGATAAATAAATGTTAGAATATATTATTTATTATGAATAAGTGTTAATATTTATATAACCATTTTGTTTTCAAAAGTGCTTGTTTAGTTGAATACATGACTGTTACATAAAATTAGAAAAAAGAGCTAGAAAAAGAAAATATGATGTCACTCATAATGCTACGACTTACAGAAGTATATTGTGCCACATTTATCTGTATGATTTTGTAAACATCAATTTATGTTATAAGTATACAATATAATAACATTTGTAGTCTATTCTATGTCTGTATTACATCATCCACATATTATTGAATATTTAAGATGTCTAATGAGTACATTAAGATAAACACTGAGAATAAGGGGTGCCAAGTCCAAGGTTATGTACATTTTTTTGTTTTTATTATTTTTGTAGCTTATTTCTTCTAAAGTATCAAATGAGCTACAACCAACATTAATTTACATATGTCTTTTTTCAGAATAACATTGTCAGTACTAGGTATTAATTTTCTTTTAATCTTTGTGAATTCAGAAGGCCAATAATCTTAGCATGTTTAATGTTTACTCTTTCCAACACATGTATACTATAATTATTCCCATTTACTGATACAGACACTGGGCTGTAAGAGGTTAAATGACGTGGCTTAGATCACACACAGGGAAACTTGGATTTTGTACTATGTCTGCACTGTAAAGGCAATGTTCTTAGTCACTCTGCTGCTTGTTGAATATCAGTATCTGGTAGACAAGTGTCTCCTTATCACACCTTAATTATGGCTCTTTTCAATGTGTTTATTCTTCTAAATAAACTTTCCTTATCCTTCCCACTCATCTTCATACTACGCACCCCAGATAAATCCCATTAGCTTTTGACTGAAATTGTATTGTCCTAATCTCAGAGTTCAACCATTCAGCAGAGACCATCTGAAAACAAGTTCAGGTTGCTTAGATGGGGCATGATGGGCTTATGAGAAACAATTAGAGACCTTGGACCTAGATTATCTAATGCAGGGTTAGAGATTCCACTCCTAGAAACCAGCATGAAAACCAAAGGATTCCACAGTGTGAGTATGAATCAGAGGTAGTGCAGTTGGAATATGATGAATAAAATACTGCACCAGCAGTAGGGAGTCTCCTGTTCTAGTTAACATGTCTTCTAGGCTAGTTCCTGTATTCCGGCTGGATGACCAATCAGACTTAGTCTCAGAATATATATGCTTGATGATCTTTTCCAAGATTTTTAAGGTTGAAAATTAAATGCATGTTTCGAAAGAGTTAGTGAGAAATATTAGTGATTTTTGGTGCCAAGGAAGAAGTCAGAAGACATAATTTAAATCAGTAGTTTAATATTGTAACCCTTGTATCAAACTTCATCTTGATAATAAATGAGAAGTTAATGGGAAGCAGCCTGCCTAGGGAAAACCAGTCACTGTTAAATGAGAAACAACCCAGCCCAACTCCCAGTGTTACATCCACCTGTTTCAATTAAGATCCCTCTTGTCTAATAACACAATTTGAAATGTCAGTACATCCGTAGAGACTTCACTTGTTTAATCTGGTAGTTATTATTTGGTTTCAGAGTGCCTGGTAAAGTAGTAAAATCAACTGTCACATAATTTTACAATGTTTTTACTGATTCATATAATTTGATAAATCATAGAAGACAGTATGATCAGAAGTAGTTCATTTATTCAGCCATTCTCAATACACTTGAGTGCTGTCCTTCCATATAACAGGGAAGCAAACAAAACTCCAAACCTCAAACTTCAAATCATTTTTACTATTAAGGATTAATGCTTCATCATCATTTAAGTTTTCTGTTAGAGAAATTTTGATTTAATGATGGCTTATTTACTATGTAATAAAATATTTTATGCTTAGAGGAAAACATGGAAAATTGTAAAAGGAGGTAAAATTCTTTTATGCTGAAAGCTGAGGCCTGACCGGAAGTTTAACCAAGAATTCACAAATATTTAGGTAGATATTGATGTATGTGTTGATATTTACTTGAAAGATATACTTCCCCATTTCAGTATTTAATAGTAAATGTCCATTAAGCCCCTGCTTACATTCAAGACATTGTTCCAGTCTCTGGAATGACAGTGGTGGATATGAGGCAGTTCCTGCCACGCAGGACTCACAGTCTAGTAGGACTGAACAAGTACATTTTTACTTTCTTTGACCTCCTGGCACTATTTTGTGGTTACACAAAGAGACACTTGGCCTTCAGGTGTGGGCCACCTGGAAGAGTGCAGACCAAGAGTCAGAGGGTAAGGGAACACACATTTAGGGACTGTGCCCATCTCTAAGCACTTCTTAGTGTTATATATTCCTGAGTTCCTGTAATGATCACAAACATCCTATGTGGCAGGCGTTATAGTCTCCATTTAAACAATAAGGAGATTCTGAAAAATAAATAAATTATCCAAGATTATACACCTAATAAACGGTAGAGTCAAAGTTTGATTCTGATTTTTAGGATTCTGACTTCAAACTTTATGCCCTCTGCCCTAAATCACTCACCTACTCCATGCCCCGTATGTTCCAGGCAGTACATCAGGCACTGGAGATGCACCTGTGACCAAGATAGGCATGGTCCTTGCCCTCATGAAACTTACAATCTAGTAGAGGAGACAGATAAAAATAATTGCATAAATAATTAATATTTTTTCAATTCCCTAATAAAAATTAAAATGCTTATGCAGTTGTTAGTATTTTAGGTGAAAGAGGAGATTCTTTTATCCTTTTAACTTTGGTTTTCTTTCTTAACATAGAGAAGGATGGCTCTTGCCTGCATTGAGAATAGTGAGTAAATACACTATCCCTAAACATACTGTGCTTTGGGATATATTGAAATCTCTGAATCCTTACGAATATGTTATAATTAGAGTGATCTTTACTACTTTGCAAGTACTCTGAAGCCAAATAATAGCTATGATTGTAATTTTTGTTTTTGTTTTTATTAATTGGTAAGGGATATGTAATTTTACTGAACTGAATTGGTATAGTGACAACCAGGAACAATGAAACTTGGAATTTTAGTGAGCTTATGTTGCCTGACTTGGGATGAATATCAGATTAATACTAGGCTTTTCTAATATTTAAAAAATGTTATTGTACTTTTCTGGTATTGGTCTTAGGAAAACCTGCTTTCATTTGTACAGGTACATTTCAAAAATATATACAAATTTTATTTTCTGAAATTCCTTAAGCATATAAGTTCCCTTAAAAACTTATCACTTTAATGAATAGATTGCAGAGAATCATGGGATCTTAGTCAAGCCAAGAACCACACAGTACTCCTGTAAGAAAGCACCAAGTGAATATATTAATAATAGGCCTGGTGTCAAGCTTGTTATTTACATAGAACACATATATACAATAAAAAGACCTGTTCTGTAATCTAAATTCGGCAGAATTCTAGAATATTCCTGATATTAAATTTATCTTTTTAAAAAAATTCTTGTAATGAAATCATCCTACAAATGTACAGAGGAAGAATTTCATTTATTTCGTTTTTTTTGAGGGCAATCATAAAAAATTGAAACGTAGCAAAAGTAAAACAAAAAAAACCAAAACAAGCAAGCAAGCAAACAAAAACCCCTTCAGTCTAATTTTTGTTTCTTGTAACTTTATTTTTTAAGGTATTTTATAGGAGATCAGAAGAGCTGGCAGAGAAACCCACATCTTAATGTTATGACCTTTACTTACTAAATAAAAAAAATGTGAATGTTAGTGTCAAGGCATCAGTTATGCCGTCAATATTTGAAGTAAAGTTTCAAATTGACTAAAGCTTACACTTCCATCTACAACTTTTAAAGAATCTTTTTAAAAGGCTATGATATTACATATTTTTTCTTAAAGTATTCCTAAGAATATTATGTATTACATTAATTGGGTAATATTTTCATCATGGAGGAGCAATGAATTTCCTCATGAACTTAGATGTGTACTTGTTTAATCTCATAATTTTTTATCCTATAAGAGACAAAAGCAGTTGGGTCATTACAATTTTAAGAATGACCTCTTAAAATAATACACCAAATATAACTCTTCCTTATGTTTGTATTTGTAATGACTTTCACACAAAATTATAGGCTTCTCATAAAATGAAAATCAATGTAAAAAGAAGACAGTAAAACCCATGTACATCAACATTTACACATACACATGTTGGTAAATGGTTAAACACAATAGAGGTGTCCAGCCACCTGGAATGTCGTTGTTACTGAGCTTGGTTGTATTGAGCTTTCGAGTCTTTTGGAAGCTGAATTAAAAAGTGAAATTCTTTAGTCTACTGAAAGAAATAAACACATTTGTCTAAAGATTTGTTTATTTTCTTATTATATTGAATTCAAAAAGACCTTTATCATGTGAAGCTTTTTGTTTGCAAGCAGTAGAGTATATTCGTTAAGATGAGGGATCAGAAAATTTTTTCTCTAAAGGGCCGGATAGTAAACAGTTTAGCTTTTATGGGTTATATGGTCTTTGCCTCCACTACTCAACTTTGCCATAGAAGCATGAAAGGAGCCATAGACAGTATGTAAATAATTGAACATTGTTGTGTCCCAGTAAAACATTATTTGTGGACGTATTAATTTGAATTCCATTTTTTCTCACATACCATTAAATGTTATTTTTTCTTTTGATTTTTGATAACTATTTAAAAACATAGAAACCATTATATACTCAGTGGCTGTACAAATACCGATGATGAGTCCAATTTGGCCTTCAGAGTTTGCTGACCTCCACTTAAGACTTTTTAGATCTCTAGTCCAATTGTCAGATTTCTATCCTATTTAAAAATTACAGTATCATCATCTCAAAACTCTTATGTACCTTGCCTGCCTTGGTTTTCTTCATGAGGCTCATCAAAATCTGAAGTATGATACAGAAGTTCACTTATATATTCTTTGTTAATTGTCCCTCTAGTACAATAAATAGTCCATGGGGGCAGGGAGTTTTGTATCTTTTGTTCACTGCTGAATAATTATTGCCTAGATTAGTGTTTGGTAAGTGGGATGTGTTCAATAAATATTTATTATATCCGTGAATGTAATTCTGGAGTTCAGAAAGACACATAAATTTGGAGCCATTAATAAGGCCATGAATAGGTAGTTATGATCACTCAAAATGACATTCTAGCTAGGAAAAGGAAAAGAGCTTAAGATCGAGCTTTGAGGTACTTGTACACTTAGATGTTAAGTAGATGAGAAAAGGCCAGAAAGGATACTCAGGAGTGGCTGGTGATATTAGATGAAAAGCTGAATTGTTTGATTTTATAAAAGCCACGAGAGAAAATGAAAAACTGCCTTGCAGTCTTCTAAAAGATAAATAAAGTAAAACGTAAAAAAGTTCCATTTGGATTTTACAACATGGAGATTACTGGTGGATTTGATACAGGCAGATTTGTTAGAGTAGTAGAGACAGATGCAACACTGGAGTGAGGTAAGGAGTAATGTAAGGTAATTAAGACAGTGGGACTTGGTCAAAGGGACCATCAAACTGACATATGATAATGGCACAAGATAATGATTCTAAAAATAACCTCATACATACGTGGAGATTTTATATATGATAAAGACAGGCAAATTTAGATCTGTGGGGAAAGAAGGAAACATTTAATGAATGTTATTAGGATTAATATTTACCTGTATGGGCAAAAATTAGTTTGATCTCTCCTTTACACCACATCAATCAATTCTGAACTTTAAGAATTAACTATTTAAAAAGTGGCATTTTAAAATAAGAGTAGAAAAAACGATGGAACCCCAAAGGACTCCAAATAACCAAAGCAATCTTGAGAAAGAAAAACAAAGCTAAAGGCATTACACTTACTGATTTCAAAATATTTTACAAACTAGAATAATTAAAACAGTATGGTCCTGGCATACAGACAGATGTATGGAACAGAATAGAAAGACCATAAATAAACCCATGCACATACGGTCAACTAATCGTTGACAAAAGCTTCAGTAGTACATAGTGGGGAAAGGATAGCCTCTTAAATAAATGGTATTGGGAAAGCTGGATATCCATATTCAAAATAATGAACTTAAACCCCTATATTATACATAAAAATCAACACAAAATGGATTAAAGACTTAAACATAAGACCTGAAACTAAAACTACTAGAAGAAAACATATGAGAAAATCTTCTTTACATTGGTTTTGACAATGATTCTTGAATGTGACACTAAAAGCAAAATCAACAAAACCAAAACTAGATAGTGAGGGGACCAAAAAAAACAGAGAATAGTGGGACTACATCAAACTAAAAAACTTCTGTAGGACCAACGAAACAATTAACAGAATGAAAAAGCAACCTATATAATAAGAAAAAATATGTATAAACTATAAATCAGATATGGGGTTAATACCCAAAATTGATAAGAAACTCTATCAATTCAATAGCAAAAACCCACAAATAACCAAATTTAAAAATGGGCAAAGGACTTAAATAAACATTTCTCCTAAGAAAACATACAAATGGCTGACAGGTACATCAAGTATATGCAAAGGTGCCCAACATCACTAATCATCAGGGAAATTTAAACCAAAACCACAGTGAGATATTACCTGTCAACTGCCAGGATGGCTATTACCAAAAAATGAAAATATAACAAGTGTTGGCAAGGATATAGAGAAACTGGAATGCTTATATATTGTTGGTGGGAATGTAAAAATGATATAGCTGCTATGGAAAACAGGACGGAGTTTCTTCAAAAAATTAAAATATAGAACCACTATATGATCTAACAATCCCACTCCTGGGTATTTATCCAAAAGAATCGAACTCAAAATATCAGATGTTTATATTTCCATGATCATTTTAGTATTATTCACCGTAGCCAAGATGTGGAAACAACTTAAATGCCCATGAATGGATAAGTGGAAAAAGAAAATCTGCTAAATACGAACAACGATATATAATTCATCTATAGAAAGAAGGAAATCTTGCCATAGATGATCAAAAAGATAAACCTTGAGGACATTATGCTAAGTGAAATAAACCAATCATTAAAGGACAAATACCGCATGATACCACTTATTTGAGGTATCTAAAGTAGTCAAACACATAGAAACAGAGGAGGAAAATGGGGAGTTGCTATTCAATGCATACAAGTTTCAGTTACACAAGATGATTAAGTTCTAGAGAACTGCTGTACAACATTATGCTTATAATTATTACTACTGTATTATATAGCTAAAAAGTTTAATAGTAGGGTAAATTTCATGTTAAACATTCTTACTGTAATTTAAAAAAATAATATATAGACGATTTTTATGATTATGTGTTTTAAATTGCTTTAATATGACACAAGTGGGCTAAATGGTAAAGAAATATCGATAAATGTAACTATTGAAGTTAGTAATTTAGGCCAAGTGTGGTGGCTCATGCCTGTAATCCCAACACTTTGGGAGGCCAAGGTGGGAGGATTGTTTGAGCCAAGGAGTTTAAGACCACCCTGGGTAACATAGTGAGACTTTGTCTCTACAAAAAATAAGAAAAAAAACTAGCCAGACATGGTGGCACATGCCTGTAGCCTCAGCTACTCAGGAGGCTCAGGTGGGAGGATTTCTTGAGCCAGGGAGGTTGAGGCTGCAGGAAGCCATGATTATGCCACTGTACTTCACCCTGGATGACAGAGTGAGATTGTATCTCAAAAAATAAATAAATAATTTATGTTCATCAAAACACATTACAAGAAAAGTGAAAAAATAATCTACAAACTGGGAGAACATATTGAAATATACAAAATCAGTAAAGCATTAGCAACACAATACATAAAGGATTCTTGAAAATCAGTAAGAAATATATGGATAACATAATAGAAACATAGACAAGAGATACAGACAGTTCTCAAATGCAGAAATATAAATGGTCGATGAACATGTAAACAAGCTTAACTTCAGCAGTAGTAAGGGAAATACAACTAAAAAACCCAGTGCTTACCTCTGGATTTCCATAGGTTAATTATGGTGGCCTAAATGTGCTCAGAAATCTTTTCTCTAAATTTACAGATTAAGAGGGGGAACAAATAAAGTCACTTTCATAGTGTAGCTACAGTTCAGATGAAAACAGAAAATACTGCAAATTTGATACATTAAACTGACCCTTGGGAAATACCTATCCAAACCAATAAAGTAGGCTTCCAGGCTCACACCAGAGCTGAGAGTCATGAGGAAATTACACAAAAGAGAGGAAGAGAGATGTTTTGTTACTTATGGAGGAGAACAAATAGCCACCAGGGTTCACTAGCAGAAAAAAGAATCCTGTCCTAAATGGAAAATACTAAGAACAGGACTGAGGCCGGTGGATCAAGGGACGTGCTACTGTGCAGTCAGATGGCTTAGAAAATGCATGGGTAAGAGGAAACAGTTTTGGGAAGGCCACACTTCTGGGGATAAGGAAAGCCTTGGAAAAGCAATGCTTTCCTTGGAAGCTTAGCGAGGAAGGGAAGGAAGTAAGGAAATGTTTTAGATAAGGAACCTAATGAACAGGATATCAGAAGTCAGATCCAAATAGCATTGTTTAGTGACGTAAGAGGATGCTCTTGAAAAAAAATCTGGTAATATACAGAAAAAATATCTTCCCTTGCATCCTCCCTTGACCTAACTCTTCCTTTTCTGCCACACAGAGGATCACCAATTGATATGGTTTGGCTCCATGTCCCCACCCAAATCTCATCTCGAATTTTAATACTCACATCTTAGGGAGGGATCTGCTGGGAGGTGACTGGATCCTGGATCGGGGGGTGGTTTCCTCCATGCTGTTCTCTCATGATAGTGAGTGAGTTCTCACAAGATCCGATGGTTTAAAAGTGTGTGGCAGTTCCCCTCTTGCTCGCTTACTCTCCTGCCACCATGTGAATAAGGTCGTTGCTTCACCTTCCCCTTTGCCATGACTGTATGTTTCCTGAGGCCTCCTCAGCATGCAGAACTGTGAGTAAATTAAACCTTTTTCTTCATAAATTATCCAGTCTTAGGTAGCTCTCTATAACAGTGTGAAAACTAATACAGGAAACTGATACCAGAAGAGTGAGGTACTACTATAAAGATAACTTGCAACTATAGAAGTGGCTTTGGAAGTGGGTAATGGGCAGAGGTTGGAATAGTTGGAGGGCTCAGAAGAAGACAGGAAGATATGGGAAAGTTTAGAACTTCCTAGAGACTTGTTAAATGGTTTTGACCAAAATGCTAACAGTGATATCGACAATGAAATCCAGGCTGAGGTGGTCTTAGATGAAGATGAGGAAATTATTGGGAACTGGAGTAAAGGTCACTTTTGCTATGATTTAGCAAAGAGACTGGTGGCATTTTGCCCCTGCCCTAGAGATGTATGGAACTTTGAACTTGAGAGAGATGATTTAGGGTACCTGGCAGAAGAAATTTCTAAGCAGCAAAGCATTCAAGACGTGACCTGACTTTTTCTGAAAGTATACAGTAATATCCGTTCATGAAGAGATAATCTGACATTGAAACTTATGTTTAAAAGTGAAGCAGAGCATAAAAGTTTAGAAAATTTGCAGCCTGACCATGTGGTAGAAAAGAAAAACCCATTTTCTGGAGGAAATTCAAGCCTTCAGGTGCATACATTTGCATAAGTAAAGAGAAACCGAATGTTAATAGCCAAGACAATGGGGAAAATGTCTTCAGGGAATTTCGGAGATCTTCAGGGCAGATCCCCCCATGACAGACCCGAAGGCCTAGGAGGGAAAACTGGTTTAGTGGTCCAGGCCCAGAGCTCTGCTGCTCTGTGCAGCCTCAGGACATGGTGCCCTGCATCCCAGATACTCCAACTCCAGCCATGGCTAAAAGGGGCCAAAGTGCAGCCTGAGCCATTGCTTCAGAGGGTGCAAGCCCCAAGCGTTGGTGACTTCTGTGTGGTATAGGGCCTGTGGGTGCACATAAGACAAGACTCAAACTTTGGGAGCCTTCCCCTAGATTTCAGAGGATGTATGGAAATGCCTGGATGTCTAGGCAGAAGCCTGCTGCAGGGGTGGAGCCCTTAGGGAGAACCTCTGCTAGGGCAGTGCAGAGGTGAAATATGGGGTTGGAGCCCCCAGAGGGACTTCACTGGGGTACTTCCTAGTGAAGCTGTGAGAAGAGGGCCACTGTCCTCCCGACCCCAGAATGGTAGATCCATGGAGAGCTTGCACTGTGCCCCTGGAAAGGCCACAGGCACTCAACACCAGCCCATGAAAGCAGCTATGGGGGCTGTATCCTGCAAAACGTCAGGTGCACAGCTACCCAAGGCCTTGGGAGCCCACACTTTTCATCAGTATGCCTTGGATGTTAGACATGGGATCAAAGGAGATTATTTTTGAGCTTTAAGGTTTAATGGCTGCCCTACTGAACTTCAGACTTCAAAACAAAGTCCTGGAACTCCTTTGTTTTGACCCATTTCTCCCTTTTTGGAGTGGGAGCATTTACCCAATGCCTGTATCCTTATTGTATCTTGGCAGTAACTTGTTTTTGATTTTACAGGCTCATAGGCAGAAGGAACTTGCCTTGTCTAAGATGAGACTTTGGACTTGGGTTTTTGGGTTAATGCTGGAATGACTTAAGACTTTGGGGGACTGTTGGGAAGGTGTGATTGTGTTTTGAAATGTGAGAAGGACATGAGGTTTGGGAGGGGCCAGGGATGGAATGATATGCTTTGGGTCTGTGTCCCCACCCAAATCTCATCTTAAATTGTAATCCCCACATGTTATAGAGGGACCTGTAGGAGGTGATTTGATCATGGGGGAAGTTTCCTCCATGCTGTTCTCTCATGACAGTGAGTGAGTTCTCACAAGATCTGATGGTTTAAAAGTGTTTGGCAGTTCCCTCCTTGCTTGCTTACTTGCCTGCCACCATGTGAAGAAGGTCCTTCCTTCCCCTTCCCTTTCTGCCATGATTGCAAGTTTCCTTAAGCCTTCCCAGTCATGTGCAACTGTGAATCAATTAAACCTCATCTCTACATAAATTACCCAGTCTCAGGTAGTTCTTTATAGCAGTGTGAAAATGGATTAATACAGCAACTATTGCTAGTTAAGAAAAATGTAAGCATAAATAGAAATAATTCACATAATGATTCTAGAAAAGAAATCAGGTAATAAAAATCAGACTTTTCAACCTGAAAGCCTATCTCCCACAAAGAGCTATAATGCAAAACACTAATATAATACACAGATTAAATTAAATATAGAAAAACAAGGAATTTAAAATATTAAAATACTTCATGAGTCAGAAATCCAAAAAAATCAGTATAGAAATAGAAATATAGGGGCTGATCAAGGTCAGAAGATAAATGAACAAAAGAAGAAAAATAATCTTATAAATGAAGACTGACTTCATTTATAAGGTGCCCACATTTTGTCTCATATTATGTAAGGGACATAAGAACAAATATAGAGGAGTAAATGAAGCAATTCAAAAAAATTAATGGAACTAAAACATAAAAAGAGGTATGAAGGGTGCAAACATGTAATAGAGAAGACATGTGTAAAGATCCAATATGTGTATAGTTGGTGCCCATCAAAACATGAAATAAAACAGAACTAACTTCTAAACTATAATTCAGGAAAGCATCACTGAAACAAACAAACAAAAACCCAAAGCTACATATCTGGCCCATTGTATACCTGGGAAAATTGACCTGTTGTAATCAACTTCAAAGTATATTCTACAAGAACAATTTGATTTTAAAGTATCATAAAATCAGACAAAAAACCTGGTCACTTACAGAGTAAAATGACAAAGTTGACAACAGACTTCTTGATAGTAATATATACAACAAAACAACAATAGAGCAACATTTTTTAGATCCTCAAGAAAAATGTGTGAGTTAAGAATTTTATATTTCAGCAAGCTGTCCTTTATGAATAAAGTTTACAGAAAATAGAAAAATATTAATGATCTCAGGGAATATTGTATTCAGAGACTTACTTCGATGATTCTGTTATGACAGTGCTTTCAAATGTTAATACACATGGGAATTGCAAGCAGACTTTGTTAAAAATGGAGATTATTAGTCTAGAGATGTGAGTGAAGAATCTGTGTTTCTAACAAGCACCAAGGCAAGGTGATGCCAATGCTCCTGGCTCACAAACCGTACTTTGGGTAGCAAAGTAAAAGAATGAAACAGCCAAGATATTATTGGGGAAACATTGCTAGAGACTGTTGGTAAGCACTGAATATATTTGTTTGCAAATATAAACACCTGTCTTTAAATGCCTTTACACCTGTCTTCTTTATTACATTTTTGTTCCTTTTATACAACTTTTTATGTTTTAGTTGCATTAAGTTTTTTGAATCTTTTCATTTACTCTTCTATATTTATTCTTGTGCTCCTTACATAATAGAAGATATAGTGTGGGCACCTTGTAAGTTAGTCTTCATTTATAAGATTATTTTTCTTTTCTCCTTTCATGTATCTTTTGATCTTGATCACCCCCTATATTTCTATTTCTACACTGATTTTTTAAAACTTCTGATTCATGAAGTCGTTTCATGTTTAAATTCCTTAAACATGAAAAATTTTTATAAAATACAGAAAAAATAGTAAAGTAAAATACATATGATGAAAGTAACTATAAATGCTCTGATAAAATAGATGCAACAAAATTACCAAAATAGGGAGAGAAAAGAGATAACCACATGAATACTAGAAGGAAAATCAACTTGATCTTACAGATATCATTAGTAAGGAAAAAAGATTAAGGGTTATATGTAGGTAAGTTTTAATACAAAAGTTTTAAATATCAAAAGAAATACATTACAATATACATCTTTTAAAGTAAAAAACAGAACAAAAAACTATATTATAAAGATACATATTTATATGCTAACATAGTAAATATAAGATAGAGCTTAGCCCTAACCTACCAGTTATGCTTAACTCACCTATTAGAAGAAAAATATTTTTAGATTGGCTTACAAAGGAAAATCCTTGAAAATGCTGACACACACACACACACACACACACACACACACACATGCACGCACGCACACACACACACACAAAATCTCAACAATAATAAAAGCCAAACATAAAGAGATGGGTAAAGGTATACCAGGCAAATGAAATAAATAAGGAAATTTGGCAAAATGCATTTGGCTGCATAAAGAACATGATTCACAATGAAGCTATAGGAGTTAATATATATGTGACAAATAACATAGCTGTAATTTCATAAAATAGAAAATATAGATGAAAGAAGAGTTTAAATAGCACAAAAATAATACGACACTTTAACACAGCATTTTCAGTCCACTTTAAGTCCATATAATATAATACTTTAAGACATCACTTTCAGTCAGGTACACAAAAATAAGAATGGATGTAGGTAACTTAAACATTAAAGTCAGTAAGCTACAGCTTATTGATAGATACCTAAATTTGCACTCTGATAATATAGAATATAAAGTTCCTTTCAAATAAATATGGAAATTTTAAACTGTATATTTGATCACAACGAGAACCTCAAAAATTTCAATTAGGCAGAACAAATGAAAGCATGTTCTCTCATTATAGTAGAAAAAAGGGAAACAGGAAGGCAGGAGGGAGGAAGTAAGGGAAGGAGCAAGAGAACGAAGGATAAAAGCAAGAGAGACAAAGTAAGAGAGAAAGAAAGAAAGGAACAAAGAGACAGAAAGAAAAAAGAAAGGAAGAATGAATGAATGAAGAAAGAAAGAGAAACCTTTCCATCTGGAAATATATAGACTATATTTTAAAAAGCAATAATCTGACAAGTTCAATATGTTAATCACCTATGGATGTGTTTGTATTGCCTATTTTTTCTCTTGGTCCTGTCTTAGTTTGCCTGTTAAATTTTTATTAGATGCTGAATATGAAAAAGTGATGTGACTCTTGATGAAGTCACCTTTCTCCAGAGAGATTTTTCTTTGTCTTCTGGAAGGAAATTAGACTAGGTGTCGGTTAGTTTAATGTAGTAAGAGATTTCTCAAAAGAAGGCATACAAGTGGTCAAAAAAAAATATGAAAAAAATACTCCACATCCCTTATCATCAGAGAAATGCAAATCAAAACCACAATGATATACCATTTCACATCAGTCAGAATGGCTATAATTAAAAAGTCAAAAACAACAGATGCTGGCAAGGCTTCGTAGAACAGGAAACACATATATACATATATGCACAGTAAGATTTCCATACTGTTGGTGGGAACGTAAATTAGTTCAACCACTGTAGAAAGGAGTTTGGAGATTTCTCAAAGGACTTAAAACAGAACTACCATTCCATCCAGCAATTTCAATTACTAGGTATATATGCAAAAGAAAACAAATCGTTCTACTGAAAAGACACGTACACCCATATGTTCATTGCAGTGCTGTTCACAATAGCAAAGACATGGGATCAACCTAAGTGCCCATCAATGGTGGATTAAAGAAAATGTGATACATATACACCATGGGAAACTATACAGCCATAAAAAAAACAATGAAATCGTGTCCTTTGCAGTAACATGGATGCAGCTGGAGGCCATTATCCTAGGTGAATTAACACAGAAAACCAGAGGTGTTTCCACTTATAAGTGGAAACAAAAGATTGGGTACTCATGGACGTAAAGATGGCAACAATAGACTGGGGACTACTAGAGGAGACAGGGAGGGAGAAGGACAATGGTTGAAAAACTAACTATTGGATAGTGTGCTCAGTACCTGGGTGACAAGATCATTCGTTTACTGAACTTCAGCATCACACAATATACCCAAGTAATAAAACAGCATGTGTACCCCTGAATGTAAAATAAAAGTAGAAAAGAATAAAGTAATAATCATAAAAAATAAATCTTCACAATTGTGGACTTTTAAATTAAGCATGTTCTTTTTAAGGTGAAAAATGTTTCAATATATAAAACTTTTATTGCTAAAGTAAAAAAAAAGCGTTTTTTGAAGTACTGAAGTATTCTATTTTGCATGTAATATTTCAGGAATCCCAGCTAAAACTTTGTTTACTAATGCTCCTCTTACCTTGTAGGCCCTGAACTCCAAACTTTGTATTTTCAGCACAGTAAGATTTCCATAAACTGCTTAGTTTTACCACGTTTTGACCTGTGGTGCTTAAGAATGAGTGAACGCCTTTAGGGGAAAAGTATTCAGACTCTTGCTCATGTCTCTGTGGTTTCTTTTTCTTGAAAATCTTGGAATCTCAAGCATTGGTTGTCTTGGTAGCCCTGAACTGCTGAAATTTTTGCTCAGCATCTGAAACTATGTCTGCATCACTTATAAATTAGTAAATATAGTCTATAGGGAAACAATGAAACAGAATTTGGGGCTCATCTTGGTGAATTTTTTTTTCTCTCTGGGATTGGTTAAATCCTGGATGTTTTTCTGTATGTTTGATGTTTTCAGATTTTTTTTAAGTTTTTTTCTTTGCTTTTTGTGTTTTATCAAGGTTTATAGTTGCTCTGCATAGAAAGATTCGTTTGCTGCAAGGCAGATCATTAAGCTGAAAGAAAGCCAGCTTCTATTGTTTTTAAATAACAAATAAGAGGAAATAATGAGTAGATTTAGGGGACGATTGAAGAAAGGGGAAAACGTATGAAATAGTCATATTGACAAGCAGGGATGCATAAATGTCAGAGAAATATAATAGTAATTCTAGATAATGATGAATGCCAATTTTAAGATTATACTCATCATTTTAAAGCAAAACCATTCAGCAGAATTATGTGATGTTATCTAGCCAGAAAGGAGTAAATCAGAGATGACATGATGGAGAAAGAATAATCTGAAGTGTTTATAATAATGACCAATAGGAATTTCTGCTGGCCTTTCAAAAAGTGAAGACAGGAGGGGTTAAATGGATAGTGTGGAAGTGTTGAGGATGGCCAGTGGTTTGGGGATCATAATTAAGTTAATGAACTGCTGCTAACAGAGACTGTGCATGAATTTGACTGCTGGGTGTTTAGAGGTATTAATTTCACCATGACTCCATTACTCATACCCCCAATCTCTCAGTGTTCTAATAAGGTGTAGCATGACAATCTGTACCTCATATCAGGGCAACGTATGAGCTTTCTGATTCAATTACTCTGAAACAGAAAAATTTTGACTTTTGAAAAGGGATAATCTAAGTGCAGAAAATGATTATACTTATTATGGAAGTGAGTAGGATAAGATCAATGGTCAATTCAAGGAACAGAAATAATATCAAAAGGTTAGAAAAGTTGGAACAAGGGACAGGTGGACATGTTGCTATAAATTGATAGAAGTGTTGTAGGATAGGGTGGACTCCACAGAGGAGTCCAGGGTCACAATTTGAGGGTGTTTCAGGAAATGTTTCCAAAAGAGCCAGGTGGAGTTGTGAGAACCATACTGGAGAGCATGCTGAATTAGACCAGGATTCTACAGTCAGGTACACCTCCAACCATTACAACTGGACCTAGAATAAATTTCTGTTTATTATTTCGGTATCCAGAAGGAATGCTGTTATAGAAAGAGAAAGAGGACTTTAAATTCACCCAGACCATGGATGTGTTATTAACCTTTGTGAAATAGAGATAATAGTATTTGCACTGTATGGTTTTTTAAAGGATTAAATTTTTGGTGTTCTTTTTTATTTCTTTTAATGTGTGTACCTACTCTATCTATGAAAATGATCGATAAAATTCATTTTATGGATTGTACATTTGGTGTCAAGGTTTAGGACTCTAACTGGCCCTGGTCCTAAATATTTTCTTCTCTTTTTCTAAAAAGCTTTTTTTTTTTTCATTTTACGTAGTACACTTAAGTCCTGATACATTTTTGAAAATGTGTATGTAAGGTTTGAGGGTTAGGTTGAGGTTAAGCTTTTTTGATTGTTTGCTTTTTGCTAGATGATGTCTAATTTCTCCAGCACAGTTGGTTGAAATACTATCTTTCCTCTGTTAAAATGCTTTTGCTCCTTGGTAAAAACTTAGTTGAGCATATCTGTGTTCGTATATTTCTGGGTTTTCTATCCTGTTCCATCGATCTATGTGTCTGTCCCTCTGCCAACATCACGCTGTCTTAATTACTATAGCTATAAGGTATGCCTAACATTGGATAGAGTGATTTCTCCTCCTTAATCGTTTTTCAGTGGTCTTAGGTCTTCTAGGTGTAGTGCCTTAATGTATGAATTTTAGAATAAGCTTATCAATATCTACAAAGAAAATTTTCTGGGATTTTTATAAGAGTTGCATAAATGTAAAGGTTAATTTAGGGACAATTCACATATTTACTGTTTTAGGCCTTCCAATTTATTAACATGGTATATCTCTCCACAAATTCCTTGATTTCTTTCATCAATTTCATCAAATGTAATTTTTAGGATACAGCTCTTGTCCATATTTTATTACATTTATACCTAAGTATTTCATTTTCTGTGGACACATTGAAAATGTTATTGTGTTTTTAACTTTGGTTTCCACATGTTCATTATTATGCTTTAGCTTTTTGAATATTTCTTTGGCATTAGGCTGTGGTCTATGGTTTTTCCTTACCATCAGTACATTCACCTCCAGGAACATTTTTATCAATTTGCTGTCTTCGATCTGCCATGGGCACAAAGTAGATCATGTTTGCAGGATTTGAGACGGATAGAATTATTCGAGGCTTTAAGAGATGCTTGAGGGTCTCTTTTACATATGAAATCTGTATACTCTGTGACAGCTTTTTTGCTACTCATGGATATTTTTACTTATTCTGATATTCATGGCTATTTTTATGGATAATGAAAATTATGTCTGAATAAATAATATTACTGACATGTCAAGGTTTTCAGCTCTGAAGACATTGGTGACAGACAGCAATGTAAATAATACATAAACTAAAATTCAAGTTAGGGCTTATTGCCCTAAAGCCCCTTTAAATAATGTGAGCATAATATGCTCTTTCAAAAAGATGATAGTTTGATGTCTAACATGTAGAATACTGATGAGCTTTAAAGGCATTTCTTAAAGTTAAAAAAATATATTTCCCCTGTGTTTACAAAATGGGCTCATGCAAATAAGAAAAGTTTGCTAATTTTTGGTTCCTAGCATTTTAATTACTATGATAGCACATATATTACTAAGTAAACAACTAGCAGTGTTTACTGTTCTGTTTTCAAGTCTTATCAATAGCATTGATACAAAGTTAGTTAAGATAATGTACCCTATATTTAATTATAGAAATCATTATCATGTACCTGTTATTTAAGAAAAGCTTTTTTTTTTCCCATATGATTGTTGGCTGCACATATGTCATCTTTTGAAAAGTGTCTTTTCATGTCCTTTGCCCGCTTTTTTAAGGGTTTTTTTTTTCTTGCAAATTTAACAAGATACCATCTCACAGCAGTCAGAATGGCTATTATTAAAAAGTCAAAAAGTAATAGATGCTGGTGAGGTTGTGGAGAGAAAGGAACTCTTATACACTGTTGGTGGGAGTGTAAATTAGTTCAACCATCATGGAAGACAGTGTGGTGATTCCTCAAAGACCTAAAAACAGAAATACCATTTGACCCAGTAATCCCATTACTGCATATATGCCCCAAAGAATATAAATTTGACCCAGTAATCCTATTACTGGGTATACACCCCAAAGAATATAAATCATTCTATTAGGAAGACACATGCATGTATATGTTCATTGTCACTATTCACAATAGCAAAGACATGGAATCAATGTAAATAGCCATCAATGATAGATTGAATAAAGAAAATGTGGTACATATGCACCATGAAATACTATGCAACCATAAAAAAGAATGAGATCATGTCGTTTTCAAGGACATAGATGGAGCTCAAGGCCATTATCCTGAGCAAACTAAGGCAGAAACAGAAAACCAAATACTGCATGTTCTCACTTATAAGGGAGAGCTAAATGATGAGCACACATGGACACATAGAGGTGAACACCACACACTGAGGCCTAGTGGAAGATGGAGGGTGGGTGAAGGGAGAGGATCAGGAAAAATAACTAATGGGTATTAGGCTTAATACCTGGCTGATGAAATAATCTGTACAACAAACCCCCACTGCACTCCAGCCTGGGTGACAGAGTGAGACTCCATCTCAAAAAAAAAAAAAGTATATAACAAAATAAATTACTTAATGGAATGACAAAAAAATAAAGAAAAGCTGAATTAACCACATGAAGATAGAGGTTTCACAATTCATAAAGTTAATTAAATAATTGCATAATTGATTAGTTTCACTTTGCTTTGGCCTATGTAAACCAACTCATTGTTCCCCAAGCATTCCTTTTATATACCCCCCTCAGAGCTGCTGCCTATATTTTCCCCTGAAGCTGGCTTCCTGTTGCAAAATGCCAATGATTTGTCTTGTCTTCCTAGTGAGATAAGCAAGTAACCTGCATGTGGAAACTTTTTGGAGCCATTTTTAAATGCAACCTCCTATACATGTCCCCCATATAGTAGACACTCTATACCAGGCCCATGTAGTTGTTAAATGAAACGAAGTACTTATGGCTCATGAGATGTTCTTCTCTACAGATAGTGCAAATTAATTTTGATCAAATTTGCCTAAAGTCAATATTTTTAGTGGTTGGAGAAAGTAACAGTAATAATTTTTCATGTATTTTATCATAGAAAGGTATATACACGTGCACACATGTAAAGTGTTCAAGTCATAAGTATGCAGATTAATAAATTTTTGCATATGTATATACCATGTAACTGCTACTAGGATCAAGATTTTAAAAAGTATTTTTATGTCCTCTGAAGCCTCCTCCATGCCTTGTTCAGGCAATTACTTCTCTTTTCCCTGAAGTAGCCAGTATTTTAAAAATTGAGATATAATTCACATATTATAAAATTCATTATTTAAAAATGTACAATTTAGTAGTTTTTAGTATTTCCACAAGGTTATGCAACAATCACCACTATCTAATTCCAGAACATTTTCATCATCCCCCAAAGAATTCCCATTCCCATAAGCAGTTACTTTCTATTTCAACCTCCCCTGCACCCCTGACAACCACTGTTCTATTTTCTGTGTCTATGGATTTGTTTATTCTTCTCATTTCATATAAGTGGAATCATATAATATGTGGTCTTTTGTTACTGGATTCCTTCACTTGACCTGTTTCCAAAGTTCATCCATATTGTGGCATGAATCAGTACTTTATATTTTTATATCTAAAGAATATTCTTGGCCAGGCACGGTGGCTCATGCCTGTAATCCCAGCACTTTGGGAGGCTGAGGTGGGCGGATCACGAGATCAGGAGATCGAGACCATCCTGGCTAAACAAGGTGAAACCCTGTCTCTACGAAAAATACAAAAAATTAGCTGGGCGTGGTGGCGGGCACCTGTAGTCCCAGCTACTCGGGAGGCTGAGGCAGGAGAATGGCGTGAACCCGGAAGGCGGAGCTTTCAGTGAGCTGAGATTGTGCCACTGCACTCCAGCCTGGGTGACAGAGCGAGACTCCGTCTCAAAAAAAATAAATAGATAAAATAAATAAATAAAGAATATTCTTTTGTATGGATTTCCTGTATCTTATTTACCGATTCATTATTTGGTAAGCATTTAGGTTGTTTCCTGTAACCATTATTTTGACATGGATCTTCATATAAGTGGAATCATACGGTGTGTATAGCATTTAATTTGTAAATATAATGGGGTTATATGTTCATTATATGACTGATAGACATTAGGGTTGCTTCTAATTTTTGGCTGTTATTAACAAAAATGTTGTGAAATTCTTGTATATATCTTTTTAATAACATATCTACACACTTCTTTAGTGTATATACCTAAGACGTGGTTTGATGGGTTATAGTGTTGGTTGATGTTTAGTTTTATTGAAAATTACCAAAGAGTTTTGAGTAGTGGTATGCTATTTGACATTTCTACTGGGATACCCGAGGGTTTTGGATGTTCTACATGTTCTTCAAGACTTGATACATTGTCATCCTTTTACATATTAGCCACTGTGATGTGTGTATTGGTATTTTATTATGATTTTAATTTATCTTTTTCATACTTAATGGTTTTAGAACCTTTCGAAATTTTTATGTTAGAAAATTATTTTTTATTTTTCTGCTTTATTGAGGTATAATTGACAAAAATTATATGTATTCAAAGTGTGCAATGTGAGAATTTGATATATATGTGAATGACTACCAAAAGCAAGCTAATTAACATATCTATCATCTCACACAGTTACCTTTGTTCTCTGTGTGTGTCGTGACAGTTATTATTAATTACAGTCAACAAGGTGCACATTAGGTCTCTAGAACTTATTCATTTTATAACTGCAAGTGTGTATCTTTTGACAAACATCTCCCCATTTCTTCCACCCCCCCCCCGCCCCCAGCTCCTGGTAGCCACCCTTTACCCTGTTTCTATGGGTTTGAGTTTTATAGATTCCACATATAGGTGAGATCAAGCAGTATTAGTCTTTATTCATCTGGCTTATTTCACTTAGCTCAATGTCCTCAAGGTTCATTCTACGTTTTCACAAATGGCAAGATTCCATGCTTTTCCAGTTTGAGTAATAGCCATATATATATATTTATATTTATATTTATATTTATGGCTATTATATGTATATGTATGTATGTGTATATATATGTCCATTATATATATATAATATATATAATATATTCCTAGAATATATATAGAATATATATATATATTCCTAGAATATATAGGAATATAATATATTCCTAGAATATATTATTATATAGAATATATTCCTAGAATATATATTATTATATAGAATATATTCCTAGAATTTTCCATGGCAGTAATGCATGCATAAATAATGTGTAAGAAACAACATATGCACCATAATAAATATAATCGACATATAGTAGATATAGCAAATACATATTTGACATGTAGCTGATAGCCTGCTGGCTATTCCCATCAAGTGAACCATTTCCATAAGCTCTCTTCACTCTTTTTCATTCTTTTTTCTCCTCAAACCGAATATTTTCAAATGACCCATCTTCAAGTTCACAGATTCTCTCTTCTTCCTGAGCAAATATGCAGTTGAATTCTCTATTGCATTTTTCACTGTGTTCATTGTATTCTTAAGCTCCAGAATTCCTGTTTGGTTCTTTTTTGTGACTTTATTTATTGAACTTCTTATTTTGTTCACGTATTACTTTTCTGATGTCTCCGAGTTGTGTGTGTGTGTATATATATATATTATATATATATGATATACTATAATATATGTATTATATTATATATAATATATAATATATGATATATGATATATAATATATAGTATATTATATATTATATATTATGTATATGTGTGTATATATATATTATATATTATAATAAATATATTATGTCATATATAATTATATATAATATATAATATATATATAGATACACACACACAGAACTCAGAGACATCAGAAAAGTAATACGTGAACAAAATAAGAAGTTCAATAAATAAAGTCACAAAAAAGAACCAAACAGGAATTCTGGAGCTTAAGAATACAATGAACACAGTGAAAAATGCAATAGAGAATTCAACTGCATATTTGGTCAGGAAGAAGAGAGAATCTGTGAACTTGAAGATGGGTCATTTGAAAATATTCGGTTTGAGAAGAAAAAAGAATGAAAAAGAGTGAAGAGAGCTTATGGAAATGGTTCACTTGATGGGAATAGCCAGCATCCTATCAGCTACATGTCAAATATGTATTTGCTATATCTACTATATGTCAATTATATTTATTATGGTGCATATGTTGTTTCTTATATATTATTTATGCATGCATTACTGCCATGGAAAATTCTAGGAAGCATACTTGTGCATATAAATATTTAAATAACTATACTTTTTTGTCTATTTCAGTGGTTCCAGAGGACTAAATTCCTGAGGCAAACTTTACTTATAATGAAGAGTTTAATTTACCAGAAAGCTCAGTCAAATATTGCTATCCTATTTCAACTATAACTAATAATGTAACAGGCTTTACTAAATGAAAACATATCGATCAGGGTCTGCTTTGTTAAGTGTCAGCATAGTGGGAGAGTGAAAGGAAGAGCTTGTACTCTTTGAAAGATTTCTGATTTTATTTTACATAGTCAGTTTACACATACATACACTGATATATATATATTTTTTCACACATACACGCTGATATATGTACATGTATACATATACACACTGATATACTTATATAAATCTATAACCTATGTAAGTGTTAGTGTTGTGAAAAAATGTTTGAATATGATTTCAATTGCTGAACTATATTTTGTTTTATCTTGTTTAGCTTTTCTTACACTTAATAATTTCCCAATCTTTTCAAGATAACTTTGTAGCTGTTATTTTATATATACTTGATTTAAAAAATCTATATGCACACAGACACATGAATATACACACATATGGCATATGAGAATATGTATGTATGTATCTGAATATATATATATTCTTTTATATCATCAACTCTCAAATTCTTTTTGGATTTAGAAGTAATATAAAAAATATAATCAATCAATATATTCTTTACTTCATTTACTACTCTGTGACCTATTTTGACTACCTTTACTTTCTACAGTTGGTGTTTTGTGTGTGTGTGTATATGTCTTAAATTGTATAAATAATTTGGAAAGACAGCTTACTTTACTTTGCTCTCTCTATTGGAAGACTGGTAGATTTAAACATCAACTTTCAAAATCACAGTCATTCCAAGAAATAATTTATTTGGCATCTCTAATTTCTGTTTCATGTATTTATTTTTTCTCTTTAAATACTACCTGTTTGTTTAATAGGTAACTTTGTTTATAATGTAAACTTTTTTTCACCATTGAGGTATAATTTACAAACAAAAATTGCATATATTTAAGGTATACAGTGTGATGTTTTGTGTATATATATGTAAAATGAAATAATCACTACAGTCAAACTAACCTGTATTACTTCATACAGTTATCCATTTTTTGTGTGTGTGGTGAGAATATTTAAATATTCCTTTTTAAACTAAACTTTTAAAAGTAAATTTAAAAAATTGAGATATTACACAATACTGATAAGTGAACAAATTATATTATAAATAAATAGTTTGATAAAATTTCACAAAGTGGACACATGTGTAGCCAGGATATTAAAACCTTATTATCAGAACCCCAGAAGTCTATATCCCATGTCTTCTTCAGGAATTAACCAACTCTGGCCCTCAAGAGTAATGTAAACCTTGACCTTCAGCACCAGAAATGAGTTTTGCATTTATGAACTTTATATAAATGGATATAGAGTATACTCTTTTGTATCAAGCTCTTTTTCAGTCAACATTATGTTGTTGAGATCCATGGATTTATCCTATATATAGTTGTTACTTCTTTCATTCTCATTGCTGAATAGCGGTTCATTATGTGACTGTGCCACAATGTATTAATATTTATCTATTTCAACATTAATGAATCTTTGAGTAATTTTCAGTTTGGAGCTATACCCACTGTATATATGCTATACCCACTGTAGTTCACAAGATTCGCTGCATATATACAGACATTTCTCTTGCATATATATCTGCAAGTGAAATTCTTGGGTCTTTGAATATATGCATGTTCAACTGTTACAATATAGCCAGATGATTTTCCAAAGCACCTCACTCCCACTTCGTATGAAGTGACTCATTCTTTTTTTTTTTTTTTTTTTTTTTTTTTTTGAGATGGAGTCTCGCTTTGTCGCCCAGGCTGGAGTGCAGTGGTGTGAACTTGGTTCACTGCAACCTCCACCTCCCAGGTTCAAATGATTATCCTGCTTCAGCCTCCCGGGTAGCTAGGACTACAGGTGCCTGCCACCACACCCGGCTAATTTTTGTATTTTTAGTAGAGATAGCGTTTTGCCATGTTGGCCAGGCTGGTCTCAAGCTCCTGACTGGCTCATTCTTTTAAGGATGGGAACATCACTTGTCATGGGGACTAAAAAGATCATGGCCAGTAGAAAACAATATTGTTTGTATTTTTCTGGGCAGTAAATACACTTAAAAGTATATTTCTAATTTTAGAAAATACTTTCACAGGTATGTAAAAGCACTGTTATTTAGTCAAATATCTGCCTGTAAGACAGTAAAGACACGAGATTAAGAGCAAAGCACAGTAGAAGCTCTAAATTTCATCAAAGCCCTGCCTTTGGAAAGCCAGTGGCCCAAGACATTTGCTGCCTAACAAGTTAAAAAATGGTAACAATTGCTGTTTGTTGTTACTGCAAAACTAATATTGTGAAAAACCTGGTAGAATTGGTTCACGATGATTCTGAAGCAAAAACTTTAGGTCTCATTTTTATATATGAAGTCTAGTCACAGGAACTTTATCTCTAAAGTGAAACCAATGAGGTTTAACCTATAATACTTCACTGGTTGCGGCAGCCTTTTATTGCTAAATATGACCTTTTATTTTTAAATAATGGAAGTTAATTTGGTTTGGTTTTATTCACTACATTGTTCCTGGGTTATTTCCTTGGAGGTTTTGACACCCCTAGAGATTGTCAGAGTGACATCCAGAGAGCAACTTCCTTTTGCTTGGCATGACTGCATGACTGCCTGGTTATACTTTTTATTTCCTTTAAATATAAAGGTGAGCTTTCTTTTCTTCCCAAGAAATGAATGAGAATTAAATTCCTGTAAAGAGCTACTTAAGCTCCTCATTCCCAGGAAGGATTGTAAAAATATTTTATGTGCAAATGTCACTTGCCTGACTCTCTCCACTGGCTTTCACTGACTTAATAATACCAGCTCCATTAGATTCATGAAGAGAGATTAATTAACAGTGCATAACTTAATTGTGTCAAAAGAAGGAGAGATTTGGTGGTAGCTCCAATGTCTATCAAAATGTCATTAATGCATTTATTCCTTTGTCCTAAAAATAGAGGGATCATTTAACTTATTCATTATTATTAGAAATAGCTGATACTGAATTATTCCTGAAGAAGGATTTTATAGATAATCAATACAATAACTTAGAGCAGTAAAAGACCTCAAGAAGAAGCCTTGTTTAGTTTACTACCTTCAGGCACTTAAAGTGAAATTATCCTCATTATCCCCATTTGCACATTAGAAATTTGTTATAGCTTCATTAATAGTGTTCAGTCTGTGAACACTGAGCTAGAGGGTAGTGGTAGTAGAATAACTTCACTAAGACTAAAGATCTCCCAGATTCTGCCTCATTACACTATACAATTCTACTTTTGTTTCAGGTGAAATTGCCATCCCTCTTTCAAATGCATTTGGAAGATTAAAGAGAGATATTATTAAGAACATGCAACATACTCTCATACACAGTTGGTTAGAGTGTAATTTGGTTTACCTTTTCTAGGATGCAGTTTGGCAACAGCCTTAAAGATGTTTTGGCATTTTACCTACTAATTTTTCTTCTAAAAATTTGTGCTTAGACAATCTGATATAGGTACAAGGTTATTTGTTGTAACTTGATTTATGAAAGGGAATACTGGAAATCTTGATATCCAATTATAATGTAATGGTTAAATTAATTGTGCCATAAATATTTGATGGGATATTGTACAAGGATTGAAATTTGGTTTTAAAATATGTATTTCATAGCATAGGAATTGATTATAATGTGATAATGAGTCATTATAGCAAGAAATAAAATAGTAGAGTTTGAAGTTTTGTAACGATGGTATCTACACATAGATAAGTGTAAATAATGGAAGAGTTTTTTCCTCTATGATTTTTATTTTCCATATTTTATATAATAAATATTAAAAAGCATTTTAAGTATATTCAAAGAACGAGTGAGAAGATAAAGCCTTCTTTCTTTGACTCTCTCTAGTCAACCATTTCTTTAGAGGATTTTGGTTTAATTTATTGCCTTCTCTGTTAATTATCATATTTAGACTCCCTTATCTTCTAAGGTTTTGTGACATTATTGATACCATAGTGCATGAAAGTGATAGAGGGAAGGGACCCAAGGAAAGTAACATTTATCAAATGCTAACCTCTGGCTCAGGTCCTTTTCATGTATACAATAAAACTTGTGTTTCAAATAAGATGTCTTCCTCTGGGTGAGTAGTAATGTGATATAACAACTTAACAGTGAATCCTATGTCTTTATCAACATATTGAAGTATGTGATACATTTGTTGGAGCTGAAATTAAAAAGTGCTTAAAGATGGAAATAAATTGGCAATGAAATTTAGGCTGTTCTATGGCAGTGGCGGGGCATTTATGGTTTCCTAATAAATAAACTATAGATTTGATCAATTGGACCTTAAATAATTTTCAAAAATCAGCATTTTAATTTTTTTAGTACAGAGAACCAGAAAACATGAGAAGGTACCAGATATTATATTTTTTTCCTGGTTGAGCTTCACGAAGGAGCGTAGCTTAATAGCTGGAACTCAAGAGTTTGGGGTTTTGCTAGTAATTTGTTGAGAGGACTTGAGCAAGTCACATAACCTTTATGAGACACATTCACTTTATCTGTAAAATGGCAGTGAACTAGGAACAGTGACTTTTCAAACCATGCCTAATTGGATGCTTCAGGGGAGCAGGCTCAATAAGAGTTTTTGCTGATGGATCTGGAGGGCCTGTATAGTACCAGGCACATAACTAACACGTAACCAGTGCTTAATAATCATCAGCTAAATGAATGACTGAATGTGCTCTAAGCAATCCTGCCTGGGAGTCTGCCTTTCCAGCGAAGCTTCTGTCAGCATAATTCTGCTTATTTCTAATTTATATGTTGAGCATAAAGGAAGGTGTTCATTAAAAAAAGTAAAGAATGATTTTATGGTTGAAACCAAGTCTGAAATATCTATTGATAATTCTGTGTTACTATTTCTGGTTATTATTTAAAAACAACAACAACAAATTACAACACCTCTTACTCTCATTTTCTTCTATGTATTACTAAATTCTATGAGAAAGCTGTGTCTATACTGTATTCATGGTAGAAAGAAGGATAATCTGTGCTTTGACAGATAAATCAGTGATGACTAGACAGAGAAAGGGAAGATGGGACATGCCAGTAAAAAGGAAAAGCATGTGTGAAGGCAAAGAGTAATGGGAGAACATGGCAAGCTTAGGTGGTGAGAAAGGTGATGTTATTGGAAGGCATGGTTGGAGGACGGTAGTAAGATTGGAGCAGGATTCCACCATAAAGAGCCCTGTATGCTTGGTTAGGACTTTGGCTGTAGTTGGTGGGGAAGCAAGCCATCAGATATTTTAAGAAAACAGAGATGACATGATAATATATGTGTTTCACTAAGAGTTCTGTAGTCAAAATGTGGAGGTTACATCTTTGGAGCTTGAGAATATTTGCTAAGATACCTCTTGACTTTGGGTTTAGTGAATATCATAAAGAATTTGAAAAAGGTTTTCTTTTTCAGACCATGACATTCATTTTTTTTTCCCCAGGGTTGTTTTGCAGAATTCTGAAAAATGGTTTCTTACATACTGTCATTGTTACAGGACCCCAACACTTACCCAAAGATAGCCGTTGGGTCAGGGTTTCTGCACTACAGTCCCTTCTGTGGTCACCAGAAATATGTTACAGGAAAGCGGTCCTGATTCAGACCCCAAGAGAGGGTTCTTGGATCTCATGCAAGAAAGAATTCAGGGCGAGTCCACATTACAAACTGTGACTTATTAAGCAAGTTTATTAAGAAAGTAAAGGAGTGAAAGAATGGCTACTCCATACACAAAGCAGCCCTGAGGGCTGCTGATTGCCCATTTTTATGGTTATTTCTTGATGATATTCTAAACAAGGGGTGGATTATTCATGCTTCCCCTTTTTAGACCATATAGAGTAACTTCCTGACATTGACATCGCATTTGTAAACTGTCATGGCACTGATGGGAGTGTAGTAGTGAGGATGATCAGAGGTCACTCTTGTGGCCATCATGGTTTTGGTAGGATTTAGCCAGTTTCTTTACTGCAAGCTATTTTATCAGAAAGGTCTTTATGACCTGTATCTTGTGCCAACCTCTTATCTTATCCTGTGGCTTAGAATGGCTTAACTCTCTGGAAGTGTAGCCCAGTACGTCTCAGCCTCATTTTACCCAGCTCCTATTCAAGATGGACTTGTTCTAGTTCGCATCCCTCTGACATTTCCCCCTCCCCTTTATAAGAGAACCCTTAATCATAAGGGTTGCAGAGGGATGAAGATCCACCTTCTGTAATGTCTTCAGGCTTAATAGGGGTGATGATATTCCTGCCTAACTATTAGGGTCTCTTGTGTTCAGGTAAAGAGGAGCTTAGTCAGAAAACATCAGTATGGCGAGGGCCATTTATAACTCTTGAGTTTCGACAAGAGGTGATATCTGGAAGATTGATAAGTGTTTAGTTTAAGGAATCATTCAGTAAGCTTGTTCTGTATTCCTACACAAAGAGTATAACAGTAATATATTCCACAAGGGCAAAGCAAAA
The DNA here is from genome assembly GCF_000001405.40 of Homo sapiens. Classification (NCBI taxonomy): domain Eukaryota; kingdom Metazoa; phylum Chordata; class Mammalia; order Primates; family Hominidae; genus Homo; species Homo sapiens. Next base: position 62,810,059 of record NC_000014.9, on the reverse strand, counting down.
TGAATAAAGTTATTCCAGGTAAACTAAATTAGAAGACTTTTCATGAACTAGGCAACTGTTGGAACTAAGCTGATATGGGCTTGTTAGCTGATTGTAATATGCCCAGAATTAGAATACTGATCCAGGTTTTTATATTACCCATCCCTCTTGTTTCTTCTAAACAGCAGTCAGAGATCATTGGTTGGTTCACAGGAATGAGCAGGGTTAGCCTAAATTGCAGAAACAAACTTAAAAACAACTACTGAGACTAGAATTTAGTAATACGTGTACCATAGTTCTTGAAAAATAATATTTCTCTCTCCAGTTTCTCATTTTTACTAAAGACAAATTCCGGTAAGACTGATTTGCTTTATTAGACTTGGCGTGATAATTTGTATAAAGTTCAGCAAGAATAATTATATTTCACATAAGCTTCTTAATTGGCTTTGATAGAACTCTGTTTCATAAGGAATCTCATATAAGACTTTTTTAAAGCCAAGCCCTGCCATGGGTTTGTACCCTCAAATACCTATGAGTTGAGTAAATTCCTCTCCTTTTGAGGTTCCACGATAACCTGTGGCTCCTGGACCTGTGAGAAAGTGACATTCTTTACTTACCATAGGTCAGAAACCCTGTAAAGGGACTGTGTAGGCAAGGTATGAGGCTAGTTCCCCAAAGGGCTTTTATTGGCTCTACAAGTCAAGTTTGATTCCTTAAAGGAAAGCAAACCATTCCAGTCAAAGTCTTGGTAAAATAACCAATTTCTCCAGTTGTGTCCTGTTACAAAATAAAACAGATTCTTATTGCACTTAAGCAAATAACTATATTGCCATAAGTTAAGAATACTCATAACTAGTTTCCAAATTCTGGAGAAATCAGTTAGAGAGAAACAAATATGTTCTAAATTTTGTTCACAGCAGTATACTTTGCTCAATTGCTACAAGCTGTAAATAGCTCAAAAGAAAAGATTCTTTGACTCTGAAAAACAAAACAAAGGCTCAGCAACGTTTTAAGCAAAGTTAAAAAGTTTTCTATTGGTTAAGTTAATTCAATTAACTCCTGTTCTGTTTGATATTCATGAACGTTCCAGCTCTTCATGAGAGTTCTGAAAGTTATTTTCTCTATTCTAATGTTACAATTTCCAAAGGTATTAGAAACCTGTGTTTAAGAACACCTGCTAGAGTTCTATAGTTTATTACAAACCACCTTCTAAAGAGGATTAAAACAAGGCAACAGTTGACTGTGGTTGATAAAAAGTTTTAGGACAGCCACAATTAAAGCCACAATTGATAAGGAACTTTGGTTACTTCTGTGGCATACACAGTTTTACATAACAATTATAATTATTAATAACATACACTAAGTCATATTAGAATTACAGGAGTTTCCCATAACTTTGGAACATATACCAGTAACATATTTATGCAAATACAGTCCAAAGAAAGCAAAACACCATTTCACATTTGATAATGCTTCCTGTATGATTTTTATACCAAATAAGCCAAACTTCACCTTTATAATAATGTACTATTAATGTTAAACTGAATTTTTCATAAAACTTTATAGACATATTAACTCAATTTTAATGTTTAACCATAAGGTTAGATTCTTATAAACCTTTTATAACCCTTTACATTTTTTTGTGAAAGAGCAGATCAGTGCTCTAAGAAAAACCTGTTGTGCTTCTATTCCAATGTTTAATTTACAGAAAAACTGAATAATACCTCTTTAACTTTAGCCAATATGTTTACACACAGAATCTTTTACAGTTAATTTTTATAAACCTTCCACAACCTGTTTAAATCTTTAGCTTTATTCTATCTAACTTAAAACACCCTTTACACACAAAAAAATCCACATTCCCAGGCCTTCTTAGAATCTTTTACCAAAAGTCCATTCCACTTTCCTTACACACCTTACATGTAAAACTGTATCTTCAGTAGTCTCAATTACATGTTATGTTATTAACTTTTAGTGACTTTTACTTTTGGTGAAAACCCTGGTTGGTAAGCAATTTTAATCATGTACTAGGTGTGGAGCCTAGCCTAAGATATACCAGGCAGAAGTGCAGATAAGAACCAACTCTCCAGCATAGCTAGGGGGCATGACTAACTCCACACGTCCCTAGGCCTTACCTTACTTAAGAAGGCAAGTTGTACAGTAAGAGTTATAGTGTCATTTTATGAAGCATTTAGGAGGCCTAACAACCTTTAAATTGTACAACATTTTTTGCATAAATTCCCTTTAACAAATCCTTTCGCAGCTTACACAGACCATCTGAGACATTCTTGGACTTTCTGACTTGCTCTAAACATCCCTCCTTTTAAACAACCAGTCATTTTACTTTAGGACAAGAATTTACGGTACAAGATCCTTTTTTATATAAAATCTCTTTCTTTATAATCTTTGTATAGCTAGGGGGCATGGCGAATTCCACATGTCCCCAGGTCTTATCTATAATCTAATGGCTTTAAGGTAGGTAAATTTAACAATTTTTAAAAGTTCAAGAAGCAGTTTATGACCTTAAAGCATTTAGCAAACTTAATATCTGACCTGCATAATTTAGACTAAATGTTTTTATTTTATTAATAATTTTTAAAGCTGTTTTTATTTTGCAAATATTACTAAAGTTACATGAACTAAAAGGCATTATAGTTTTTTATTTTGCTTTCAGAATATTGAAGTGCTTATTTTTGTTTCAGCCAATTAATTAGAGCTCTTTTATATAAACATTACATACAACATATATATAGCTACACAGAAAGACAGAAGGTTACTAGAGTAGTTGTCAGATTTTTCATATGCAAGTTTCTGAGTTATTATTTGGGTTACTGTGTTTAGGTTCATGTTTTTTATTTTTTGTTTTCTTTGACAGAGTCTAATCCAACCTCTGACTTGGAGTTTCAACAAGTGGTCTCTGGGCAAGATGGTCACCCTGAGTAATAGAAATGATAAGAAAGGGAAAGGAGAGAGAGAAAAGCATTGCCTGTGCAGTGTGGGGAAGGCAAAATGATCAGGGAGGCCAGAGAAAGACCTTCCCATTGCAGTGACACTGAAAAGTTCAGGCAGCTGCTTCTTGGTAGCAAAGGGATCTTTTCCAGCAATCCTGTCAGCTCTCAAGTTTCCCCTTTCAGGGAGGAAAAACCTCCCCATATCCCACAATCCTGTACATGCCTAACCCTGTCACCCACAGCCATCAGCAAAGAGAGCAAGGCAGATTAATCCAAAGAGAATAGCAGTTAACATCCCATAGTGCCAAACCTGTTCTTAGCTGAGAGGGACTTTACCAAGAGGGGCCTCTAACCCCCTAAATCTTAGAAGGGACTCTAACCCTCCTAAGTTGGGCCTCGAACCCAATGTCAGTCAGGCATCCTTGCCTTTTATTAAGAGGTGCCTCTAACCCACTCTGTCTTGGGAGAGACTCTAACTCCCCTAAGTTGAGCCTCTAACCCAATCCCATTCTTTATCTGGGTTGCCCACCACTTACCCAAAGTTATCCAGTCAGTGCTGCGGTCTGCTTCCTTTGTAGGGAGGGTGGTTTCTTCAGTATCGTCCCTTCTGTAGTTCACCAGAAATATGTTACAGGACCCCAACACTTACCCAAAGGTAGCTGTTGGGTCAGGGTTTCTGCACTATAGTCTCTTCTGTGGTTGCCAGAAATATGTTACAGGAAAGAGGTCCCGATCCAGACCCCAAGAGAGGGTTCTTGGATCTCACACAGGAGAGAATTCAGGTCAAGTCCACAGTACAAAGTGAAAGCAAGTTTATTAAGAAAGTAAAGGAATAAATGAATGGCTACTCCATAGAGCAGCCCCAAGGGCTGCTAGTTGCCCATTTTTATGGTTATTTCTTGATGATATGCTAAACAGGGGGTGGGTTATTCATGCCTCCCCTTTTTAGACCATATTGGATAACTTTCTGACGTTGCCATGACATTCGTAAACTGTCATGGCGCTGATGGGAGTGTAGTAGTGAGGACAATCAGAGGTCACTCCGTGGCCATCTTGGTTTTGGTAGACCAGCTTCTTTACTGCAACCTGTTTTATCAGCAAGGTCTTTACGAGGTGTATCTTGTGCCAACCTCCTATCTCATCCTGTGACTTAGAATGCCTTAACTGTCTGGAAATGCAGCCCAGTAGCTTTCAGCCTCATTTTACCCAGCACCTATTCAAGATGGAGTTGTTCTGGTTCACATGCCTCTGACACCATAGCTCTTACAAGAAAATTTATTGCTCATCTTAACGAGTCTAATTTATTAATATTCTGTTGCAAAGAGGGGACAAACAACTCTGAAAACAAACAAAAGTCACTTTTAACCTAAGTATTTTCTTCTGAAATATAATTTTATTTGTTTGTAACTATGAAATCCTCATTAGGAAACCTACCTACAATAAATTGGATCTGATATTCAAGGCAGAATACATGGAAAGTGAGACCAGTGGGCCAGGTCTTGAATGATAATTTTACTCCATCCCTTAAAACCAAGTTTTGCCTTGGCTAAGACTGTGATTAACATTTCATTTCCAGAGTAAATAACAAGATACTTATATTTTGATGACAAAAACATCATGTAACACACATGCTCTGTCTAAGGTTGGAGAAGGAAGGTGCTTGCCAGTGGGTGTGACTTTGGTTGATCTTTTTAGCATTTAGTTTTACCTTGTCACTTTTTGATATCTGGATATAAGTAGATACCATCAATCAAAATAATAAATCAATTAGTGTCATATGTTAAGTGAAACAAAAAAGGAAAGGTGTACTCATAATGTAATAAAATCCTCTTTTGACATGCCAATAAACAGAGAATATTGCAAATACTGGACTATTTCATTTGCAACATGAATCCTGAAAAACATTATTAAAAGGAAATAACATGACTATTACCAAAATGAATAGAAAACAATGAAAGTCCTATGTGGTAAATGGATCAAAATAGAGCAGTCTATTTTTCCATTAAGGTATTCAGTGTAATGTTTGTGTATGTGTGTATGTATTTAAATTTTTTCGTTCTTCTAGAGCTAATTTCATTTTCAACTGGGAAAAAAATATTAACCTTAATCAGTGCTTAAAATATCTTCAGGTTTGTGCTGAAATATTTTCTTAATTCTGTCTGGAAACCAGTCAAACTGTCCAGATGAAGACTGCAGACAGAGTGGAAAGTGAAAAAAGAAAATTGCTTTTGTAGAGAGTTTAAGCAACAATAAACTCTGTAGGAAGACAGATGTTCCGTAGTGATGATAAGAGCTAGTATTTCCTCTGCCCTTGCTATGTGCCAGGCTAAACTAGGCTCAACTCATGCCCTTTCATTTAATTTCTGCAATAAGCCTAAGATATAAGCACTATCATTATCCCCATTTCACAGATGAGGTTTAGAGGAATTAAATAAGGTGCTCCAGGTTACAAAGGTTGTGATAGTTTTGAACCCAGACTTACGTCCTCTTGAGCCTGACCTTTTTTGCTGCCTCTAAGTAAAGACTCACAGGCAGCACATGCTTTTATGTCACTCTGGCCATGCTCCCATCATACCACTTTTTTCATTGTATTGCAATTGTCCCTTTACACGCCCACCTCCCACACTTTCTGGTTAGCTAACCTGAGGCAAACACAGTGTCTTATCCTTCTAGTTCTGAGGATTTAGCACAGTGATGTGACCCATTGTGGAAGCTCAGTAAGTGCCTATAGAATGACTAATATATTGTCCAAAGTCAGTAAAGGTTTATATATTAAATAAAACATTGCCTTATAGAAAATAACTGATGTGAAAACAGCGTCAATTACTTTTAAAGCTGTGTTAGGCATTCCTTTCCTCAAAGATCAGATTTTTCAGAAAGGTGGGTGAGCAGATTGCTGCTGCCTATAGAAATTTGAGGGAGTATGAAAAAAACCCAGAGATGATTAAATAATGTGAAATGTATGTAGAGCATTAAGAAAGGATAAGAGAAGGGATACTGAAAGCATAATTTAATTAATGGTTTTTGCATTTATGATGGGCTTGTCTTCTCTACAGGGAAGCAACCCAGTTTTCATTGATAGTGACCCCCAAATAAAAGGAATAGTCAGGGGACATTTTCAAGCCTTAGGAAATTTTTTAAAGCTTAAAATGCAATTAGTAGAGGAAAGAAAACTATTTTATATTTATTAAAATATTATGCAGTATAACTTAATGGGGTAAATCAATTTAGCTTCAGCTTTGAGGGATTGAAATCCGATCAAAGAAAATCATTTCTGGCTATAAAGAATAGTTTACAAAGGGGGTTTGAGGAGGATTCTAAATGAGTTTGCACTTGCATCTTTAAAATGGGTGGTATTAACTTCCGCAATCACATCTTGCTCCACGATGTTCTGATTAAATATGATGATAATGTCCATTTTAATGTGGGTCTTTAATCACCCTGTCAGAAAGCTGTAGCCAATAAAAGCTCTCTACCCCTTGCTGTATAAGCATACTTCTGCCATTTGCTTCCTCTTTTAAAGGATGCCTACAGCGTGAATTCTGCTACTGCCTGCAGTAGTCTTCAGAAGTCAGAGACCAGAATGAACAAGGACTGCCATACAAAATAACATACCCACCCTGCCAGCACTGACATTTCCAACCACCCAAGCCTTACAGAAGGCTGGTCAATACCCTTGTCCCTTCCTGGACATGAATTTATTTGTAAAAGGAAAATCTTCAGAGTGAAAAAAATATATCAAGAGTGGAGTTAGTCTGCCAGTGCCAGTATGTCAAGTTGCCAGGGTGCTTTTGTTGATTTTGTTTTCTGAATCCACCTCCAATGTGGAATTTTGATTTAGTTATAAAAAAAATTCTGAAACATCTGCTAGATTAAAATGAATGTTCATGCCCTATTTTACTTGACTCTTTGATGAAATGACATTAACTTTTTTATGAGACTCTTCTTGACCACCTCAAAACTGTTTTGTTTTTGTTTTGAGATAAGGTCTTGCTCTGTCACTCAGGCTGGAGTGCAGTGGCACGACCTTGGCTCACTGCAATCTCTGTCTCCTGGGATAAGGTGATTCTCCCACTTCAGCCTCCCAAGTAGCTAGAACTACAGGCATGCACCACCACGGCCAGCTAATTTTTGTTTTTTTTGTCTTTTTAGTAGAGACAGGGTTTCACCATGTTGCCCAGGCTGGTCTCGAGCTACTGAGCTCAAGTGATCTACCCGCCTTGGCCTCCCAAAGTGCTGGAATTACAGAAGCCACCATGCCCAGCCAAGGCTGTGTTCTTTCTGAGGGGAGATCCATACTCTTCTCAAAGCATTTACTACATAGTTCTGCATTGTCATGGTCCATATGCTCATCAGCCCATCTCAGTGGATTATTACCTCCTTGAGAGCGGAGCTGTGTCTTGTTCCCTTTGCCTTCCCAGTACCCAGCAAGGTGTGTAGCAGTGTAGCAGACATAGTCATAGTCAATAAATATTTGTTGGATGATTGTTTTTCTGAAGTGGCCCCTTCCTCTTTCCTTTTCACTTATTCATCTCTCACCTTCTTTAGGTCCTCTCCATCTGTCCCAAGGACATGAGAGCTGATATCTGTGTTCATCTAAACCGGAAGGTTTTTAATGAACATCCTGCTTTTCGATTGGCCAGCGATGGGTGTCTGCGCGCCTTGGCGGTAGAGTTCCAAACCATTCACTGTGCTCCCGGGGACCTCATTTACCATGCTGGAGAAAGTGTGGATGCCCTCTGCTTTGTGGTGTCAGGATCCTTGGAAGTCATCCAGGATGATGAGGTGGTGGCTATTTTAGGTACTGTGAACTTTCCTAATGTAGTAGCAAATGCGTAGTAACAGTTTTAGATATTTTGCTTTTCGCATTTTTAAAGAGAAATTTCCTTTGTTTGGTAACTTTGGAAATTGGGTCACTAATGAGACGTGAATCTTAATGAAAACTAATAATGCTATTTCAGCAGAGAACATTAGTATCAGTCACAACCTAATGGGCTGAGTTTGATTAAACTTTCTTTGGCAACAGTAGGACAGTACCTTTTAGACTAAAGGTGGTCGCAGCCTAACGTGCCTTGTAGCTCCATGTTAGTAAGTGTGAAAATGGCTTGTGGAATGATTGACGTGGTAGTGATGAAGGGTGTTAGTCTCAGAAGGGCAACAGAACCTGTCTAGTTCAACCCTTTTCTTTAGAGAGGAGCCAAGTGAGGTCCAGAGAAGCTTAGTGACTTTCCCAATTAGTAAATGAATGGAGGCTTGAAAATAGATCATTTTACCCCAGAACTTTCTCCCTCATCACGGTCAACCTAAGTAGTGAGCTGAAAGTGTGGAGGAGGTTAATGAGTCTGACTCTTTATAGCAGAGTGATCGCAGTATAAGTAAATTAAATTTAGGTTTATAAAGCTGGTTCTGTCCTCTATATTAATAGGCCATAAAAATTATTTGGCTAATAATAAATTCATTTTAAAATTTAGAGCATTTTAGAATTTAGAATTCAGTAGATAGTTGTACTAACCACAACCACAACAATAAAAGGGCAGTAACAGTATATATAAGTGATAAAATAAAAAATGTTGCATGTTTGGGGACAGTGTAGGATATACGCTTGGCAAAAAAAAAAAAAAAAAAAAAAATTGCCAAATGACCTTTTAGATCATTTTCTGCTCAAATATCTGCAGCAGTTTCCTGAAATCCACAGATATAAAAGGAAGTAATAATGAGGTCAGAGGAGAATCATTTCTTTTTTTTTTTTTTTTACCAGGTAAAATAAGTTAGAATTGCAGGATGTCGACTTCATTTTGATCACATTGTTCATGGCTTGTGTCTCATGAAAAATGAGCTCAATTTTTAAACTATTGGATTTTCAGCTACTGAGGTCAACCTACCATAGCTTGAATGCCACTTATTCTCAAAAGTAAAAGATTAACTGATAGATTTTAAAAACTACAAAAGCAAAATCCACCACAATATAATGAAAAATTGACTTCAAAAAGCACCATTACTTGAAAAATATAGAATTGAGAATGGAAAAGAAATGACCCTTCATAGGGAAACAGGTTCTGTAAAAATTGTGAGTTCTAGAAAATGGTTCAGGGTTGCAAATGACTGAATACCAAGGTTTGTAAGCCTTTCCTTAACTGCATATAAATAATATTAGAATTACAGTTAGATTTCTTCTAGGAACTGTTTTTTTTTTTCAAGAAGAAAATACGACATTTTAGAGTCAACATTCTGGGTATGTTTAATGCTCGTTAGTGCTTGTTCTGCTTTGTTTACTGGAGTATAAAGGAGATAAATATAACCCTTCATAAAAAGTTGTACATTTCACCAGAGCAATCCTTTGTGGTAAAATGAAGCATATTTACACTCTGTAAACCATTCTTGTTTGCTTAAAGAAGAGGATACATACACACTAAGCAAACTATTCTTGTTTGCTTAAAGAAGAGGATAAAATACAAGGCCAAAACAAATGTATTTTATTTTCCTGAATGTCCACATCAAACGTGGGTAGGAAAAAAATATCAAATGTATTACATGAAAATGTAATATCATGATAACCCTCATGATAAATTACCTCAGCTGTAGACTCATTATTATTTGCTTTGTCCCGTTTTCTTCATTACAACTTCATTTGGGTAACTCCTTTTCTAAAAGAAGGTTGGAGAAAGTCCTGGGTACAGTGCCTCTAGCCTGGGTCTGCTCAAATGAGACAATTTGCTCAGTGAGACAGACAAAATGCATTTTCCTTTCATTTTAAAATAAAATGGTAACTTGTTTTGCCCAATGACACAGTAAAAATGAACACAGGACCCCTGGGTATTGCACCCATCTCATCATATATCTGTCACATTTTATTATTTTGAGTTTGTGCTTTTTGTTTTCTCTCCTCAAAAGTCTTGGGATTCAGAGACTTTTCACATCTTGTGCTTAATGAGTCAAATTATACGGACAACTCTCTGGTGACCTTTCTTTTTTTTCTATAGGCTCTGAAAAAGACTAGTTCATTCAAAAGCCCATCAGATCAGGATTTTTTGTTTGTTTGTTTAACATACAAAATGCTTTAATGATGTTTTAAGAAAGGAGGAGGAAAATAGTAACTTACCAGCACCTGTTTTCCTGATTCTCCTCTTCTTCCTCTTCTTCTCCTCCTCCTCCTCCTTTTCTTTCTCCTCCTCTTCTTCTTCTCATTTTTGATAGTTTAATTTTGAAATAATTGCATGCTTAATGAAAAGTTACAAAAATTATCAGGGTGTGAAGGGATTATATATATATTAAATATTAAATATATATAATATATTATTTAATATTTAATTATATATTAAATATTAAATATATAATATATTAAATATATAAAATATTAAATATATAATCCCTTCACACCCTGATATGTGTGTGTGTGTGTGTGTATATATATATATATATATATATATATATATATATAAAGGTATATACATAGAAAAGATATATATGTATATTTTTAAGTTCTGCTTTATTAAGTTGACTCAGTCTTTATAACTTTATGTATTTTTTTCTTTTTGGCTTTTTTTTTTTTTTTTTTTGAGACGGAGTTTCACTCTTGTTGCCCAGGCTGGAGTGCAATGGTGTGATCTCAGCTCACCGCAACCTCCGCCTCCCAGGTTCAAGCAATTCTCCTGCCTCAGACTCCCAAGTAGCTGGGATTACAGGCATGCACCACCACGCCCGGCTAATTTTGTATTTTTAGCAGAGACAGGGTTTCTCCATGTTGAGGCTGGTCTCGAACTCCTGACCTCAGGTGATCCACCCGCCTCGGCCTCCCAAAGTGCTGGGATTACAGGTGTCAGCCACCGCGCCCAACTTTATGTATTTTTTAAATCCTTTTGATTTGCCCTGGTACTGAGAGTGGTGGGTTAACATATCTTATCATTCATGCGTTTTATCTATGTCTCCTTGCATCTCTTGTGGTTTATGCTCTATAACATTTACTGCTGTGTTATTTGGTGTACAGATTATTTATGATTGTTATGTCTTAGTTGTCAACTGTGGCCTTTGGCATTTAAATATGCCAAAAGCCATCATGTTTAATGCTCTTTGCTTTTAATCTTGCAAGGGTCAGAGAGGAACAAAATCCCTACATCCCTCACATCTGAGGACACCTCACAAAAATGGGAACTTGCCTAAATTAGTCTGATAGGAGAAACAAGAAGGCCTTGCTATCTCTTACACTGATACATTTGCCAGTTAAAAGGTAGAGAAGGGAGGTTATTTTAAAATTAATTAGAATCTCTGAATCCAAAAACAGGTGCAGTTTCATGTTTTTGGATTCTTGCCACTAAACAGTCTCTCGATAGGCACGTAATTCTTTAGTGTGTCAAAAGTGCTAAGGAGTTTAATGAATAAGTTCTGAAGCATAACTAATTAATGGAAAGATAAAAAATTTAGTCAACAAATAACCTCCTTTAACACTGGAGGATGGCTTCAAGATGTTTTTCTAAATAGGGCATATGAAATATAATTGCAGTTCATGTCTTTTTTCAATTTGAAGTTCTTTCAAAGTTCTTTCAGTTCCTACACCTCCACCTTTTTCTGACCTTCCCACTTTTTATAAAACACAAAGAATTCCAAATTAAGTTCGTGATGCATACATAATATTTTATATTCTTTAATGTCTTATTCCTTTTTAGTTCCTATCCTATAATTACTTAATGTGAACAGATTTGTTGGTATGGCTGAAATAGCCAGGTTACTTCTCAATGTCTTGACAAGTATATTGTGCCTTTCTGAGGTTATAAAAATGACATTTCCCTGCTAACAATAGACCGTGCTCCTAAGACATTTGTTTTGTTGTATTTTCATTTTGTCTTTGTGTTCATTGATTATTAGAATCATAGGGTTAGAATTATTAAACTAAGACAATCTCTATCTAAGTCTTTTAGTTGTAACTTCAAATTCTCAAGAGAGCTATGTTTGTTTATGTATGGTTTGGATGGAGGGGTTGAAAATTGTTATGGAATTGGGAAAAAGCATAAACGAGGCCAGGAATAACATAATTAAATCAACTTAATACGAAAGAGAGTCTTTAGCACTCGAATTAAGATTCTATTTTAAGTAGAATCAGTTATTTAAAATCCATTGTAGGCTGGGCATGGTGGCTCATGCCTGTAATCCTAGCACTTTGGGAGGCTGAGGTGGGCTAATCACTTGAGGTCAGGACTTGGAGACCAGTCTGGCCAACATGGTGAAACCCCATCTCTACTAAAAATACAAAAATTACCTGGGTTTGCTGGCATATATCTGTATTTGGGAGGTATTTGGGAGGCTGAGGCATGAGAATTGCTTGAACCCAGGAGGCTGAGGTTGCAGTGAGCTGAGATCACGCCACTGTACTCCAGCCTGGGCGACAGAGTGAGACTTTGTCTCAAAAAAAAAAAAAATTATAAACGTGTGCATTATCAAAGAAAATTTATAACTTATACTGCTCAAAATTAAAAATCTCCTTATTTTTATTACAAAAAGAAAAAATGAGATGTGAATGAATAATATTTTGTTATTTTGAGAATCTGTGAGAATGTGATTTTTATGCTGTAGTTATATTTCTTCCTGTGCACTTGCTGTTAGAAGTCAAATGCTTCACAGTTTAAATCCTTAAAAGGGTTTTTCCCAAGTTCCAGAAAATCATTTTCTTTTGCACCCATACTTCTGTGTTGTAGATGCGGAACTGTGAAACATGTAGATTTGTTCTATAGATCATGATGATGAAATTACTTAATTCAGATATTTTTATAAAGGGCAAATCAGTTGTTTGCTTTTAAAAACATGCATACTTGTCTTGTTTTAAACATTTTAAGCAGCAATTATAACATTGTTTATCTATGGTTCAAAATATACACTTTTAGAGTTCCTCAGCCTGCAGGTTTTGGAATAAAATAGGAGTTTTAACAATCTTGGTAGTTTAGATTAAACTTCAAACCCTCCCTCCATCATCCTTCAAAACTAATTTATCCTATCCCCTTGATATCTTTTAATCCTATTCTTAATATCCCTTACCACAGTCAGTGTTCTTAAAATTTTGGTCCTGGGTGTGAAAGGAAAACATCTTGGGCCCCCAAGATCACTAAGGAAAATTCATGTTGGAAACTGCTTAGGGCAAATCTGCCTCCCATTCTATTCAAAGTTACTAAGATAGATGCATATCTGATTTGCCTCCTTTGGAAAGGCTAATCAGAAACTCAAAAGAATGCAACCATTTGTGTATCACCTATCTGTGACCTGAAAGCTCCCTCTCTGCTTCCAGTCTTCCTGCCTTTGCTTCAAGTTGTCCCACCTTTCCAGACTGGAACCAATGTACTTCTTACATATATTGATTGATGTCTCATATCACCTTAAAATGTATAAAACCAAGCTGTGTCCCGATCATGTTGGGCACATGTCGTCAGGACTTCCTGAGGATGTGTCACGGGTGCATCCTCAACCTTGGCAAAATAAACTTTCTAAATTAACCAAGACCTGTCTCAGATTTTCCAGGTTCACATGGGCCATGACTACCATCTTAGTCATTAGACTTACCTGCTCATAAATCTATCATAGAATCATAGGGTTAGAGTTATTAAACTAAGACAATCTCTATCTAAGTCTTTCAATTGTAACTTCAAATTCTCAAGAGAGCTATGCTTGTTTATGTATGGTTTGGAAGGAGGGATTGAAATTGTTATGGGGTTGGGAAAAAGAGCATAAATGAGGACAGGAATAACATAATTAAATCAACTTAATACGAAAGAGAGTCTTTAGCACTTGAATTAAGATTCTATTTTAAGTAGAATCAGTTATTTAAAATCCACTGTAGGCCCAGCATGGTGGCTCATGCCTGTAATCCTAGCACTTTGGGAGGCCGAGGTGGGCAAATCACTTGAGGTCAGGAGTTAATAAATCTATCATCAGCTTCAACCTCCATTTCAATGTTTCGCTGCCACCACAATAATCTTCCTAAGGTATAATTGTGTCAATCTCCTCATTAGTATTTCCAGTATCTTGAGGATAAAATGTAACTACGAGCATGGCTTATGGGGCCATTTGGGTCTGGCTTTTGCTCTTCTTTCTGGCCTGATTTGTGTCATTGTCTATCCCTACCCTATTCTCACCGTACTGAATTGCAGGAAGTTTCCTGAGTTTAACAAAGTTCCCTCTTCCTGGCAGGTTGTTGCATATACTGCTCCTTTATTTAGAATACTTTTTCTCTCCTTTTTAGTGATTTGTCTCTTGCTTCCTTGTTCTATTTTATTTTTCCCTTATTGCCCTAGTCTGGATTAGATGCCTCTGTTCTGTGCTTCCACTTGGATGCCTATACAGGGTTCTTAGTACCTCCTATTTTTATCCTTCCCCTGTTTATCCTCCCACTGCACAGTGACCACTTGAAATTTCTTGTTCCTTTTTGTCTCTCTGTCATCTATGATAGGATCTCTTCAATAGGTTCTCAGTAAAGGCTATTGTGAGTGAGACAGATTAGCTAGTACAGCTGTTACTTGGTATCCACAAGGGATTGGTTTCAGAACACCCTCACAGAGACCCTACTCTGAGGATGCTGAAGTCCCTTACGTAAAATGGTGTAGTATTTGCATACAACCTATGCACATCATCCTGTGTATTTAAAATCATCTCTAGGTTACTTATAATTCCCAACACAATGTGAATGCTATGTACATAGTTGTTTTATTGGTTAGGGAATAATGACAAGAAAAAATATCTGTACACATTTAGTACAGACGCAGCCATCCATTTTTTACCCCAAATATTTTCTATTTGTGGTTCATTGAATCCATTGATGAGAAACCCACAGGTATGGAGGGCCAACTCTGCTATATTTTGCCAACAAACTGTTTTCATAATTGTTTCAGTTCTGGGTACCCAGAAAAATATGTTGTGTTCTGTTGACTCACTTGCCAATTTCCTCTATGCCCTCTGTTCCTCCTTTGTTGATAGAGGTTTATAGTAAAATGCATTTCTCAAAAGCCCATAACTTTAGTTTAGATCTGTTATAGGCAGAAGAAACATTTTCCTACTGTTAACTAGGCAATTTGAACAAAGATAATTGAGGGGGAAACTGTGTTAAGTATCTCAGACCACACACGGCTCTCTGATAAGTTGCTCCTTTCTTGTTCTCCATCACGGATCCCCAGTGCCAGGAAAGGAACTAACTTATACCTGCTTGTTGACCATAATAAGAAAACTTTAAATTACATTCATTGAAGGAAATTTAGCTTTAATTCCTAAAGTGACATTGCTTTTGTCATCAACTAGAATGAATGATTCAATAAATCTGAATTAATTTCATTAATACATAAACATTTAAGAATTAAAAGGGATTTAAAGAAAGGAAAATCATATTTTCCATTAGCAAATGAGCCCCCACCCACTTAAGTAAAATGTAAAGCCAACAGATACCTTTTGATTTTAATATTCCTTAACAAACTTTTAAAGTGTATTTTTGAAAAATACACTTGGGCGTCTTTGGAAGTCTGATTAAAATACCAATAATTATTAATGGAGTGCTCATTATTTTGTATACATTATTATACCAAGTCGTTTAATAACCCTGTGAAGAAAGTAATTATTGTAGTCATCTTACAGAGGAAGAAACTGAAACTCTGTAATATCAAGTGGTTCTCCCTGGGTCACAGCTAGTAAGTAATTGGTGGGTACAGGATTTTAATTCAGACCTGTCTGACATTATGTGCATGCTTTTACCCATCAAATTACAAAAAAAAAAAATGATGCTCTGGTTAACAGGAATTTTGAAATAGAATTTTGAAATTATAGTACAACTGTTTGGTTTAATCTTAATGGAAAATAAGAGTACCTATATTACCTTTACCAATTTATTTATTTTTATTTTTTAAAAAAGATTTCTCTAACACCACTGCCAAGAATTAGGCACCATAACAGTATACGTTACAAAAACCCTTCACCAAATATTACCTAAGGTACTTAGTTAAGTATGAATTGGCTAAATCAGCTACTAAGTATCTATAAATACTGTCCTTCTCCAAGTGACTGGTTTACCATGAGGAAGGTGTTTAGGACTGAGGAGAACTGAGCCCAGAGTGTGAATGTCATGAGTTCTTAGAACACAAGATAGGGATGTTACATTCCACTCTCCTCTTTCATCTGGGTTATGGAAGAGTTCAGAGTCTACTTAGTTGGTAAATGTTAAAGTGGAAATGAAGCTTTCTTTCTTTGTGAGGTCTTTCCTAATTTCTTTAAATTAAAAACAATATTTTTCTTCTGTGCTCTGCTTATCCTGATCTGTATACACTTACTTCATTTTCTTCTATTTTGTAATTTTTTTGGTCTGTCTCTCTTACTCACAAAATTAAAGACTTCTTGAGAGCCAGATTTCTATTTCCTGAATCTGCCTATCCCCTCACAGCATAAAGCAAATGTTTCAACTTTTGAACAAAAGTTCAAAAAACTTAAAAAAATTTTTTAAGTGGTAGCATTTTATTTTATAAATAAATAATATAGCATAAGGTAAAGGAAAAACAGAAGACAAGTAACAATAATACAAGAAAGAAAAAAAGAAAACCTGTGCTTTGAATCTCACTCCTTTATCCTTGTGATTGCTTTTTGTTTCTCTATACGCTTCTGTGATCACTGCCCATACTCATACACATTTCTATCACAGCAACACACCTTTATTGAGGTATAATTGATACACAAATATCTACACATATTGAATGCACACAATGTGATGAGTCTGTGTATATGCAAACACTCTTAATACCATTACCATAATCAAGGTAATAGACACATCCTAAAACTCCCATAGCTTTCTTCTGTCCTTTTTTCATGGTAAGAACACTTAATATGAGATCTACCCTCTTAACAAATTTTGAAGTTCACAGTACTGTGTTGTGAAGTATAGGCTCTATGTGTACAGCAGATATCTAAAACTTAATTCATCTAGCATAACTGAAACTGTATACCCATTGAACAAAAACTATCCTTTCCCCCATCTTCCAAGCCCTGACAGCCACTATTATATTCTCTGCTTCTATGAATGTAACTATTATAGACACTTCATATGAGTGGAATCATGAAATATTTGTACTTCTGCAACTGACTTATTTTGTTTGGCATAGTGCTCTCCAGGTTCACCTATATTATTGCAAATGACAGAATTTTCTTCTTTTCAAAGGCTGAATAATATTCCATTGTATGCATACGCCACGTTTTCTTTATCAATTCATCTGCTGATAAATACTGGGGTTGTTTCCATGTCTACCTATTTTGAATAAAGCTACAATGGGCATGAGAGTACAGATATCTCTTTGAGATTTTGATTTCAATACTTTTGGATACATACTCAGAAGTCAGATTATTGCATCATAGGTTAGAGTTAGGGTTGAGTCAGGATGTCAGATTCGTTAATTGAATGAGGTAGAAAAGACAGCCATTATTTCTCACACTTCACAGTTGCAAAAGTTCTAAGACTTAGTTATAATATGAACGATATCGTAGGCTTCAACTCTAAATGTTTTCTTAGAAAAAGAAAACAGGAGAGTTTCAAGATGTAATTGATTTCCAAATTAGTCTTTTGCATGGATTTCTTTTTTATAATATGCCATTCTCTTTCTTGATTTAGGCATATATTTGGATTTTTATATGCAATCAATTTGTTCTTAACACTAATAGTGCCAAACTCAGGATAATCAGCATGTTTATTATCATTTCTTCTACCTCCTTAAAGGTAGCTTCTTACTGATGTCAGGATACCTTCTCTTTACTTCTGCTTAATAAGAGCTATTTGGCTCATTCTTTATGTGTGTAAAAAAAATCTACGAGCTAAATCACTTATTTTTTTAATAGATAAGAATTATTATTTGCTTCTCTGAAAATGTCTTCAAGCTAGTATTTATGATAATTTTTAACATAATGACTTTGGACATCAATCATTGAAGACTGGCAGACATCATTTCTAAATGTTTTAAAAGATTTTATTCTAATAAAACTATGTAATTTCTTAATTTTAATACTCATTTTGTTCTTTCTGTTCTTCCTTTTTAAAATATTACTTTATGACCCTTGCAGTTTGTACATAGTTGAAGTCCATTTAAAATAATGTAATTAAAAATCATATAGTCTTATTCATCTATAAATGAATATTTTTGGGCCTATGTAATTATAATGAAGTTTATGAGCCAATTGCAATGATAACTTATAGTGAAGGGCCAACTAATAAATAAAAATGAATACAGTTCAAGTCGAGTATTTCTTTATTAATTTCTTGTCTGGTTGATCTATCCATTGTTGAAAGTGGGTTATTGAAGTCCTGTGCTGTTATTGCATCTCTATGCATTTTTTCCATCAAGTCCATTAACACTTGCTTTATATATTTTGATGCTCCAATGTTGGGTACATATATATTTACAGTTGTTATATACTTGATAAATTGATGCCTTTAACATTAAATAATGAGCTTATTTGTCTCTTGTGACAGTTTTTGACTTGAAATCTATTTTATCTGATGTAAATATAGCCACTCCTGCTCTCTTTTGGCTACTGTTTGCATGGAATATCTTCCATTCTTTAACTTTCAGCCCATGTGTGTCCTTAAATCTAAAATAGTTCTTATAGGTAGAATATAGTTAGATCTTGTTTCTTTTTTAATATCCATTCAGCCACCCTGTCTTTTGATTGGATAATTTAATCCATTTACATTTAAGGGTATTGATAGGTAAAGACTTATTCTTGCCCTTTTGTCATTGTTGCTTGGTTATTTTGTAGGTCCTTTTTTTTCCTTCTTGTGACTTACTTACTGTAAGTTACTTACTGTAGCTATGGTTATTTTTGACCATTTTGACTTTTAACCTTCATACTAGAGATTTGGAAGATTTACATACTGCTACTATAGTAATGGAATATTCTGCTTTTGACTGTGTATTTACTTCCACCAGTGAGTTTTATACTTTCATATATTTTCATTTTGGTAGTTATTATCCTTTCATTTCCAGTTGAAGAACTCCATTAAGCATTTCCTATATGATGGTCTAGTAATGATGACACCATGATCAATGGGGAACAACTAAAGACTTCTCCACTAAGATCCAGCACAAGGCAGGGATGCCTGCTGTTACCACTTCTATTCAATATAGCGCTGGAATTACTAGCAAAGGCAATCAGACAAGAAAAATAAATGAAAGGCATTTAAAACAGAAAGAAAAAAGTAAAATTATCTCTGTTTGTAGATGACATGATTCTATATGTAGAAAAAGCCAAAGATTCTACAAAAACCTCATTAGAACTAATAAATAAATTTAATAAAGTTGCAGGTTGCAAAATCAACATACAAAAATTAGCAGCATTTCTATATGCAAATAATGACTTAGCTGAAAAAGAAATCAAGAAAAAAATCTCACTTACAATTGTTACAAAAAATACATAGTAATGAATTTAACCAAAAAGGTAAAATATCTGTACACAGAAAACTATAAAGCACTGATGAAAGAAATTGGCTGACTCTGGGTATACCACCAATAAGTTAGCCCTGCTCCACAAGGAACAGTGAAAAAAAAAAAAAGAAGGAAAGAATTGAAGAAGACACAAATAAATGGAAATATGTCCTATGTTCATGGGTTATAAGAATTAATATTGTTAAAATGTACATACTAGCCAAAGCAATATACATAGTCAAAGCAATTGCTATCAAAATTCCAGTGACATTTTTAAAGAAATAGAGAACACAATCCTCAAATTTTTATGAAGCTGTAGAAAAAACCCAAATAGACAAAAAGCAATACTGAGAAAGAACAAAGTTGGAGGCATCACACTTCCTGATTTAAAATTATATTACAAATGTCTAGTAATTAAAACGGTATGGTACTGGCATAAAAAAGAAACACGGAGCAGTAGAACAGAACAGAGAGCCCAGAAATAAATCCAAACATATACGGTCAACTAATTTTCAACAAGGGTGCCAAAGGCCACAATGGGAAATTAATAGTTTTTCAATATATGGTGCTGAGAAAACTGGATTTCCACATGCAAAAGGATAAAATTAGGACCTTATTTTCCACCCATACAAAAAAAAAAGTCAACTCAAAATGGATAAAATGCCTGTGAGACCTGAAACCATAAAACACGTTGATGAGAACATACAGGAAAAAACACCTTGATATTGGCCTTGGCAATGACTTTTTGGATATAACACCAAAAGCTTGAGCCATAAAAGCAAAAATAAATAAATAGGGTTACATCACACTAAAACGTTTCTGTACAGCAAGGGAAACAATCAACAAAATGAAAAGGCAGCCTGTAGACTGGGAAATATATTTGCAAACCACATATATGTAAGAACTCTTACAACTCAATAGCAGAAAATAAATAACCCTATTAAAAAGTGAGCAAGAAACCTGAGCAGAAATTTCTCCAAATAAAACATAAAAATAACCATCAGGTATATGAAAAGGTGCTCAAATCACTAATCATCAGGGGAGTGCAAATTAAAGTCATTATGAGATATCACCTCACACCTGTTAGGAAGACTATTATCAAAAAGACTAGATATAATAAATGTTGATGAGGGTGTGGAGAAAAGAGAATCCTGGAATACCGTTGGTGGGAGTGTAGTTTGGAGCAGCCATTATGGAAAACAATATGGAGGTTTATTAAAAAATTAACAATAGTACTACTGTGTGACTCAATATCCCTCTACTGGGTAAATACCCAAAGGTGATGAATTTATCACCTCCTAGAGATATCTGCACCCCCATGTTTATTGCAGTATTGTTCACAATAGGCAAGATATGGAAACGACCTAAGTATCCATTGATGGATGAATTGATAAAGAAAATGTAGTATGTATATGCAATGGAATATTATTCAACCTTAAAAAAGAAAGACAGCCTGCCATTTGCCACAGCATGGATGAACCTTAAAGACATTATGCTAAGTGAAATAAACCAGACACATAAATAATATATTGCATGATCTCACTTATATGTAGAATCTTTTTAAAAAGTCAAATATACAAAGATAGAGAATAAAACAGTGGTGGGGATGTGGAGTAGGGTGGGAGGAAATGAGTACATGTAGGTCAAAGGATAGAAAATAGCACACATGTAGGATGAATATTTTTAGAGATCTAATGTATAGATGAAGACTATAGCTAATAATATTGTACTGACATATCTCAGAGATTTTGTTGGTTTGGTACCAGACCACCATAATAGAGCCAATGTTGTAATAGAGTCACCAATTTTTTGGTTTCCCAGGGAACATAAAAGTTATGTTCACATTATACTTAGTCTATTATGTGTGCAATAACATTATGTCTAGAAAAACAATGCATATACCTTAATTTAAAAATATTTTATTGTTAAAATATGCTAATGATCATCTGAGCCTTCAGCAAGTTGTAATCTTTTTGCTGGTGGACAGTCCTGCCTTGATGTTGACAGATACAGACTGATCAGATTGGTGGTTGCTGAAGGGTGGAATAGAGGGGGCAATTTCTTAAACTAAGATGACAATGAAATTTACTGCATCAATTGACTCTTCCTTTCATAAAATATTTCTCCTATAGCATGTGATGCTGACTGATAGCATTTTAGTCACAGTAGAACTTCTTTCAAAATTGGAGTCAGTCCTCTGAAACCCTTGCCACTCTGTCTGATCAACTGAGTTTATGAACTAGTATAAGTACTTTGTTGTCATTTCAACAATGTTCATGGCATCTTCACTAAGAGTAGATTCTGTCTCAAGAAACCACTTTCTTTGCTCATCCGTAAGTAGCAACTTCTCACCTGTTGGTTTTATAGTGCGATTGCAGCAAGTCATCCACATTTTCAGGCTCCACTTCTAATTCTAATTGTCTTGCCGTTTCTACATCTGCAGTTACTTCCTCCACTGAAGTCTGTAGCTCTCAAAGTCATCCATGAGGGTTGGAATCAACTTCTTCCAAACTCCTGTTAATAGTAATATTTTGGCTTTCTCACATCTCACATGAATCACAAGTGTTCTGAATGGCATCTAGAATTCTGAATGTTCTCCAGAAGATTTCCCATTTACTTTCTCTAGATCCTTTAGATGGATCAGTATCTATGACAGCTATAGCCTTACCAGTATATTTCTTGAATAATAAGACTTGAAAGTCAAAATTGCTCCTTGATCCATGGGCTGCAGAATGGATGTTGTGTTAGCCGGCATGAAAACAGCATTCGTCTTGTAGATCTTCATTAGAGCTCTTGGGTGACCAGATGCATTGTCAATGAGCAGTCATATTTTCAAATGAATCTTTTTTTCTGAGCAGTTGGTCTCAACAGTAGGCTTAAAATATTCAGTAAAGCATGCTATAAACAGATGCACTGTCATCCAGGCTTTGTCCTTCCATTTATAGAGCAAAGGCAGAGTAGATTTAGCATAATTCTTAAGATTCTAGGACTTTGGGAATAATCAAGGAGTACTGGCTTCAACTTAAAGTCACCAGCTGCATTAGGCCCTAACAAGTTAGCCTATCCTTTAAAGTTTTGAAGCCAGTTTTTGACTTCTCTCTATCTATGAAAGTCCCAGATGGCATCTTCTTTTAATAGAAGGCTGTTTCATCTGCATTAAAAATCTGTTGTCTAGTCTAGTCACCTTCATCAGTTATTTTAGCAGATCTTCTGGATAACTTGCTGCAGCTTCTACATCAGTACTTGTGTTTCAGCTTGCATTTTTATGTTGTGGAGATGGTTCCTTTTCCTAAACTTTATAAACCAATCTCTGCTAGCTTCAAACTTTTCTTCTGCAGCTTCCTCCCCTCTCTTAGCCTTTACAGAATTGGAGATAGTTAGGGCCTTGCTCTGGATTTGGCTTTGGCGTAAGGGAATGTTGTGTCTGGTTTGATCTTCTATCCAGGCCACTAAAACTTTCTCCTTATCAGCAGTAGGTCTGTTTCATTTTCTTGTCATTCATGTGTTCGCTGGAGTAGCACTTGTAACTTCCTTTAAGAACTTTTACTGTGCATTCACAACTTGGCTAGCTGTTTGGTGCAAGAGGCCTAGCTTTTAGCCTATTTTAGCTTTTGACATGGCTTCCTCACTAAGCTTAATTATGTCTACCTTTTGACTTGAAATGAGAGATTTGTGACTCTTCCTTTTGCTTGAACACTTGGAAGCCATTTTAAGGTTGCTGGTTGGCCTAATTTCGATATTATTGTGTCTCAGAAAACAGGAAGGCCCCAGGAGAGGAAGAGGGAGTTGGGGAATGATAGATCAGTGGAGTAGTTAAAACACACACAATATTTATTGATTAAGTTTGCCATCTTATATGGGTGTGGTTTGTAGTGGCCCCAAACAATTACAACAATAACATGAAAGATTACTGATCACAGATTTCCATAACAGATATAATAATAATGAAAAAATTAGAAATACTGTGAGAATTACCAAAATGAGACATCAAATGATCACATGCTGTTAGAAATATGACACCGATAGACTTGTTCGACACTGAGTTGCCACAAACCTTCAATTTGTAAAAAACATAATACCTGCCAAGCACAGTAAGGTAAAGCACAATAAAATGAGGATTATGCCTGTATTGTAATACAAATTTTTGTTAAATAGGTAGATTTTAGCTGCTTTCATCTCACACACAATCAAAAATATGTGAGATGATAGACATGTTAATTTGCTTCACTATAGTGATTCACTATAGTGATTTTACTATCTTTATGTGTTCCATAATGTTACATGTTAAATCTCAAGTATATACAATAAAACTTACTAAAAAAAGAAGTGAAGGCATGGATTAAGTTCATTATATAGAAAAATCTTCAAATAGAGCCACTATCACACCCCTAAACTCACACAAAACTACCTAAGTAAAATTCAAAAGATATTTTGTTTGGAACCTGTTGGATATTAGTTAGCAGTTCTCACTGATGAATACCTGTGGTAATTTTTATTTATTTATTTATTTATTTTTCTGAGACTGAGTCTTGCTCTGTCACCCAGGCTGGAGAGCAGTGGCGTGATCTCGGCTCACTGCAACCTCCGCCTCCTGGGTTCAAGCCATTCTCCTTCCTCAGCCTCCTGAGTAGCAGGGATTACAGGCGCCCGCCACTGTGCCCAGCTAATTTTTGTATTTTTAGTAGAAATGGGATTTCACCATGTTGGCCAGGCTGGTCTCAAACTCCTGACCTTGTGATCTGCCCACCTTGGCCTCTCAAAGTGCTGGGATTACAGGCATGAGCCACCGTGCCCTGCCTAACTGTGGAAATTTTTATGCATTTATTTTATTCATGTCATTAACTCACCAAATAATGTGTCTCACATTTGAAAAAATAAATCTGGCTATAAAATCAGCCCCTTTGGGGACCATAATCCCTAAGCATACCATAGTCTGTATTACTCCTTTAATTATGTTGTAACTCTGTCTCTGTTTTGTCTTAAATGTTCCAGTTTCCTACTATATGAGTCTTTAACAATTATTTCTGTTTTACAATCCTTTTTCCTGTAGTTTAACAGTGAAATACTTCATAAGACTTGATGAAAAGAACTGAGAAAATATAAATAGACCAAACAACAACTTTCATGTTTAGCACAAGCTTTCTACTAATTTTAGTACTTTGAGGGGAGGTTAGTTATCTCTAGCTCTAAAATGTTTATAGCAGAGACTACTTGTACCCAGCGGGAGCTGACCTAAAAACCAGCATCAAATGTTCTGTAGTCAAGTAGATGAACCGGAGTTCCCAGCCCTGAAAGTGTGCAAAATCTTTTGTACAGTAAAGAAAAGTGTTTCTTCATTAGCTATTCCATGCATATTGGATGCATGCACGTTAGATATTCTATGCCTAACACCACATTTTCACAGCCTATGATTTCTGGGATGACTTACTGTAAATGTGCATAATATGCTTGAAGAAAGACATTAACCAACTTTACTTTGGCTGGTAAATTAATTAATTTTTTTAAAAGATGACCATAGTCCCAGAAACACGGTAAAAGTTTGTTGTGAATTGATTGCCTCATAGGTGACATAGAAAGCCAACAAAGTAAACACACTTTGAAATGGTTGATTAGCTTAATATCCAGTTTACATATTGCATATCCCAATGAAAATTCTATATAATGAAACAATTAGTATTGCTTATTACACAAAGTGAATTCTGATGTTGGGGGCAGAATTATCTACTTTTGTTAATTTTGCTATGCTTTTCTAAACTTTTTTGGGAGAGGAGCAGGAAATAAAGTTTATCATGAGTTCATACTCTAGTTTATTGCTATTCTTACTATATCATAGACTTTTTATTTCCCCATGATACGAAAAACATAGTAATTTAATGTAATAATTTAAATTTCAAAATTTTAGGTAGAAATAGTGTAAGAATTTTTAATTTCATCAGTTAAGTTAAATAAAATATGTAACAGATATTTGAATGCTTCTGTAATTAAAAATGGCCCATATTGGTAAGAAGAAATTACCTTTATATTTTGAGTACCTTTTACCTGTTGACAATGCACTTAATAATCAATGAATATTTATTCACAATCTACAAGTCTATGTATGTATTTTATGAATTCAGTTTTATTAAGAAGTATAATGAAAGACATCGGTGAAAATGGTTTGCTGTTTTTTAATGTAGAAAAATTTGGAAAACATACAGTAGGAAGAAAAAGACCCATAAACACACCACTTAAATCCAGTTGCTATTATTATTTAAATGCATTTTCTTTTAGTCTTGTATTCCTTTAGACTTTTAGCTCAATTTATATCAATTGATAAATTTATATAACATAGTATAATGATATGGTTTGGCTGTCTCTCCACCCAAATCTCACCTTGAATTGTAATAATCCCTACATGTCAAGGGCAGAGCCAGGTGGAAATAATTGAATAATGGGAGCAGTTTCCCCCATACTGTTCTCATGGTAGTGTATAAATCTCATGAGATCTGATGGCTTTATAAATGGGAGTTCCCCTGTACAAGCGCTCTTGCCTGCCACCGTGTAAGACGTGACTTTGCTCCTCATGTGCCTTCGGCCATGATTGTGAGGCCTCCCCAGCCATGTAGAACTGTGAGTCAATTAAACCTCTTTTCTTTATAAATTACCCAGTCTTGGGTATGTCTTCATTCTTTATTAGCAGTGTGAGAATAGACTAATAAATTATATATAATAACATATAATTATAAAATACATTATACTTTGGTTCTATCAAGAGAATTTTCTTAAGAAAAGAAGATAAAGTAGATTTCTTAATTGACAATTCTTTTAGTCTTGGCACCTCAGTTTCATTTTTATATATTTTGTTATAGTTGTAACCATATTCATATTATTCTTCATTTATTTCTTAATTAACATTATAAGTTAGGAATTTTTTGCATGTTACCTCAAAAGCTGTTTTAATTCTTTGGACATTAATATTTTACACATATTTTTACAATTGCCATAGCTATTGGACATATAGGGTTTTAAAAAAATCTAGGGTTATCATTAATAACACTATAGTGAATATTACATGCAGTAGTTCTAATCTTTTGATTCTCAGAAGTGAAAATACTGAGTCAAAAGCATTGATTATTCTTAAGTGTACCATATATGAAAACAAAATAGCTGAAAAGTAATGAGCACTCATAAATGGGTAAAGGATTATAATTGACAATTTGAGAAAATGATACAGAAATGAATCATAGAGAAATGTAACCTTTTTTCTATCTCTTGAAGGAAAAATCCAGTATGGAAAGAGGATAAAAAGGAAAAGAAATAAGAGGTAGATCAAAGCAGCCCTTTAAAAGCTTGGCTTTTTTTGGTACCATCAAGAACTGTGGTAATATAACAGTTGTTGATCTCTTCTGTTTACAAAGTATTACACAAATTATAAGACAAAATAAAAACCATACATTGTTCCATAACGCAGAGAGGACCTACCATTTTGATGCATTTACT
The DNA here is from genome assembly GCF_000001405.40 of Homo sapiens. Lineage (NCBI taxonomy): Eukaryota > Metazoa > Chordata > Mammalia > Primates > Hominidae > Homo > Homo sapiens. Next base: position 62,783,229 of record NC_000014.9, on the reverse strand, counting down.
TCTGTGCTTTGTGTGCATGTATGTGTGTATGTTTGGGGGTGGGGAGATGGGGTACATAAAATGAGATTATGCTGTATGTATAGTTTGATATCCTGCTTTTACTATTTTATATAACCTTATATAACCTCCATGTCACTTTGTAAAATTTATGATACCTTGTGGCTGCATAATATTTCATTATTTATTGACATTTATTTCTAATTTTTGGCAATTATAAATTTCACTTCAGTGAGCATTTTTATAAATAAATTTGGCACTTAGGCAATTAGAATAAATGCCTATAATTGGGATTACTAGTTTGAAGAGAATACCGTGTACAGATTTCTGAAATTCATCTGTATAAAAGGAGGTAGAGTTTCTATAGCTAAAGTGTTCCTTTGGTTATTTTTTTTATTTCATTTTATTTTATTTTATTTTTTGAGATGGAGTCTCACTCTGTCATCCAGGCTGGAGTGCAGTGGCACAATCTCAGCTCACTGCAAGCTCTGCCTCCCGGGTTCACGCCATTCTCCTGCCTCAGCCTCCCGAGTAGCTAGGACTACAGGCACCCACCACCACGCCCGGCTAATTTTTTTGTATTTTTAGTAGAGACGGTGTTTCACCGTGTTAGCCAGGATGGTCTCGATCTTCTGACCTCGTGATCCGCCTGCCTTGGCCTCCCTTTGGTTATTATGATGCTGTATAACCCTAGAGGCTTTCTTTGGCTACCAAGTCTCTGATCTCCCTTCCTTGGCCAAATAAATGGTTATTAGGTTGTTAATTTGCTCATCAGTGTCATGAACTAAAAGGAATTTTTGGAGGGTCCAGAAACAAATGAATTGCTTAAGATTAATTAACTATTCATGATTGTTGTTTCATGCTGATCACATGATCATGTGGTGGTTTTAATCACCTCTTCAGTCATGTGCATGTTTTCTCTTTGTACCCTGAAGTGCCTCTTAAGCTTGAAATCAAGCCCTATGTTTCTCTCAGAGCTTCCCAACTACCTAAGTGAGCAAAGAATGTGTAATCTCACTCACTCAACCTCTCTATTTCTGTCTTGTCACTGTCTTTGTCTCTCTCTCATTTCTGTGGTTACACATTTTCTTTTCTCTCTGGTTGTCTGCCTGGCCTGAAGGGTGAGACAAGGTCTGTTGCGGGAAGTCAGGGACCCCAAACGGAGGGACCGGCTGAAGCCATGGCAGAAGAACGTGGATTGTGAAGATTTCATGGACATTTATTAGTTCCCCAAATTAATACTTTTATAATTTCTTATTCCTGTCTTTACTGCAATCTCTAAGCATAAGTTGTAAAGATTTCATGGACACTTATCACTTCCCCATTCAATACCCTTGTGATTTCCTATGCCTGTCTTTAATCTCTTAATCCTGTCAGCTGAGGAGGATGTATATTGCCTTAGGACCCTGAAATAATTGCATTAACTGCACAAATTGTACAGCATATGTGTTTGAGCAATATGAAATGTGGGCACCTTGAAAAAAGAACAGGATAACAGCAATTGTTCAGGGAATAAGAAAGATAACCTTAAACTCTGACCTCCGGTGAGCCCGGCGGAACAGAGCCATAGTTCTCTTCTTTCAAAAGCAAATGGGAGAAATATCACTGAATTCTTTTTCTCAGCATGGAACATCCCTGAGAAAGAGAATGCGCACCTGGCGGTAGGTCTCTAAACTGCCCCCCACCCCCCGCCGGGCGTGGCCGTCTCTTACGGTCGAGACTGCAGAGGTGAAATAGACTCCAGTCTCCCATAGCGCTCCCAGGCTTATTAGGAAGAGGAAATTCCCGCCTAGTAAATTTTGGTCAGACCGGTTGATCTCAAAACGCTGTCTCCTGATAAGATGTTATCAATGACAATGGTGTCTGAAACTTCATTAGCAATTTTAATTTCACCTCAGTCCTGTGGTCCTGTGATCTCGCCCTGCCTCCACTTGCCTTGTGATATTCTATTACCTTGTAAAGTACTTGATGTCTGTGACCCACACCTATTCGCACACTCCCTCCCCTTTTGAAAATCCCTAATAAAAACTTGCTGGTTTTTGTGGCTTGTGGGCATCATGGAACCTACCAACATGTGATGTCTCCCCTGGACGCCCAGCTTTAAAATTTCTTTTGTACTCTGTCCCTTTATTTCTCAAGCCAGCTGATGCTTGGGGAAAATAGAAAAGAACCTATGTGAATATCGGGGCAGATTCCCCGATAAAGGTCTTCTTCTTTTTTTTTTCCTGTTAGTTCTGATTTTAATCTGCATGATGACAGCAGATAGTTGCTCACCTCTGTGGTTTGAGTGCAGAAAGAATAAATCATTAACAGAGTGCCTCTAGGAAGATGTTTCCCTCCTGGATATATTCCCCCTGTCTTTTTCACTTTAAAACTTTTCCTTTCACGTGGAAGTTGAACAAAGAATGCAGTTGACTACACTTCAGAAACCAGGGGCTTTTATGGAACTGCCTCGGCAGAATGGCCTTTTGGGACCTTTAACCTTAGACTCTTTCTCGTTCTTTTTATTTGGGCAACTAAGTACTTGATTTCAAATGATAAATGGTTGAGTTCAGGCCACCAGTGGGTAGTGCTCTGAAGTGAATAGGTGATTTTTGTGTGATTTCTAGAATTTTTAAAAGACGTCTACATTTGATGATAGTATAGCACTTTTTATAGAACTGTTCATGGGATAATACATTTGAGTCTCCATGTTTTACTCAACCTGGGTCCTTCAGCTTTGTAATTGTGGATGGGGAGCTCTTGGGCTGGACTCCGAGAACCTGTATAAGGTTGACTAGGTAGAGAGGGAAGGGCATTCTTGGGGAACTAAGTTGTGGCAAGTTTTAATTGGCTTGGGGCACAATACATAGTTACTGAATAATGTGTATTTAATATATGTTGGATCAGCCCTAGATTTATAAAGGCTGTTACAGCAGATCCTTCTGTATTGCATTTTGTTATCTTTACCAGAAGGACCAGAGGCAAGGATGAAACTAAGAAGTCACCTTTGCTCCTTCTGGTCAAAATAGGAAAAGTTAAGGTGGCAGAAGATAATGAAATTATTTGTTAAAATGAGGTGTTTGGCTTCTCTGTTGGATCCATTTATTCATGCCACTCCAGATTTTCATCAATAACTGAATTCAGGGTGATGTTACTTTACATATTATATGAAAGCATTGTGTATTGTTATGTGTTTATAGATGTGGTTATACCCTCAGCTCTAAATTATGCTAGAAGGTCAATACTGTATATGAAACTGAATAACAAGAGTGATTAAATAAGAACAGTGTTAGATACTTGAATATGTATCTTATACTGTTTTCTAGGGAAGGGTGATGTATTTGGAGACATCTTCTGGAAGGAAACCACCCTTGCCCATGCATGTGCGAACGTCCGGGCACTGACGTACTGTGACCTACACATCATCAAGCGGGAAGCCTTGCTCAAAGTCCTGGACTTTTATACAGCTTTTGCAAACTCCTTCTCAAGGAATCTCACTCTTACTTGCAATCTGAGGAAACGGGTATGTTCTCTGGGTCTGCTTTTTCTTATTAGTGTCCAGAGTATTAATTAATTCAGCTCTATTAGCTGAAGAGTAGAGAAGATATTTTGTTTTGCAGCACTAAATTCCCATCAATGTAAAGTGGCATAATTTTCCTTCTCTTTATTTATATTTTGTTTACTTTTTAAGGAAAAAAACCCTATTTCTATGAGTAAAGATTTGAATCTTTACCATTTAAGATACAAAATGAAAAACAGACTTGAAGAGAAACAAGCTGTGAACTCTATTATGATGTAGTTAGTTCTTGGAGTTTATAATACTGCCATAAAATCAACTCCAGTGTCTTTTACCTTTTTATATGGATTTTTTTAAAGCTGGTAAAGTTAATCAACCTGGGTGCCTGTTTTACATTCTCAGCTCTCTTTAGGCACTTCTCATTTCGTAATCAATTCACAAAGTTTACTCTTTCAAAGAACGCTATCTCAAAAATTAATTAGCCACATTGACACATCCTACAAATATGGATAAGAATCCTTTATTTTACACTGCTGCTGCACATTTAACCTTCACTGCCATTTTGTAGCCAATGAGTGTGACACAAATTTAATTTGCATGAAGAAATCTCCTAGTTCTGGTTTCTAGGTCATTGGGCATTGGGTAAGGCTTTTTTATTGCCAAGAATGAAATACATGTTTGGATAACTGCACTTAAGTGATTTTATCTAAAATGATCGCCTGTCTGTGGTGAAGTATTTTGAAATAACAGTCATTCCTTTCTATAACCTGCTTAAATGAAACCTTCTCTGTAGTTAACAGGGAGGGAAGAAATTGAGCAAAGAGATAAATTAATGTCTATACTGTAGCAACATAGAAATGAACATAATTAAATCAATGTAATTCCTACTTAGGGTTCCAAGAAAGGATGAGACTAGCAGGAGTAGTGTTTGTACTGGCTGTATCACATTTATTTGATCTATACTTGAACATCATTTTCAGTTCATACGTTTGTTATCAAATAGATGGAGCATCCAGAATCTGTGAGAAAGAATGAATAGCTGTAGAGAACACACAGACTTAAGCACAGAGTACGTATGCTCAATAGACCTATAGTTAGATGTGAATATTATGTCAAACACAAATAGTGGAAAGTGAAGGCAATGATGAATGTGGGAAAGGGAAGCTAAATATTAACTAAATGTGGAAGTTTCTCACTTATGTGTTAGGGAGCTCAGAGTCCCTTTCAGTATTAAGCAGGAATGTCTCCTTTGGTCTGTGCTCTGCCTTCTGCAATGACAAATTTCCCTTCAACAAGGCAACCTGTTTGGTAGTTGACTCTTGTAGTGTGGTTGGCCCTTGAATAACACAGGTTTGAACCACGAGGGTCCACTTACATGCCAATTTTTTTTGCCCAAATGCAGATGAAAAATACAGTATTTGTGTTATTTGAAACTTGTGTATACCAAGAGCCCACTTTTCCTGTATGTGGGTTCCACAGGGCAGACAGCAGGACTTCGGTATGTAAGGATCTGGGTGTGTGAGGGGATCCTGGAACCAGTCCCCCTCGTATACCGAGGGAAGACTGTAGTTTTAAGTTCCCTTCAATCTAAAATGTGCATTTTAAAATCTTCCCCCATACTGCAAGATTACTGAAAACTCCTATCCAACATCCGTACATTCCTCAGGACTTGATGTTTATAATATTCCTGTGAAAGAAAATGGGCAGTTATTTTTCCTTCAAATCACATGAGAATACTCAGGCCCAGAGGGATTAATATCAAACAACCAAGTGACACATTTGCAATGCAAGGGGCCAAGGAGGGACAATGGAAACAGATCACCAGTAGAACATCTGTCACCACTTTTTCTCTTACACACACACACACACACACAAATACACATACACACATGCATTCATTGGTTGTGACAGCTGAGTGCACACTGGTGTGGACTCAGTCTTCTGATAAGAAGACAAGCTAGAGACAGAAAACTGTTGTTGGTTTTTCAACAGGACCCAGAAACGCTGTGCCTGTCTCCATGGGTGCCAATTTGCTGAGTAACACCAAGCGGCTTTCTTCCCTCACAACCTGTTTCCTGTTATAACTGGTGTCAATTTTTATAATTCTAGCCTCTCTGCTCTTGATGCATTGTCTCAGTAACTTGGCAAATAGTAGGAAAAGGGTGTCATTCAGTTTCACTTTATTTTCAGAGAAACAATATACTCATGAAAAAGATAAGTGGTGAGAAAATATTATCTAATGGGTAGTAATACTAGCTACCATCTGAGAACATGTTGTATATAGCCAGGCACTTCAACATAGTTTACATATAATATCTTATTAAATGTCAACGACCCACAAACAGAGCAGTATAGTCTCCATTTCACCCATGAAGACGTTAAGTTTCTAAGACTGGAACAGCTAGTTCCCTAATAACCTAGGAGTCAGGGCCTGCATTTGAATTCATCTCTATGATTCTAAAACCTGTATTTTTTAGACTACCATGTTGTTTTAGCTTGTCAAAGCCACTGACATTTTCTTTTCCATAATATTCCACAGAAACACTGTCAACAATTTATAGTTTCTCATTCACTTATTCACTTTATTCCAATTGATCTATTAATGAAAACATTTTGTTCTTATTGCTATTATTGTAAAAATTATTGCAATGAACATTCATTGTGAATTCTATAACCAAAACTATGTCTTTAGTATGCTATTGATATCTCATAGCTATCATAGCCATTGGTTAAGGGTGTGTTCCTACTAAGTAAGGGAGCAGGTTTTGAATCCAAGTTGTCAGCCATGGCATGGTACAGTTCTGGCCACACATGTGTATCCAGTGGCTCAGTGGAGAGGTTTGAATAGTGTGTGGCTTTCCATGGCTGCAATAAGGAGGAAAGTGAGCCTTCTTTAGCTGCTTGCCTTCATCTCCATTAAGGAAAAATAAGATGCTTACTGTGCGAATATAGCTCTTCCTACCCATCCTTAAGCCCCTCTATGTAAAAATTCTAGAGCTATAACTAGAATTCCATCAAATTCTACGAATTGACGAATAACTAGAATTCCATGAAACAACTACGGCATGGAATGGAAAATTTTTCTGTCAAGGACCAGATAGTAAACAATTTTGGATTTGTGGGCCAATCTCAACTACTCAACTTTTCCACTGTAGTATGAAAGCAGCTGTCTTAGTCAGCTTGGACTGCCATAACAAAATATGATACATTGGGTGTCTTAAGCAGCAGGAATTTATTTCTCACAGTTCTGGAGGCTGGGAAGTGTATGATCAAATTACTGGCCAGTTTGGTTCCCTGGTGAGGGTTCTTTTCCTGGCTTGCAAATATCCAGCTTCTCACTGTGTTCCCACATAAGAGAGACAAGAAGGGGAGGTAGAGAGATGGGAGGTGGGAAGGAAGCCAGCTAGCTCATTGGTGTCTTATAAGGGCACCAAGTCACTCATGAGGGCCCCAACTTTTTTTTTTTTGAGATGGAACCTTGCTCTGTCACCCAGGCTGGAGTGCAGTGGTGCGATCTCGACTCACTGCAACCTCCGCCTCCTGGGTTCAAGTGATTCTCCTGCCTTAGCCTACAGAGTAGCAGGAATTACAGGTGCATGCCACCACGCCCAGCTAATTTTTGTATTTTCAGTAGAGACAGGGTTTCACCATGTTGGTCAGGCTGGTCTTGAACTCGTGACCTCGTGATCTACCCACCTCAGCCTCCCAAAGTGCTGGGATTACAGGTGTGAGCCACCGCGCTGGCCCCAACTTTATTACCTCTTCTAAACCTAATTACCTCCAAAGGCTCCATCTCCAAATACCATCACATTGGGGATAAGAGCTTCAACAGATGGATTTTGAGGGGGTAAAACTTAGTCAATAGCAAAGCTGTAGATAATACATAAAGAAATGAGGAAGATTGTATTTCAATTACTTTACTTACAATCAGGTGACTGCCCAGGGGCCTTAAGTGTGTTAATTGTTGAAAAAAGAGGACTGGAAGAAGTTAAATGGGGACAACAGTGGGCATATGAATAGAATCGCCCCACCTTTATTAGAAAGCAAATCTATTCTACTTGCTGCCTATTCAGAGGGTTATGAGATGGAAAATGCCATAAATATTAATAAGAAGTAGCTACACAAAGCAGGCAGATAGCATGAAAGAGTAAGGCAGGATTTATAGTTACTGTGGAAATGGAGAGTTCATTTCATCTGTGAACGAGACAGCTGTTACTCACTCTGGTAGGACATTGCCTTGTGGGGATGCTGGGCTAGTGTTGCTTAGTCCTCATATTTTTTTTTCTCCAAGAGGCCAGAAGCACATTTTTATGGGAAAACACATTTGTTTGGTAATTGATTTGATTTGTTTTTAAAATTCTGTGGTCAAACAAAATAAGTTTGCTTGCTATTGGTTCAACAGCTCATGATCTAAATGGAATCAGTTAATGAACTCCTGGTCTCATGGTGCTAGAAACCTGAGATTTTTACCTGGGGCCTGGACATTTTGATGAAAACAAATTTTATTTTATCTATTTTCTAACTGACATTTAGCTTTTCCTTTAATTGGAAAGGTTGCTAGACAACTACAGTGTTATTAGAAGTACCAAAAGCAATTATATTAATGGATATTTTCATATATCATATGTGCCAAAGATATCTTGAAATGCCATTTATGCTCATTACTATTTAACAATTATGATAGTTATTAGACTTGCTGCTAGACAGAAGTACATAGATTACTGTAAATTATTTGAAAATATTTTGATAGGATTTCAATATATGTTTCCTTTGCAATCCTACATATTTTATTTTGTGCATTTAGAGCAATTCTTTTAAGGAGAGGTCCACAGGCTCTGCCAGACTACTGGAGATTAAGATCCCATGTGTGAGAGTCAGAAGCTAAACTGAATTGAGCAGAAGGACCTGCTGGGGTTTTTTTTTCAATAATAAGAACACAATTCCGTAGTTTCCAATAAGTTTAAACATATTCAGAAAAGGGATGAGAGAGAAGCAGAGGAAAGTTGACTCATTTGCTTACTTTATGTATGTATTTATTTAACCAATTCAAGATGCTATTTCCTGGAATGACAAAATGGTATTCATTAAATTGATGACCAGCTCTTAGGTATACATCAAAGAAAGTAAGCAACACACCTTCTTTGACACACACATAAAAAGGTAACACAGGTGACACCTACATTTTAAAAACTTCTTATTAGACTTTTAAAGTTAATATTACAGTTCCTCCCATTTTACCTATTTGTTGCACAATGATTTTTACCATTTGTGTAAAAAAGAGTTAACCTGGCAGGTATGACTATTGTCCTTTGAAAGACTTGCTTATAAAGCTGGCTCTTGTGAACTTGATTTCGGGGGACTCTCACCACTAACTGATGAGTAGCTCTCTGTGCCTTAATTGTCTGTTCTAACAAGGTGGGTTGATGCTGAATATCAACTTTCCTTCCCGAAGTGTGGAATTTTGGCATATGTCAGGAAAAGATGCCTTTGTGACCATCTCCAGTACAAAACCAGAAGCACCAAGTCCTTCATGAACTTCCCTGGTTGACAGCATTTCTCGTGTGTTGTCATACTCTTGTTTGTGCCTGGCTTCCCCCAGACTTTGCCCATGCCCCTTTTCCCTTTGCTAAATTTTCTTTGTATCTTATGCTGCAATAGTCATAACCATGAATATGATGATATGCAGAATTCTGTGAATCTGCCTAGTGGATTGTCTGACCTTGGTATGGACTTGAGGGTAACCAGTGCTCCATATATAAAGGTTGGTAGGAAATCTGTATCCTCAAAGGTCCTCAAATCAGCAGATATATTGGTAATTTCATTGTAACCTTTTTTTCCATAAAAGATACTGAAACCTACAGACAGTATGTTTTATGAGTAAAAGAGAATGAACCATTTAAAAATAAGTGTTATATTTGTCCATAAGGCAGTCAAGCGAATTTCATTTCCTTGAAACTTAAAATATATGTTACATGAATACTGCTGGCTACAATAAGCATGCCTGAGATTTTAAATTATTTCTGAATATTTTCTTCACTTTCAAGATAGCAAGAACATATTTTTCTCCAGATTGACTATTTAAATAGGATAAGAGAGGAATTTTATTTGCTGTTTCTATACGTCTTCTCATGAGACACTTTGTTGAAGTGTGGCACAGAAAGTATTGGCTGGCTCACCATATAGCCATGCATCCATCCAGCCCATAACACATAACATGGGGTTGTGGACATAAAAGACCAGGTGCCTGCTTTCCAGGAGGCTCCAGTCTAGTGAGAGATCATGAGTCAGATAAGTGCTACGAGAGGGTTATTCTCAGTACACAGGCGGCATAAAGGAGATGAATTCAGTTTGTCCAAGGGGAGGAAACAGGGAAGGATTCCAGGAGGTGACAAGGACACAGGAGTTAGGATTTCATTTCAAATAGAGAAATAATCTAGAACAAGGATGCGTCTTGTATATCACCAATTTCATTTTATTTTCTTTAGAGATGAGAAAAATTCAGACCTAAGAAATTAAGTGATTGCCTAAGTTCACTTAGCTAGTTAGTGGTAGAGCTGAGACTGGAATCTAGTCCTTGGAAGCTCATGCTGGCAGTGTTTCTACTATTTAACCTAGAATAAAAGCATTTCGAAGAAGATTGTCAGTAAAATCCAATACTTGATTGTGTTCATTTTTAATAGGGAAGGATAATATGTGGCATCAATTTGCATGTGATTCATAGATTGATTTTAGTTTTTCATACTGTGGTTCAGGATAAAACTAATAGTGAAGCCAAAACAAAACAAGCAATAAGCAGTGTTCAGAGTCAGTGGACAGGACTCTCAATCTGGGCATGAACCAATACGTCTAGTGTGGCCACAGCATATCTGTCACCTGCATTGTAAAATATCTCATTTTAGTGAAAGCATTTAACTTTCATATGAGTATTGTTTAAGAAGTGTTACTGAATTTAGTAATATTGTCTTGCTGATAATACTGCATTCTGATATACTCTCTGTTAACATGTCAATACTGCTGTACTGGTTAGTATAAATACATAGAAAGATAAAAATTCTCACATTAAAAAAACTGCTACTTTTTTTTTTTTTTTTTTTTTTCAGACAAAGTCTCACTCTGTGTCCCAGGCTGGAGTGCAGTGGCACGATCTTGGCTCACTGCAACCTCCACCTCCCAGGTTCAAGCAATTCTCCTGCCTCAGCCTCCTGAGTAGCTGGGATTACAGGTGCACGACACCACGCCTGGCTAATTTTTGTATTTTTAGTAGAGACAGGGTTTCACCATGTTGGCCAGGCTGGTCCCAAACTCGACCTCAGGTGATCTGCCCATCTCAGCTTCTTGAAGTACTGGGATTACAGGCATGAGCCACAGGGCCCGCCTGCTACTTTTTCACTTTTGTATCTTAAGTTATTTTTAAAAAGATATTAATACTTTTATATTAGAAGTTACAAAAAATATTGACAAGCTTACCACCAAATGTGTACTAAATTATGTATACTAAAAATATTAGTTAATCAAAAAAAAAGGAAGGGAAGGAGAAAAAGAAAATACAAAATTGAATATTTTCATATAGAACTGGAAAAATCTGAGACTTGTTTGGTAGCAGGTAGAGAATGTGTTTTTTTTGTTGTTGTTGTTAGGGCTGAAAACTAACAGAAGATTACTATGCAGCCAATTCCAAAAATGCAAAAGAAGAATGTAAACTGAATTTTGAAAAAGAAAAAAATAACTAAGATTGAACCATGTTAATACAGGCTAAAATTATATAATCAAGCGGGTTTCCCTTTTAAATACCATGTCTATGTTATATCGGTGGGTATAAACCCTCTTGTGGTTCCAGATTGAGTGATCATGGCCAGAGAAGTGTTGTCTTTTCACTCCATGACTCTGCTTATTTTGTCACTGGTGTAATTAAAGTTTCTAAGCAAATGGCTCTAGAGTTCTAATACCTTTACTATTGTCATGGAGTGGGGCCCATTGGATGTTGATAAAAATGATGTCAAACTGACATCCTTTAGTAGTGGTCTCAAAGAATTGCTTCCATTGTGGCTTCAGAGGCTTATCTTCCTTTAGCTCCATAGTTTCTAGTTTAGAGTCTTTTTGTTTGTTTTTGAGGCAGAGTCTCGCTCTGTCACCCAGGCTGGAGTGCAGTGGCACGATCTCGGCTCACTGCAAGCTCTGCCTCCCGGGTTCACGCCATTCTCCTGCCTCAGCCTCCCGAGTAGCTGGGACTACAGGCGCCTGCCACCATGCCCGGCTAATTTTTTGTTTTGTAATAGAGACGGGGTTTCACCATGTTAGCCAGGATAGTCTTGATCTCCTGACCTTGTGATCTGCCCACCTCGGCCTCCCAAAGTGCTGGGATTACAGGTGTGAGCCACCGCGCCTGGCCTAGACTCATTTTTATTAAACATCTCTATACCACTTAGTTCAATGCACAGGTTAGTCTGGTACCCCTTGCCAATATTTCTTTAACCCTTGTATTAGTCTGCTTGGCTTACTATCACAAAATACCATAGACTGAGTAGTTTCAACAACGGAAATTTATTTTCTCACAGTTCTGGAGGTTAGAAGTCCAAAATCAAGGTGCAGTAGGGATGTTGTCTGGGGACGTTTCTCTCCTTGGGTTGCCACTGGCCACCTTCTCACTGTGTGCTCACATGGCATCCCTGCAGTGCCTGTGTGTGAGAGAGTGAGAGAGCTCTCGAGTCTCTTGTTATAAAGACACAAGTCCTATTGGATCAGAGCCTCATCATTATGACCTCACGTAACCTTGATTACTTTCTCAGAAGCCTTGTCTCCAAATACAGCCATACTAGAGGTTAAGGCTTCCCCATATGAATTTGCGGGTGGGAGACATAAACATTCAGTCTGTAACAACCAAGTTTTATATTTTAAGTTAAATATGAAGAAATGACTTTGAAAATATGTTAAAATCAAAACTTACAGCTGGAGTGTAACATTACTGGGGATGGATGTGCAGCAGCAGCAGCAGCAACAACATTCAGTGCTGATTTTTATAACTTCTGGGCAATGTATAATTATCAATACCAGCAAGGTTTTCTTGCTGCCCTACAGTGATTTAAGAAGGATTGCTATTTAAACTTAGAAAAAAGTCCCCAGGCATGATCAATCCGAATTGTAAAATGGAAAAACAGAACATAGAGGTACATGTAGATTCCATTTAACCCTAAAAAGCCACTGTCCTTTTCTACAGATGGCACTGTTCTTGAGTAGAGATCAACTGAAGCCAGCTGGCAATGTTATGGAGAAGCGTAGTAGCAATCCTGTATTTTGATGTTCCAGTGGTAAGAAATAGTGGTTTGGGTTCACTCTGGCATTAGCACAGGCTCAGAACTCAATAATGCTTTTCTTTCCAGAAAACGTTCATATTATGGTGAATCCAGCAGCACAAAATGTCATTTTTTTCTGTGATCAATGAAGCTTCTCAGTAGCAATGATCTTTTGTAAATGAAAAACATACTGGAATTGGATATCAAACAGGCATAAAGTATTTGCTTGGTGTACATGTGTCGCAGATTGCATCTATTTCAGTAGCAATACGAGCATCTTCGAAGAAATGGTCTAGGAGTGACAATGGGTGTTCCAACTACTTTTTTTTCTTTTCTTCACCCACCCTCCCCACAATGGTATATTAGCTAAACAAAATAGTAGAGCCCGTTTGTTCCACGAATCCATCAATTCTTGATGCTGTGGAAAAGACATTACTAAAACATTGTCCACACTTGCAACAAAAGATAATATAGTTTCCACAAAACCCTCAAATAGTACGTAGTATCTATGTTTACTTCTCTCATAACACTGATTATGGTACTTTGGTTTCTTATTTACATTTCTATTTTTCAACTAAACAATGAGCTCCATACAGTAGGTATTTTCTGTAATACTTTATTGTCAATGGCCAGAATAGAGTCTGCTATATAATTAAATGAATGAATGAAACGTGAATCTGTCACGCTGCCCAGCAGTTTTTATCATCACTGACCAGAATAATCACTGTTATCTAAAAACACACAATATCTTTGATAACTTTGGCAATAAGCCCTATGTAATAGGATTATGAAAATTACCATTATTAATTGGTGTTAAATCACGATTAGAGTTAACTCCCAGCTGCTGTTTCTAACCATTTGTGCCTGCAAATTCTGCACAGTCCTGCAGCACCAGCTTGTCTAGTGCATTCAGAGTAGTACAGCAATTTTGATATCACTGTGGAGTGAATTGAGATCACCCGATGCCAGTGGCTGTGATTGTCAGAGTAGTGCCTTATTCCCATTGTGAAGGACTTTGAAGAGAAAACGATTGCTCTGAAAACCCTGCATGCCACATTTGAATCTGAGCAGAGTGTAGATATAACTCTCATTACCTCAATTGATCATCAGGACTGCAAATTCACTCCAACCTACTGGCCCTGCTGGCAGTAGCTCTGCTTACATGTTATGGTTTGTAGAAATTTCACTTCCAAAGTGATGCTACTCATCACTTCACAGTTTACACGCCACAGGCGTGATGGCGTTTGAGCTTGAAATCAACACTGTAAGACAAGTGAGTTAAGGGAGGTAAGGTGCTTCGCTCATGGCCATACAGGTGATAATTGTTCTGAGCCTGCAGCCTCAGTTTTTCAACTCCAAGCTGGCTCCAATTCCACTGATGGGGGTAGAAAGAGGCAGACCTTCAACAATTCCTGAAGTTTGTCATGTGCATTTAGATGAAGCAGAGGCCTAATTATGGAGTCTTTTAAGCCCTTAAGCTGCTTCTATTTAGGGCTCTCTGTTGGTCTGCTTCCAGACGGAATAAAAACTTTTCCACATTTAGTCACCAGGACAGAGGTTCACAGATACCTTGCTCCTGAATATGCCTCCAAAGCAGTTATTCAAGGACAGTTTCACAAGTTTCAAAGTTGGGGCTGGATTCAGTAATTTACCAACATTTTGAACCATAGGTAATACTGTCTGTTCTTTGCCAGCTCTTCTTTTTAAAACCAGAGTTTATTTTTATTGCAAGAAAATACATGTTTTAATAGTAAACAAGAAGAAAATAAATAAGCCTTTAATAGATAGAAAAGTATTTAACCAACATAATGTAAAAAGATAGACATTTTACAAATTATTTTTCTTGCAAATGTCTATTCAACAATCTATTTGAGACATTTGTTTTTATTTTAGGTCTGAGTCCTGCCTCACCATAATGCATCTCTAGAGGCATCTTAGCTGGACGCTAGACTGTTTGTTTCTAAAATGTCTACTACTTATGAATTCTCAGCCATTAATATTTGATATGATTAATAAATGATGTGCTCTATCACATCATTTTCATTTAAAGGAAAATACTCCTTTTGAATTAGAAAACAAGGGTTTGTATTAATGTTAAGACTTAAATGTGTGTATTATTTTCTTCCTTAATGCCTTTTGGCATTGATTTAAACTTAGGATACATGCAAATTTTCTTATCCTAACTACTTAGGCCTTGTTTTACTTTTTCTTTGTTTTTAATTTTTTTTATAATTTGTATAAATTTAAGGGGTTCGAGTGCAGTTTTGTTATATGAGTATATGGCTTAGTGGTAAAGTCTGGGTTTTTAGTGTAACCATGACCTGAGTAATATACATTGTGATCGTTAAGTAATTTCTCATCCCTCACCCCTCTCCCACCCTGGCACCCTCCCAAGTCTCTAATGTCTATCATGCCACACTCTAGGTTCATGTACACACATTACTTAGCTACGAGTTATAAGTGAGAACTTGTGGTATTTGACTTTCTGTTTCTGCGTTGTTTCACTTAAGATAATGGCCTCCAGTTCCATCTATGTTGCAGCAAAAGACATTATTTTATTGTTTATAATGGCTGAATGGTATTCCATTGTGTGTATACATATCACATTTTGTTTATCTTATTGACTTTTATTTTAGGTTCGGGGGTACATGTACAGGTTTGCTACATGGGAAAATTGCATGCAATGGGGCTTTGGTATACAGGTTATTTTGTCACCCAGGTAATAAGCATAGTAAATGACAGCTAGTTTTACAAACCTCATCCTCCACCCTCCAGTAGGTTCTGGTGTCTATTGTTCCCTTCTTATTGTCCGCGTGTACTCAGTGTTTAGTTCCTACTTATAAGTGAAAACATACAGTATTTGATTTTCTGTTTCTGCGTTAATTCACTTAGGGCAATAGCCTCCTGCTGTATCTGCATTACTGCAAAGAACATGATTTTGTTCTTTTTATGGCTGTGTAGTATTCCAGTGTGTATATATACCCCATTTTCCTTATCTAGTCTACCATTGATAAGCATTTAGGTTGATTTCATGTCTTTACTATTGTGAGTAGTGTTGCAGTGAAAATATGCATGTGTGTGTCTTTATGGTAGAATGATTTCTATTCCTTTGGATATATAGTTAGTAATGGGATTGCTGGGTCAAATGGTAGTTCTGTTTTAAGTTTTTTGACAGATCTCCAAGCTGCTTTCCACAGTAGGTGAACTAATTTAAATTCCCACCAGCAACATCTATGTGCTCCCTTTTCTCTGCATCCTCAACAGAATCTGTTGTTTTTTGACTTTTTAAGAATAGCCATTCCAACTGGTGTGAGATGGTATCTCATTGTAGTTTTGATGTGCATTTCTCTAATGACTATTGATGTTGAGAATTTTTCCATATGCTTGTTGGCTGCATGTATGTCTTCTTTTGAAAAGTATCTGTTCATGTCCTTTGCTCATTTAAAAAATATTTTTATGTTTTTAATTTTTTGTGGGTACATAGTAGATGTATGTATTTATGGGGTACATGAGATGTTTTGATATAGGCATGCAATGTGAAATAATCATATCATGGAGAATGGGGTATCCATCCCCTCAAGTATTCATCCTTTGTGTTGCAAACAATCCAGTTACACTCTTTTAGTTATTTTAAAGTGGACAATTAAGTTATTATTGACTATAGTCACCTTGTGCTATCAAATACTAGGTCTTATTTCTTTCTACTTTTTTGTACCCATTAACCATCCCCAAGTACCCCGACCCAGGCCCCACCACCCATCCCAGTTTCTGTTCACCATCCTTCTACTCCCTATAATTATGAGTTCAATTATTTTGATTTTTTTAGACCCCACAAATAAGTGAGAATATGTGAAGTTTGTCTTTCTGTGCCTGGCTTGCTTCATTTAACATAATGATCTCCAATTCCAACCATGGTTTTGCAAATGACAGGATCTCATTCTTTATCATGGATGAATAGTTCTCAGGTGTGCATACATACCACGTTTTCTTTATGCATTCATCTACTGATGAACGCTTAGGGTGCTTCCAATTCTTAGCTATTGTAAACAGTGCTGCAAAAAACATAGGAGTGCAAACATCTCTTTGATATACTGATTTCCTTCCTTTTGGGTATATACCCAGCAGTGGGATTGCTGGATGATATGGTAGCTCTGTTTTTAGTTTTTTGAGGAACCTACAAATTTGTTATACATAGTGGTTGTACTAATTTACATTCTCACCCACAGTGCACAAGATGTCCCGTTTTTCCACATCCTTGTCAGCATTTGCTATTGCTTGTCTTTTGGATATAAGCCATTTTAACTGAGGTGATAACTCATTATAGTTTTTATTTGCTCAAAGTGATGTTGAGCACATTTTCATATGCCTGATTTCCATTCGTCTGTCTTATTTTGAAAAATGTCTTTTCAAATCTTTTGCCCATTTTTGATTGGATTATTAGATATTTCCTATAGAGTTGTTTGAGCTCCTTATATATTCTGGTTATTAATTCCATGACAGATGGGTAGTTTGCAAATATTTTCTCCCATTCTGTGAGTTATCTCTTCACTTTGTCGATTGTATCCTTTGCTGTGCAGAAGCTTTTTGACTTGATGTGATCCCGTTTGTTCATTTTTGCTTTTGTTGTCTGTGCTTGTGGGGTATTGCTCAAGAAATTTTTGCCCAGACCAATGCCCTGGAGATTTTACTCAGTATTTTCTTGTAGTATTTTCATAGTTTGAGGTCTTAAATTTTCTTTGCCCACTTTTTAATGGGGTTGTTTGTTTTTTGCTTGTTAATTTGTGTAAGTTCCTTTTAGATTCTGGATATTAGTCTTTCATCAGGTTCACAGGTTTTAAAACTTTTCTCTCATTATGTACGTTGTCTGTTTACTCTGTTGATAGTTTCTTGTTGTGCTGAGACTCTTTAGTTTAATTAGGTCCCATTTGTCAATTTTTGTTTTTATTGCAATTGCTTTCAGAGTCTTCATCATGAAATCTTTGCCAGGACCTATGTCCAGAATGGTGTTTCCTAAGTTTTCATCTAGGGATTTATAGTTTTAGGGTTTACATTTCATTCTTTAATCTGCCTGAGTTGATTTTTGCACATGATAAAAGGCGAGGGTCAAGTTTTAGTCTTCTGCATATGGCTAGCGAGTTATCTTAGCACTATTTATGGAATAGGGAGTCCTTTTCCTATTGCTTGTTTTTGTCAGCTTTCTCAAAGTTCAGATGGTTGTAGGTGTGTGGATTTATAACTGGGTTATCTAACTTGTTCCATTGGTCTATGTGTCCATTTTTGTACCAGTACAATGCTGCTTTGATTACTGTAGCCTTGTAGTATAGTTTGAAGTCAGGTAGTGCGATTCCTCCAGCCTTGTTCTTTTTGCTTAGAATTATTTTGGCTATTTAGCCTCTTTTTTTGGTTCCATATAAATTTTAGAATAGTTTTTTCTAATTCTGTGAAAAATATCATTGGAAGTTTGATGGAAATAGCGTTGAATCTATAAATACCATTGGACATTATAGTTATTTTAACAATATTGATTTTTCCTATCCGTGAGTGTAGAATGTTTTTCCATTTGTTTGTATCATTTCTGATTTCTTTCAACAGTGTTTTGTAATACTTGCTGTTGAGGTCTTTCACCTCCCTGGTTAGCTGTGTTTTTGGGTACTTTATTTTTGTGTGTGTGCCTATTGTCAGTGGGATTGCATTCTTGATTTGGCTGTCAGGTTGGACATTGTTGGTATATAGAAATGCTACTGATTTTTTTATATCGATTCTGTATCCCAAAACTTTGCTGAAGTGGTTGATCAGTTTTAGGAGACTTTGGGCAGATACTGTACGGTTTCTAAGTATAAAATCATATAATCTAGGAAGAGATAGTTTGACTTCCTCTCCCTGTTTGGATGCCTTTTACTTCTTTCTCTTGCCTGATTGCCCTGGCTAGCACTTCCAGTGCTGTGGTGAATAGGAGTGGTGAGAGTAGGCATCCTTGTCTTGTTCTGGTTCTCAAGCCAAATGCTTCCCCATTTTGCCTAGTCAGTATGACTTTGGCTGTGGGTTTGTCATAAGTGGCTCTTATTATTTTGGGGTATTTTCCTTTAATGTCTAGTTTGTTGAGGGTTTTTAACATGAAAATATGTTTAATTTTACCAAAAGCCTTTTCTGTATCTATTGAGATGGTCATGTAGTTTTTATTTTTAGTTCTGCTTATGTAATGAATCACATTTATTGATTTGCATGTGTTTAACCAGTCTTGCATCCCAGGAATGAAGGCTTGATTGTGATGGATTAGCTTTTTGATGTGCTGCTGGTTTTGGTTTGCTAGTATTTTGTTGAGGATTATTGCATCTCTGTTCATCAGGAATGTTGGCCTGCAGTTTTCATTATTTGTACTGTTTCTGCCAGGTTTTGGTATCAGAATGATGCTAGCCTCATAGAATGAGTTAGGGAGGAGTTCCTCCCCCTCATTTTTTTGGAATAGTATTGGTACCAGCTTTTCTTTATATGTCTGGTAGAATTTGGGTATGAATCTGTCTTGTCCAGTGCTGGTTCTGGTTGGTGGGCTTTTTATTACTTATTCAATTTTGAAACTTGTTATTGGTCTGTTCAGTGTTTCAATTTATTCCTGGTTTAATTTTGGGAGGTTGCATGTTTCTAGGAATTTATCAATTTCTTCTAAATTTTCTAGTTTGTATGCATGAAAGTGTTTGTAATAGCCTATGAGGGTTTTTTATATTACTGTGGGGTCAATGGTAATGTCTCCTTTGTTATTTCTGATGTGTTTATTTGGAGCTTCCCCTCACTTTTTTTTGTTAGGATAGCTAGAGATCTGTTAGTTTTATTTATTCTTTCAAAGGAAAAACTTTTGGTTTGTTGATCTTTCATGCTTTTTCACGTTTCAATTTTGTTCAGTTCAGCTCTGATTTTGGTTATTTCTTTTCTTCTGCTAGATTTGCAGTTGGTTTGTTCTTGTTTTTCTAGTTCCTCTAGGTGTGATATTACATTGTTAATTTGAGATCTTTCTACCTTCTGATGTGGGCATCTAGCACTATGGTCTTTTCTTTTAACACTGCCTTAGGCGTGAGATTCGGGTATATTGTCTCTTTTTTTTTGTTACTTTCAAAGAATTTCTTGATTTTTGCCTTAATTTCATTGTTTACCCAGAAGTTATTCAGGAGCAGGTTGTTTAATTTCCATGTAATTGTATGATTTTTAGAAAGCATCTTAGTATTAATTTCTATTTTTATTGTGCTGTGGTCTGGAAGTGTGGTTGATATGTTTTCAGTTTTTTTGAATTTGTTGAGAATTGTTTCATGGCCAAGTGTGTGGTCAGTTTTAGAGTATGTGTTATGTGCAGATGAGGAGAATTGTATATTCTATTGTTGTTGGGTAGAGTGTTCTGCAGATGCCTTTTAGGTCCATTGGATCAAGTGTTGAATTTAGGTCCTAAATATCTGTGTTAGTTTTCCACCTCAATTATCTGTCTAATACCATCAGTGGGGTGTTGAAGTCTCCCATTATTATAGGGTGGTTATCTAAGTCTCTTTGCACTGCTGTAAGAACTTGTTCTATGAATTTGAGTGCTTTAGTGTTGGGTATGTGTATATTTAGGATAGTTATGTCTTCTTGTTGATTTGAAGCTTTTATAATTATGTAATGCCCTTCTTTTTCTTTTTCATTATTTTTGATTTAAAGTCTGTTTTTTTTTTTGAAATTAGAATAGCCACCTCTGTGTTTGTTTGTTTGTTTGTTTTCCATTTGCTTGTTAGATTTTTCTCCATCCCTTTACTTTGAGCCTGTGGATGTCATTGCATGTGAAATGGGTCTCTTGAAGACAGCATACTGTGGGTGGGGTGACGATGGGAAGGTTTGTGCATATGCATGCCATTGATAGCATGGTGGTGAGGTTTGCACATGCATGCACCAACAAAGTGGTGGGGTGACGTTGTGGTGGAGTGTACATTGGCAAAGCTGTGTGGAGAGGCTGCTGCTGGGTGCCTGTTGGTGAGGGCTTGTCTGCTGAAACTCTCCATTGGTTAAGCAGGGTCTACTGGTGAAGGAGCTCTGGCAGCAGTTGCTGGGAAATGGCCCATCTGGGCATTCAAGGCTGTGCTGCAAGTGGGCATGGGCTTGCAGGGACCACACGGGAGGCTAGAAGACAGGGTTCACTCAGATCAGACTGCCCTTGTTCCATGGGCAAGACAGACTTGCTCTGTCCAGGTGTGACAGTCAGCAAAGACCAAAGCCACCAAGAAGAGTATGGAGAGCCTTGGGGAACGGGTGTCCCCAGCCATTCTCTGACTTTCCCAAGCCAAACTCTCTGGGCTCTGCTCAGGCTAGTGTTCTGTCCCTGCCACCTCTCCAAGCAGCAATCTCTGTCAGCTGAATATCCATGGGTTGTGCAGTCTTCTGAAGCTAGGATTCTGGAGGTCCATGGCAAGAATGGTCCACTCCACACCTGTTTAACTCACCTCTTCCCCAGGAGCTGCTGGGGGCCAAGAATGAGTACTGGTGCTTGGCAGTCCCATGCAAGATTTCCAGCTTGCTCTCCCTTCACCCCAGGGTCTGCATCCTCCCTCCATCCATTCTCAATGCCATCCTTCGAAAGGTCCCCTCACAGTGTGCCAGTCTTCTTGATGCTCTAGTATGTTGGTGAGAGATGCTTTTCTTGGCTGCATCTAGTCTACCATTTTGGCTCTTCCTATACCACATTTTATGGCTCGTTTTTTCTTCTGTCTTCTAGAATAAAAGTAAATAATTTTTCTCTGCAGTTGAATATATAATATAATGATGTGCGATATTAAGTTTGAATTTTTTATAGACTTGTATTACAATGTATTTTTAGCCAGAGTTCTTTTGAGAGTTCTTCCCTCCCCAACCCCCAAGGCAACATCTAAATTTGATCATACAGTTTGTCATTTTAGGGATTTCTTCCCTTCACTTTTTGAATTGAATCTATTGTCTCAGCTTTTTCTGTTTTCTGAGGTGACTGAAAAAATATAGAAGCTCAACAGACATGTATTTGAAAAGCTTCCATGCTGATTCTGATCTGTAGCTTTGTAGCACATTACAATGGACCATAATCCTTTTTTTTTTTTTTTTGAGAGAGTGAGTCTCATTCTGTCACCCAGGTTGAAGTGCAGTGGCGTGATCTTGGCTCATTGCAACCTCCGCCTCCCAGGTTCAAGTGATTCTCCTGCCTCAGCCTCCAGAGTAGCTGGGATTACAAGCGCCCGCCACCACACCCAGCTAATTTTTGTATTTTTAGTAGAGACGGGGTTTCTCCACATTGGCCAGGCTGGTCTTGAACTCCTGACCTCAGGTGATCTGCCGGCCTTGGCCTCCCAAAGGGCTGGGATTACAGGGGTGAGCCACCCTGCCTGGCCGACCGTAATCTTTTGAGGAGCATTTGGTTATTCAAAGGAGGGATTTCAAGGTGTTTATGGTGAATTCAGGCTGTGAAAAAAATAAAATAAATGTTGTAATAATACATATGACTGTCTATATGATAGAAAGGACTTTAAAGCATTATATACATTTTGCAAATGAGAAAATAGCTACTCTGTGGTTAGACTGAATTCTTAATACTTAACTGTTCTCACCAAAATAACATCTGCCTTGCTGCAATGTCTTTTTTATTCCCCAGCTGGGAGGTGCATTTCACAGATTTTGCCTTCCAGTCAGGTGATCTTTTTCTAAAGGAATCAAATGAAGCAATTCTACTGAGTAGCCAGAGACACTCAGATGACCCAGCAAGGCTATAGTAATTTCTCTTGGAAAAAGTCATTCATTTTCTGTCTCTTCTCTCTGAATCAGGTTGTACTTGATTCATCCAACACTTTTAGAAGTTGACATTTGATTTCACTCGGGTATGTTCTGTGTTCACACTTTTGTCCTCTAGAGAGTAATGTCATCTGTAGAAGTTCAGAGACACAGTCCTTTAGGAAACTCGCAATCTGGAACGGAAGCTGCAAGTAAAAGCTAAAATTGCTAATTCTGCACATAAGAAGAGGCCGATTTCCCCTAATGATAGCACACAGAGGTAATACAGAGAACTGGACCCTGATCAGGAATTTGCTTCCTTTTTTAACTGGTACCTCGGTGACCGTGTTAGGTATGATTATGGACTGTATTATAACTTAGAGCATTACATGGGTAATATGTAACACGGGTCCTTTGAAAGTTAGTTTCCCATGATAGGAAGTTATGTACTCATTCTCGTGTGAAAAAAGAGTGTTTCCTAGTGCTCAGAATTCAGAAACTAGGATGTCAAATGACCTAGTTGGCCATTGTAGAGTGTGATAGTACACAGCAGAGAGTCTCCTGTGCCAGCAAAGGTGAGCAGGAGAAATCAGATCCAGCCTCCTGGATTTGCAACTCCACAAAATGAGACTGACTGGCAGCTTTTAAATAGCAACATGTTTGTACCTGAGAGTCACCAAGTGGCTTGTTATTGAAATCACACTCTGGGAAGACTCCCTGTAGGCTGTTGGGAGTGGGGATGCAGGTGGGGAGAAAAGAAAAGTGCCTGACATGGGCCTATCCCCGCCGTTCAGGTGAAGCTGGCTTCTTCAAAGTGTTTGTAAAAAAAGTCACAAAATGGATGTTTGCTCTGGTGAAAAAACTATGAAAGTAGATTTGGATTTGGTAATTTTGCAAAGCTGAAAAATCTCTGTTGTTGGGTTCCTGAGTCATTCTACTCAGCTTGCTCCCTTAAAGGGCTCTTTTAAATTTTGAACCAGCAATTTTATGGAGGTTGGTAACAGTGGTGATGATCAGATAATATTGAAAGAGAGAGAGAAAGAAAGGACTGTAAAAATTCAAAAATTCAATCAGGACAAGTTTGTCAGCAGAAAAGACTTAAACAAATGTAATTATTAAAAAATATACCCTACGCCTGGAGGGTAAACCAGCTTTATGATATCAAATGGAATATAAAGGATTTGAATTTTCAGCTTTTGAGCAAATGTTATAAAACAAATGTGCCAATATCCTTCTGTAAGCACAGGCACCTCAGTATTTTCCATAATCAAATAGCCATGCCCCAGAAATAAATTCATAATTGATGCCACAGGATTTCAAATTATCTAAGCATTCTCTCATTTTCTTAAAGGCTCTTCAGAAAAAATATGCCTAATTTAGAAAACTGCTACTTTAGTCTGGATTTCAGACAGTGGGACTATTCAATCCTCAGGTGTGCTTCAGCTTGTCAAAAACAGCTGACTAATTTTGATGAAAGAAGACCAGAGATAGATTTAATATCTTACCAAAATAAGTCAAACTAATACAAGTGACCAGGACTATAATAAAGACAAAACATAGCCATCCATATAGTAACAAAAGTCATTGTTTTAAATGAGGATCAAGAGCAAAGGTATTCCTCTATTGAGTTATAAAGACTTTTGTTCTCAGAACTAAAAATTTGAGATCATGTCTTTGAAATACAGGACAATAAAATCAAGATTTAAACAAATGGAAGAGAACTTGGGAAAAGCATTTATTATAAAGAAAAACATCTGTGTCCCTTGGATTGCTAGCATATAAAATAAACTGAACATCTTATCCTATGTCTAGCTCCCTCCTCAAGCAGTGTCTTCCACCCTACACCCTCTGTTATCCTCCTCATGTGTTCCAGCTCCACATGACTCTCCTTTTTCCATACTAACCTACAACCAATTGCTGTAACATTTGGTTGGTATTTACTGTATGTTGCTTTGTAGGGTCATGTTGTGCTGAACAGATGACATATCCCCATGCACTGACAGTTACCTTCTTAAAGAGACATCTATTACCCCATATATCCAGCTGCTCTTTCTACGCCAGCACTTCAGTGACTTTTTCTGATTAAATGCATAATGATATTACAGAGTTCTTAATTTAAAGCAATGTGTGCTGCTTCCCTTTCTGGTGGTAGAAATTGATACCCATGGGAAGTAAGTACTGAGAGAAGAGTAGCAGAAAAGAGGGAAAAGAGGAATTTGATTTATTTTTTAAAATTCTACAAATCACCGGGGTAATTTTGGATGGTTCTTTTTTTAAAAGAATTTTATTTTTAACTTCAGTGGGTATATAGTAGGTATATGTATTATGGGGTTTCTGGGATATTTTGGTACAGGCATACAATGTATAATAATCACATCAGGGTAAGTGGGGTATCTATCTCCTCAAGCATTTATCCTTTATATTATAAGCAATCCAATCATACTTTTAGATATTTTAAAATGTACAATTAAATTACTACTGACTATAGTCACCCTGTTGTGCCATCAAATACTAGGTCATATTAACTATTTGTAACTTTTTTTTTTTTTTTTTGAGATGGAGTCTCGCTCTGTCACCAAGCTGGAGTGCAGTGGCCCAATCTTGGCTTACTGCAACCTCTGTCTCCCAGGTTCAAGCAATTCTACTGCCTCAGCCTCCTGAGTAGCTGGGATTACAGGTGCATGCCACCACACCCAGCTAATTTTGTATTTTTAGTAGAAAGGGGGTTTTGCCATGTTGGCCAGGCTGGTCTCGAACTCCTGACCTCAGGTGATCCACCCACCGTAGCCTCCCGAAGTGCTGGGATTACAGATGTGAGCCACCACCCTCGGCTGTAACTATTTTTTTGTAACCATTAACCATCTTCACTTTTCCTCCCATCCACCCACTACCCATTCCAGCCTCTGGTAACATCATTCTACTCTCTATCTCCATGAGTTCAGTTGTTTTAACTTTCAGCTCCCACAAATAAGTGAGAACATCTTGTCTTTCTATGACTGGCTTATTTCACGTAACATAATGAGTTCCTCTTCTATCCATGTTGTTGCAAATGTCTGGATCTCATTCTTTTGGTTTTTTTTTTTTTGGCTGAATAGTACTACATTGTGTGTATATGCCACATTTTCTTTATCTATATTCAGCTGTTGATGGACACTTAGGTTGCTTCCAAAACTTGGCTATTGTGAACAGTGCTGCAACAAACATGGGAGTGCAGATATCTCTTCGATATACTGATTTCTTTTCTTTTGGGTATATACCCAGCAGTGGGGGTGCTAGATCATATGGTAGTTCTATTTTTAGTTTTTTGAGGAGCCTCCAAACTGTTCTCCATAGTGCTGTACTAATTTACATTCCGACCAACAGTATACAAGGGTTCCCTTCTCTCCACACCCTCACCAGTGTTTGTTATTGCCTGTGTTTTGGATAAAAGCCATTTTAAATGGGGTGATAGGATATTGCATTGTAGCTTTGCATTGTAGCATTGCATTTCTCTGGTTGATCAGCTTTTAATACACCTATTTGCCATTTGTGTGTCTTCTTTTGAGAAATGTCTACTCAGATCTTTTGCCCATTTTTTTAAATCAAATTATTAGACTTTTTCCTATGGGGTTATTTGAGCTCCTTATATATTCTGGTTATTAATCCCTTGTTAGATGTGTAATTTGCAAATATTTTCTCCAATTCTGTGGGTTTTCTCTTCACTTTGTTTATTGTTTCCTTTGCTGTGAAGAAGCTTTTTAACGTGATCTATTTGTCCAGTTTTGCTTTGGTTGCCTGTGCTTATGGAGTATTACTGAAGAAATCTGCCCAGTCCAAGGTTCTGGAGAATTTCCACAATGTTTTCTTTCAGTACATTCATAAGTTAAGGACATAGATTTAAGTCTTTAATCCATTTTGTTTTAATTTTTAGATATGGTGAAAGATAGGGGTCTAGTTTCATTCTTTTGGATATGGATATCCAGTTTTCCCAGCACAATTTATTGAAGAGACTGTCTTTTCCTCATTGTATGTTCTTGGCATCTTTGTAACAAATGAGCTCACTGTAGATGTATGGATGTGTTACTGAATTCTCTATTCTGTTCCATTGGTTTCTGTGTTTGCTTTTATCCCAGTACCATGCTGTTTTAGTTATAGTAGCTCTGTTGTATAATTTGAAGTCAGTTAATATGATTTCTACAGTTTTCTTCCTTTTGCTTAGGACAGCTGTGGCTTTTCTGGGTCTTTTGTGGTTCCATATGAATTTTAGGATTTTTTTTTCTATTTCTTTGAAGAATGTTATTGGTATTTTGTTAGGCATTGTGTTGAATCCATAGATGGCTTTCAGTAGTATGGACATTTTAACAATATTGATTCTTCCAATCTATGAACATGGAATATCTTTCCACTTTTCTCTGTCCTCTGTAGTTTCTTTCACTGATGTATTATAGTCTTCATCATAGTGATCTTATTATTCTCTACTTAATTCTTAGGTATTTTATTTTATTTGTAGTTATCATAAATAGGATTACTTTCTTAATTTCTTTTTCAGATTGTTTGCCGTTGGCATATAAAAATGCTACTGATTTTTACATGTTGATTTTGTATCTTAGAACTTTACTGAATGTGTTTTTCAGTTCTAATAGTTTTTTGGTGGAGTCTAGGTTTTGTTTTTTTTTTCCTTAGAGGAAAGGCTTTCAGTTTTTCCCCATTTGGTATAGTACTAGCTGTGGATCTATAATATATGGTTTTTATTATGTTGACATGTATTCCTTCTATGCCCAATTTTTTGAGGGTTGTTGTCATGAAGGGATGTTGAATTTTATCCAATGCATTTTCAGCATCAATTGAAATGATCATGTAATTTTTTTTCCTTCATTGTGTTGGTATGATTTATCACACTGATTGATTTGCAAATGTTGAACCATCCTCAGATCCCTGGGATAAATCCCACTTGGTCATGATGAATGGACTTTTAAATGTGTTGTTGAATTATTCTTGCTAGTATTTTGTTGAAGGTTTTTACATCAGTGTTCATCAGAGATACTGTCCTGTAGTTTGCTCGCTTGCTTCCTTCCTTCCTTTTTCTTTTTTCGATGCATCTTTGTTTGGTTTTGGTATCAGAGTAATAATATTGTGCTCATAGAATGAGTTTGGAAGGATTCCTTCTGCCTCTATTTTTAAGAATAGTTTAAATAGGATTGGTATTAGTTCTTTAAATGTTTAATAAAATTCAACTGTGAAGCCATTGTGTCCCAGCTGTTTTTTGCTGGGAGACTTTTTAGTTACTGCTTCTAATTACTTCTTGTTGGTCTATCAAGTTTTGGATTTCTTTATGGTTTAATGTATTTGCAGGTCGTATGTGTCTAGACATTTATCTATTTCTTCTAGGTTTTCCAATCTATTGGTATGTAGTTGTTCTCAGTAGCCTCTAATGATTCTTTGAATTTCTGCTGTATTGGTTATACTTTATCCTTTTTCATCTCTGATTTTATTTATTTGGGTGTTCTCTCTTTTTTATATTTGTCAATTTTGTTTATCATCATAAATAGCCAACTTTTTATTTCATTGATTTGTTGAATTGTTTTGTTTCAATTTTATTTATTTCTGCTGTGATGTTTATTATTCTTTTCATCCACTAAATTTTGGTTTTGTTTTCTCTTGCTTTTCTAGTTCTTCAGTATGCATCATTAGGTTGTTTATGGGAAGCTTGCCTTCTTTTTTGATGTAGGCACTTATAAACCTTCTTTGTCTCTTTATATAGTTTTTGTCTTGAAGTCTATTTTGTGTAAGTATAGCTATTTCTATTTTATTTTATTTTATTTTATTTTACTTTATTTTATTTTTAGACAGAGACTTGCTTTGTCACCCAGGCTGGAGCGCAGTGGAGCAATTTCAGCTCACTGCAACCTCTGTCTCCTGGGTTCAAGCAATTTTCCCACCTTGGCCTCCCAAGCAGCTGGTACTAAAGCCACACACCCCCATGCTTGACTATTTTTTTTTGTATTTTTAGTAGAGATGGGATTTTGCATGTTGACTGGGCTGGTCGTGAACTCCTGACCATAAGTGATCTGCCCACCTCAGCCTCCCAAAGTGCTAGGATTATAGGCATGAGCCAGCATTCCTGGCTCTATTTTTTTTATTTTCCATTTGTATGAAATACCATTTTCTATCCCTTATTTTTAGTCTGTGTGTGCTTTATAGGTGAAATATGTTTCTTATAGGCAACAGATCATTGGATCTTGTTTTTTTTTTTAATCATCCCTTCAGCCACTCTACGTCTTCTGACTGATGAGTTTATTCCATGTACATTTAATGTTGTATTGATAAGTAAGGACTTACTTCTGCCTTTTTGTTATGTGTTTTCTGGTTTGTCTTCCTTCTTTACTTCCTTCCTGTCTTTCTTTTAGTATAGGTGATTTTTTTCTGATGTTATGTTTTAATTTCTTGCTTTTTATTTGTTTTGTATCTGCTGAATGTTTTTAGATTTGAGGTTACCATGAAGCTTGCGAATAATATATTATAACCAATTATTTTAAGCTGATGACAAATTAATACTGATTGCAAACAAACAGATAAGCCAAAGAGAACTAATAAAAACTCTATATTTTAACTGCATCTCTGTGCTTTTTAACTTTTTGTTGTTTCTATTTTATATATTATTGTACTGTCTATGTCTTGAAAAGTTGTTGTAGCTTTTTAGAATGTTTCATGCTTTCATCTTTCTATTTAAGATATGAGTAGTTTACACAGCACAATTGCAATGTTATTATATTCTATATTTTTCTGTGTACTTACTATTACTAGTAAGTTTTGTACCTTCAGATGATTTCTTATTGCTCATTAATGTCCTATTCTTTCAGATTGAAGAACTACCTTTAGCATTTCTTGTAGGACAGATATGGTATTTATGAAAACCCTCAGCTTCCCTTGTCTAGGAAAGTCTTTATCTTTCCTGTATGTTTGAAGGATATCTTTGCCAGATAACTATTCTAGGGTAAAAGGGTTTTTTTCTTTAGTACTTTGAATATATTATGCCACTCTCTCCTGGCCTGTAAGATTTACACTGAAAAGTCTGCTGCCATATGTATTGGAGCTCCACTGTATGTTATTTGTTTCTTTTCTCCTCCTGCTTTTAGGAACCTTTCTTTACCCTTGGCCTGTGGGAGTTTGATTATTAAATGCATTGAGGTAGTTTTCTTTGGGTTAAATCTGCTTTGTGTTCTATAACCTTCTTGTACTTGAATATTGGTATCTTTGTCTATGTTTGGAAGTTCTCTGTTATTATCCCTTTAAATTTTCTATTCCTCTGTCTCTCTACCTTCTCTTTAAGACCAGTAACTCTTAGATTTGCCGTTTTGAGGCTATTTTCCAGAACTTTAGTCATGTTTTCTTCTTTTTTCTTCTTTTTTCTCTTCTGTCTATTTTCAAATAGCCTGTCTTTAAGCTCACTAGTTGTTTCTCATGCTTGATCAATTCTGCTATTAAGAGACTGTGATGCATTCATCAGTATGTCATTTGCATTTTTCAACACCAGAATTTCTGTTTGATTCTTTTTAATTTTTTAAATTTCTCTGTTAAATTTATCTGATAGAATTCTGAATTCTTTCTATGTGTTATCTTGAATTTCTTTGAGTTTCCTCAAAGCAGCTATTTTGAATTCTGCTTCTGAACGGTGACATATCTCTGTCTCTCTGGGATTGGTGCCTGGTTTCTTGTTCAGTTTGTTTGGTGAAGTCATTGTATTAGTCTGTTTTCACACTGCTATAAAGATACTATCTGAGACTGGGTAATTTATAAACAAAAGAGGTTTATTTGACTCATAGTTCTGCATGACTGGGAAGGCCTCAGGAAACTTACAATCATGGTGGAAGGCAAAGGGAAAACAAGCACCTTCTTCACAAGGTGGCAGGAGAGAGAGGGAGGGGGAACTGCCAGACACTTTTAAACCATCAGATCTTGTGGGAAGTCACTCACCATCATGAGAACAGCATGGGGGAAACTGCCCCCATAATCCAATCACCTCCCACCAGGTCCCTCCATTGACACTTGGGGTTTACAATTTGAGATAAGATTTGGGTGGGGACACAGAGCCAAACCATATTAGTCTTGTTTTCTTGGATGGTCTTAATGCTTATGGAAGTACTACCAGGGTACCTCCAATGTTTTCTTAAGGCCCAAGGTTTCTTCATTCAGCTTGTGGTGAATGCTGCTAGGCCCAGAACTCATCCTTCAGGACAGGACAGTAGGATTCCCTCTGGGTCAGGATAGGTTCAGAAATGTCATCCAATAACCAAAGCCTGCAATCTGGGACCCCAAGAGCCCACTTGATGCTCTTCCCCACTGCGTTCAAGCTGGTACATAAGCTGCAAAATAAAGTCTCACTCATTCTTTTCTCTCCTCTTCTCAAGCAGAAGGGGTCTTTCCTTGGCAGGATCTGCATGTTTTGTTGTCTCTGTGTTGTACAGTGGAAGAGAAACAACACATTTTGGGGACAGCTAGGACCCATGCAGATGAGGTATTGGCTCACAACCCAAACCATAATATACACTATCAGGCAAGAGGTATTGCAGTTCCAGATCAAGACCCAAAGTGGAACTATCAAAGGGGCAATCAGGACTTGGGGAGGAGAGATTATGTGGTCACTTGTTGGTTGGAAGGGATGAAGGAATGTATGCAAAAGCCTGTTAACTATGAGAAGGTTAAGAAAGTTTCTCAGGGCAAAGATGTGAATCCAGCTTTATTTCAAGGGCGTTTAGTTGAGGCCATCAGGAAATATACTAACACTGATCCTACCTCAAGAGAAGGACAGACCCTTTTGGGAGTACATTTTATAACCCAGTCTTCCCCTGATATCCATAGGAAGCTATAAAAAGCAGCTATGGGTCCCCATACTTCTATGGAACAGCTCTTGTATATGGCATTTTAGTTTTTAATAACAGGGACAAAGCAGAGGAGGCAGAAAGAACAAGAAGGACTTCCCACAAGGTGCAGCTCTTGGCTCTATCCTTAAGCTCATCCCCCACATGGGGCTGCCCTCCTGGCTCTTGGCCTGAACAAGGGAAGCTGAAAGGTGGGAAAGCCAAATCTGGGTGTCTGAGTCACCATGCCTTGGGCATGAATTATAAGAAATTCATGCCTTGGGCACACTGTTAGAAAACTGGCCATGGAAGAGGGATTGCCCAGTGCTTAGAAGGGAGCTACTGGCATCTGAACCAATGATGGCCGAAATAGCCAGGCAAGTCCAAGAGTGATGGGGCCTGAGATCTTCCACCACAGCTCCCATTGGACAACTAGGCATATCTCTAGAGGAGCCTTGGGTAACCAATGACATGGCAGGTAAGAATATTAACCTCCTTCTGGAGTGCTTATTCTGTTTTGACCCATTATAATGGGCCTCTCTTACCCCAAAACTGTATGGTCAGGGGAATAGATGGAAAAGCCCATAGATGTCATTTTACCTATCCTTTAAGCTGCTCTTCAAGGACTTTGGTTTTCTCTTGAATGGCCCACCCCTTGTTAGGAAGGGATTTGTTAGCTGCAGACAGTAGTATCTTTTGGAAATCTCAACAGACAGAAATTGCTCCTTCTCTTTTTCTGTGAATAAATATCAGGCTTTGTTGCTAGATGCTCCTTATATAACACTTAAAGTATGCCAAACTTTGAATCCAGCTACCTATTTGCCTAAACCCACAGGCACCCTAGATCATTCTTATATACAAGTTATGGAGCAAGTTTACTCCAGCCGTCTGGATTTAAAGGATGAGCCTCTAGATAATCCTGAGGTAGAATGGTTTACAGATAGAAGTAGCTTTGTGCACCAG
Source organism: Homo sapiens (assembly GCF_000001405.40). NCBI lineage: Eukaryota > Metazoa > Chordata > Mammalia > Primates > Hominidae > Homo > Homo sapiens. The sequence goes on along the minus strand of NC_000014.9, from coordinate 62,750,896 downwards.
GGAAACAGGAAAGCTGGGTATGCTGTTGTCAGTTAACATGAGGTAATTGAATCTCAGGCCTTACCAGCTTCTACCTCAGCTCAAAAGGCAGAATTAATAGCTCTTATTAGAGCCCTGCAATTAAGAAAAGATTTAAGAGTTAACATTTACACTGATTCTAAGTATGCCTTTCTGGTACTTCATGCTCTTGCTGCTATCTAGAAGGAACAGGGACTCTGAGCTGCTAAGGGTTCTCCTGTAAAACATCACTTAGAAATTCTAAATCTATTAGATGCTGTTTTGCTGCCCAAGGAAGTAGCTGTAATCCATTGCAGAGGACGTCAAAAAGGAGACTCTAATGTGGCTAAGGGAGACTCCTTTGCAGATACAGCTGCTAAGGCAGCAGCATTAAAGGAGCCAGTTGGACTTGTCGGCAGGTTTGTACCCTCAGCCACGGCAATGACAGACCCTAGATATACTGAAGAGGAACAAGAATGGGCTAAAGGTCAGGGCTTAATTCAAGAGCTTTCTGGCTGGCTTGTCAATGACAGCAAACTGTTAATATCAGGTGCTAATCAGTGGAAAACAGTTAAGTAGTTGCATGACTCTACTCATTTGGGAAGAGCTTCCCTGTTTCACTTAATGTCTTTTTATAGGAAAAAAGCTTTTTATACGTAAAGGCTTACTTAAAACAGTAAAGCCGGTAACTAGGGCCTGTGAACTATGTGCCTGGAATAACCCAAATAACCAGTCTTCACCTCCTCCTCTAGTAAGGCCTGTTCAGCACAGGGGAGCATACCCTGGTGAAGATTGGCAAACAGACTATACCCAGATGCCCCCATGTAAAATATTTACATATTTATTAGTGTTCATTGACACCTTTACCAGTTGGGGTTGGATCAAGGCTTTTCCTACCTGGTCTGAAAAGGCAATTGAGGTTTCTAAGCTACTAAAGGAAATAATTCCTAAATTTGGGCTGCCTAAGCGCTTACAGAACAATAATGGCCCATCTTTCACAGCGACAATTACCCAAAACATATCTTCAGCCTTAGGAATTCAGGACCGCCTTCCCTTGGCATGGAGGTCACAGTCTTGGGGAAAGTGGAAAGAGCCAATCAAACTCTAAAGAGGACTCTTGCTAAACGGTGCCAAGAGACATCAGAAACCTGGCTGTCTTTATTACCTGTAGCCTTATTAAGGGTTCGAGTGGCCCCTAAGGGAAATCTGCAGCTCAGCCCTTTTGAAATAATGGATGAAAGTCCTTTCTTAACTACAGACCTCCTAATAGACATAGATACTTTCAAGCTACAGAGTTATGTGATCAACTTGGGACAAGTGCAAAACACACTTCTTGAATATGGAAATCAAAGACTCCCTTCCCCTCCTAAGGAAGAGAATCTTGTTACAACACAGCTGGGAGACTGGGTCCTATTAAAAACTTGGAAGGAAGGATCCCCAGCAGGTCAACTTTCCTCAAAATGGAGGTGACCCTATCAAGTTCTCCTTAGTACCCCAATTGCCATTAAACTTCTGGGAATAAACAGGTGGGTCTGCTTATCTGGAATTAAACTCATTTCTTATGAAGTCCCACAGGCCAATGGAACACAAGAGACTGATCTTGTTTATTCCTGTGAGCCAATCAGTGACCTTCGACTCCTGTTCAGAAGAAATGAAAGGGATGGGTAACCTAAAGATATGGATTGGCATTCTACTTTGGAATATAAGTTGGAATCAGGCAGAGAGTAACTTATTTACTGAGTGGGCACAGACTTTAGCCTCTCTACATAACCAAACTGTTGGGTATGTGGACATTTTAACAGCAGCTTGAGGGAGAACTTGTGCTTTGATCAAAGCCGAGTGCTGTGTGTATGTTCCAGACTATTCAAATAATATCACCCAAGCTATGAAAGCTTTAGACACTCATATTTCTGCCATTGATACGCTATCGGCTTGGTTGACCCTATATCGGCTTGGTTCCAACAGCTGCCCAGTTCTTGGAAAGCCTTTCTGTTTAGTTTACTTGGGAATGATTTTACTTATTTTACTTTGCTTTTGTGGGATATATTGCAGTTGTACTCTTTGTGCAGGAATACAAGACAAGTTCATTCAACACTTTCTTAAATTGGACACTTATTAATCTTCCAGATATTGGAAGATTTTTTTTGTCGGAACTCGCAGTTATGAACGACCTTCGCCATACCAACGCTCTCTGACTGAGCTCCTCTCTACCCTAAATGCAAGACACCATAGTTAGGCAGGAATATCATCACCCCTATTCAGCCTGAAGAAGTTACAGAAGACGGATCTTCATCCCTCTGCAACCCTTAGGATTAAGGTCCTCTTGTAAAGGAAGCAGGGAGATATGTCAGGGGCATTCGAACCAGAGCGACTCCATCTTGAATAAGGGCTGGGAAAATGGGGCCATGACTTGCTGGGCTGCATCTTCAGAAAGGTAGGCATTCCGAGCCTCTAGATGTTCACAGTTAAGGGAACAAATTAATAATGTTTACTAAACAGACCCCGACTTGGGAGTGTCCAGATATCCCGATATCTGAAGAAGAAAGACATTCCTAATTTTGCTTTGAAGATAATAATATCGATTCTTGCAAAATATAGTAATTAGGAAAATTAATCCTCTATCACAAACCCTTGTAGCAGACTATATCTCCCCATATATACCAGCATTGTACCTAGGGTGGATGCGTGCCTCCTTTTACTTTCAGGAACGTCCTACTCTGTCTATGGAGTAGCTGTCCTTTCACCACTTTACTTCTTAATAAACTTGCTTTTGCTTAGCACTGTGGACTCACCCTGAATTCTTTCTGGTGCAAGATCAAAGAACCCTCTCTTGGGGTCTGGATCGGGACCCCTTTCCTGTAACCAGAATCACCCTCTTATAAGCTAAGTATAACGTTTAGTGGCAAGGAATTTCATATACAGCAATGCAGTGTGCTTGAAATTGCAGAAATAAACACTTCTACACTTGCCTAAGATAATACTGAGTCTTCCCAAAGGAAATGCCTTTTTTTCTCCTATTAACACAAAACAGTATCTAATTCCAATTTTCTAAAAACTCCACACAGTCAGCATAACCTCTGTTATGAGTAGTATCTTAACTGTGTTCCCTAACATTTGTTAAATTATTTGGCTAATGATACATCTTAAGTGAACAGGTAGGGGTTGTGATGTTAAGTCAGGGTCTTGGCACTTTTAGTTCATGAATTGCGTTTCTCTAATTTAGGTTAACGAACAGACTTCTGTACTGTTTTGCTGCATGTGCTGAGATTAGCATTAGTTGATTTAACTTGACCTAAAGCTTGCACTTTAACTACAGGTTCTAAGCTCATCCTGAATTATATCTATCATTTGGCTGAGAACCCTGCTATCTGCTGAGATACTGTCCTTATAACCATGCCTTTGTGGCTATAGAAATAGAGTTATTATACAAATATGTTCCAGTTAATGGGAGACACTCAGGGGAAGCATTGGGAAAAATGGCAAAGAGCTTTGCCAATCTGTGCTTAGTATTAACCCAGTAATTTTGTAAATTAAGAGCTGAGTTTGCTTTTTTTTTTTTCTTTTGAGACAAAGTTTCACTCTTGTTGCCCAGGCTGGAGTGCAATGGCACAATCTCAGCTCACTGCAATCTCTACCTACCGAATTCAAGCGATTCTTCTGCCTTGGCCTCCTGAGTAGCTGGGATTACAGGTGGGCACCACCACGCCCAGCTGATTTTTTGTATTTTTAGTAGAGATGGGTCTTCACCATGTTGGCCAGGCTGGTCTTGAACTCCTGACCTCAGGTGATCCACCCGCCTCGGGTTCCCGAAGTGCTGGGATTACAGGCATGAGCCGCCGCGTCCGGCCTGAGTTTGCTTTTTTATTTACAGCCTCAAACTAAATTTGAATTGCACTTTTAGAAGTAGAAGGCAACTACATTTTGATTTCATAAAATTTTGATCTTAACATGATAGCGTGTTTGAAGTTTAATTTTTCTAAAAACACTATTTGCTTCAATTTATCTGTTTGTGAAAGAACATAATAAAGAGAGGCCACTGATAGGGGAAGAAAGAGAAATATTGCTTGAACAAGCTCATTCCACTAGTCAGACTTGTCAAGGAAAAGGTGAACTGATACCTTTTTAAAATAATATTCCGTTCAAGAAAAGTTGCTCATTTTATTCATGTTTGACATTTCATAGTAAAGGTAAAATTCATTTTTAATGAAAAATACTCCACAGGGTTATTAATTAAAAGAAACACAGGAAGAGAGAACTGTCATTTTAAAAGAGCAGCTCATGAATTAGAGAAAGTCACCAGCCGAAAACAGAGCTCAGTGATATTCTTTCCAGGATAGATGGCTGGCCTGCTAATGGAAACAGCCCTAAAGTGCCCCCTGATTGGCACCTGTGCCATCTGGGCACGAGGTATTTTTGCCTCAAAGCTTCAGCAAACTTAGAGAAGTAGTTTCTTGAGCTTGTTAATTAAATGTTTTATTATAATTCTTTTTTGTGCATTGTTCTTTTTATTTTTGGTGTGCAACTTGAGGGCAAAGCATGTGAATAATGTAATCATAGCATCTAGAGTAGTATTTTGTACTGTAATGTTTTGAATATATTTGGCAGGTTGGTGAATCAACATTTGCATGCCTTGTATTTGCAAGAGGACCAAATACAGATATTACATGGATTTATATTCCTCTAACATAAATAATATTTCTAGGAAAAGGTGAAAGAGGCTAGAATTGTTTAATTTGTTGAAGAGAAGTGAATGCCATGAAAGTGTGTGGCAGAGCCAGGTCGTGAGAAAATTGTAAAATTTCCATTTGATGAATTCACACTTCTTTTCTCCCACTTCCTAGAAACTTCTAGTCTTGCCTCTGTCGCCACTTCCCCCATTTTGTTCTCCACACAGCTTTGTGGTGCTCAGAAACCCGCTCTTCTGTTGACTCTGCCTGACATCCTTTAGGAAGCTGTAGGGCTTGAAGGGTCCAAGATACAGAATCCTTATGTCCATGTCACAGGAACCAATCGAAATATCAAAATGTGACTGTTATTACTGAGAAAGCTGATTAGTGGAGATGGTTTCAGGGCTGTATCAAGTGGTCCTCCTGATATTTTAGCCCTGAATTAGGCAAACTTACCATGCAGGCACAGGTATGGCTGAATAACTCCTCATTAGACAGTTGCAATGGAATGCATCATCCCTCCAGGCAGGATGGCTTCAAAAGGGGAGAGGAAGTGGCTAGGCTGTTTATTCTTCCAACCTCACCAACCAGAGAGGTCACTCCTTTCCCAACCCCTTACAGACATGATGTTTGGAGTCTCTCTGGCCCTGGCTTCTGACCAAAGTCCTTATTCCAGGGATTGTTTAAAGAAAATTGAATAAAATATATGTGATTGGCTCTGTGAAAGTTTCTGTCTATATTATACTTGTTGACAGAGTTGATAAATTTAGTGTTTTTGAACATTTCATACCATGTTATTCTGACAAATTCCAGTTTTTGTTGAAAGTTAGACTCCACTTAATACTGATTTAGTTTAAGGTTTTCTTTTCTAGGATGATAACCTCTCATTGTTAGAGGACAGTGTGCTAGTGTATGGAATTGACATGGCTGCCACTATGTTTAGGATAACACAGGCCTGACCATAGGGGTCTAATGACTTTCAGAGATTTTCTGCTTCATGAGCTTCTGATCTACACAAGCAAACTGAGTAACCAGCCATGAATTTATTTGCTGCACAAGATAACTTTTGTGCGTTAAAAGCCTGGAGAGTTGACCTTCACTCTTGCTGGCAATTTGTGCAGTGTCAGGATCCTGCAGGAAATGAGGTGGTCAAGAGCATCCTCTGCTAGACTCCAGGTCAAAGCAAAATGTAGAGGGCACCGTCTGAATTGCAGTCTGGATGTACCCTTTATAATCTCCCTGGTTATTTCTCCCAACTTCCTTCTTTCTCCCTTCACTCCTCCTCATGCCAGACAGTCCTTCAGATTGGAAGGTATTCTGAAAACTATGATATTTAACTTGATTTTTTCCCAAGGATTCTGATTTTTCAAACCCTTAGAAAGAGGCATGTGGTGTGTAAAAAAATTCCTGCTGTTTTAGCTATTTCAAGTCAGAAGAGGTTTTCCCAGAACCCTCTGAATGATCGGTTTGGTGAATGAACAATCATGGTTTCTGACCGTAGTGTGAAATGTGGTGTCAGGTGCTGAGACACTCCATTTTCATTTAGTTTATCTACTTACGAATCTATAATATGCAAACTTATGTGGTTATACTTCTCTTCGTAATTCATGCTCAAGATATGAACAGTTCTTTTTGTCTTTATTTAGTATCCCAAATCATAATAGGTGCTCAATGTTTTTACATTTGATTTGTTGTCAGAAAGTCCATTGAGCAGTATTTTGAGACTATGATGGTATGGAAATAACTGATATGATGGAAGTAACTCTTAATTTGAGTGCCCACCTTAATCTCTTGTGCTTCAATTTGGTCGTTTTTAAATGAGAATAATTATAATATCTGACACTTCTGAAGCTCTTACAGTTTAGAAATCTGTTTAAAATGCAGTATCTTACATGTCCTTCAGAGAATATAACATTGTCTCCATTTTATAAATGAAAAATCCAAGAACCTGAGGAGTTAGATAATGTGCTATAATCCCTCAATATTAAGTGACAAAGTAGTAGTCCTGGAACTAAAGTCTTTGAAAAGTTTATTAATTTTTCTCTTATATATAATACATCCCGTAGAGCTCAAGGAATTATTGGGTGAAGTAGGTGAGGTGATAGCAAAGGTATTTTTAAAATATCAGTAGTCATACAAATCTGAAGTTAATAAGCAGGATTGTCTTTACTAATAAAGCCTTTCAATACTCTTACTTTTCTCTTTAGTTCCCTGAAGTTGTAAGAGTTCAAAGCTGATAGATGATAAAGCAATTAAAATAGAGGTAAATCTTTGAATGGTAGTTTCAAAAACTTGGCTGTTTATTTCTTGTTCCTTTATTTAAGGAACCAGCTTTCTCTTCCTTGCTAAGAGAGCTTTCTTTTTCATTTCCTTGCTAAGAGAGCTTTCTTGTCATTCAGCAAATTTCTGGGACTTCCACAGTCCCTAGAGAATGAAACTGCCCAGATTGGGGGTGGAGTCGGGTAGAACAGATCCAGAGATATGACACTTTGTGGATATAGGCAACACAGTGAATATGGTGGTAAAGGACCTTGCTGGCCTCAGCTGTGAGGCCCAGCAGGGGGTTTGTATATAAAAGAGAGTTTATGTTTTGATGCAGATTTCTGACCTTTACCTACACAAATGAGGCAGGAAATGCTTTCCCGTATTAGATTTTTTAAAGATCTTAATTTCTTTTCAGTTCTGTTGTTAGACTTCTTTAATAAAAACAAGTTAACATAATTAAATTTTAATAGGTAAAAATCCTAAATAAGGCAAGAATAAAAATAATTCAGTTAAACTTTCATAACAACCAAAAGCAAAACAAAACCAAAAGATTTCATAGATTTATTCTACGTCGATACCCCCAGGTGATTCTTGTGCACAGCTTTGGAATCACTGACCTAGAACAGTGGTTTTCAACCCTGGCTGCACATTAGAATTACCCAGGGAACTTAGAAAAAGAGATATCTATATACCCTGTCCCAAACTAATTTAAATTAGAATCTCTAGGGGTGAGGCCCATTATACTTTTATTCACAGCTCCCCAGGTGAGTCTAAACTAGAGTCTTAGCGGAAAACCATCGCTTTATACATGTATCTTTAATATCACACACATTTATTTGCACTTCTAAATATTACACAATCTCCAGGGGTAAAATGCCAGGCAAAATGACGGGAAAACTCACTTGTAGTTGAGCCATTTTCTCTGTCTCTTCTCCATGGGGAATAGAGAGGGACCAAAACTGGTCATCATCTTCTGTACTATTTTAAGGGAAGGCAGTTGCTTTTGGGGCAGTGGCTTTCCAACTGCTGTGTACATGAATCATGCAGAGTGAATCCTAAGCCCCGGTACCAGGTCACTACGATTCAGTATCTCTGAAGTGAGGCCCAGAAACCTGCAACTTGAATAAGCTTTCCAAGGGATTCTGATGTAGGTAGTCCATGATCCTAACTTTTCTCTATAGTTTGATCTAAGGGCCTTCTGCCAAATTAATGGCGCCATGGCATCTCCTCCATGTTGCCTGCAGTCCTTCATGTCATAATCACTTTGCCTGGAATTTTATCACTGGAGATTGTATAATCTTTAGAAGTGTAAATAAATGTATATGATGTTAAAGACGTGTTTAAAGCGATGGTTTTCCACTAAGGCTGTAGTTTAGACTCACCTGGGGAACTTTGAATAAAATACAATGGGCCTCAGCCCTAGAGATTCTAATTTAAATTAGTTTGGGACAGGGTATATAGATATCTCTTTTTCTAAGTTCTCTGGGTAATTCTAATGTGCGCCAGGATTGAAAACCTCTGTTCTAGGTCAGTGATTCCAAAGCTGTACACAAGAATCACCTGGGGGTATCGACATAGAATCAATCTATGAAATCTTTTGGTTTTGTTTTGCTTTTGGTTGTTATGAAAGTTTAACTGAATTATTTTTATTCATGCCTTATTTAGGATTTTTACCTATTAAAATTTAATTATGTTAATTTGTTTTTATTAAAGAAGTCTAATAATAAAACCTAAGAGAAACTAAGATCTGTAAAAAATCTAAAATAAGTGGAACCATATGCTGCATAGAGCACTCTATTCTTTTTTGCTACTTAGGACGTTAGTTATCCGAAGCTTCTAAAATATGTTGTACTCTCCTCATGCCACCAGTTTCCAGATGATATTTCATTTCCTCCTTCCAGGCCTTTGAGGAAGATATTACTGTTCAATTTTATAGCCAAAAACCTGAGATTCACAGAGGCTAAGTGGATCATCAAGATTGTAACCCTGATAAGCAGCAGAAACAGAATTTAAACCACAGGGTTTTACTTTGATACCAGTAATCTTTTCTTATATTACATTGTCTTTAGATACAGAAAACTCATGGGCAATTTTGGCAGAACTAACAATTTATAATGCTTTTCATTTAAAACACTAATGCTATTCTTTCTTTGCAGAGATTTATTTTAAAACACAAATGTAGAGGCTACCGTAAAATAAAAGCAGGAAACAAAACCATTACTGTGTATTTTCAGGAAAGAATGATTACATAGGTAGGAAATTTATAGAAAATAATATCAACTTTTACTAGCCAAAATTTCTTCCTCACTCTTTCTCTCTCTGTGGCAATAAACTTTAAAAAGTTCATCCTAAGTAAGCTGCAAATATCACTCATAAGGGTTGATTCTCCTTTCCATGCTTTATGTTATCATTGGGTTGGGGGAGGGGACCAAACGTCAGCCACTGCAAGATCCCAGTAAAGATGCAACACCTTTTACAATCTAAAATCTGGATAATTTATTGATTTTGATTCACAGTTGGTTTGGTATATTCGGTTTATTAAAAGTGTGCTACTAGGTGTGCAGGTAGGTTGCAACCACAGGCAGTCTGTATCACAGAGTTAGAAGTTACTCTACCTGCAATATCACGAGATTTCCCTTAACATGACTTCTTCCAGTCTAAACCAGCCTATTGATTAAGTAGACCCTTGTATTGCCAATTATCCCCTTATCTGAAAATATAGTATCGTCTTTTTAATCTCCTTCATTAGAAACATCAAACACCTTGCAAAGTTCTTAAGGAATACGTGCAAGCCGCTTAATTTATCAGTATGCTTGTTTGTTTTTCTGGGAAAACTCCATTATGAGTCTTCTTTACATAGCAGTCATTATAGTTTGAAATTGTAATGCTGCCCTTAGAAATGTGAGAGGGATATCTTTTACATTAATAAGCATTTTTGCTTTTGTTTCATACTCAGAATAAATCAAGGCACATGTTTGTGACTTCTACTTAAAAATAAGACATTTCTGAAAATTAGCAAAGTAAGTTTAGTTAACTAAATAATGGAAGCTGGAAATGAAACTGTTAGAAGCTTCCAATGAGTTCTTTATTTTAAATTGCTGCTCGAAGCTAATCAGTTTGTATTGCTCTAAAGAGACAGGGAGAAGACTTTGCATGTTAGTGGTTATTAATTCTGTTCTTACTAAGTACTATCCAAAAGTGATTTCTTGACACTGAATAATCAGCTGTGCAATGCAGAGTTCACTAACCTGCATTTCTACCTCCATGTTAAATATCTTTTATGTGTAGCTCATCAAAATATATGAATGGAAAGATAAGCTTAATAAAAATAAAGGAAAAAATCAGAATGAGGTTGAAATATAGGGATGTTATCCTTTTGGGCTTATGTCTCTTAAATATCATGTTTTTCTCTGAACTAGCTTCATGGCTCAGGAAGTTTTTCGGAGTGCCGTGAAAAGAAAGGGCAAGCTTAGGTGTAATGTTAGAAAATCAGCAGGAGAGCAAAATGGGGCAGGGGCTGGACAGCAGGAGGAGGGCAATAGTGGCTAAATTATAGCTAGAATGAGGCCACCTCTGTCTGACAACCTAGGCCAGAGAAGTGATTGTCACTTGTTTAGCTCCTGAGATTAGACAAGTGTGCGTGTGCACACACACTCAACAAAGATGGACACCGAAAAGATGACATATAATGACAAGAAGAGTATCTTTCTATAATCAAATATACCCTCACAAATACCCACATACACATCATCCGTATATTGTGTTCACATGATTGTTTAACAAACATTCATTGATATCTTATTCCTTCCTATAATGAGTCTATCACAGAGGGACTCCTACTTGACCTTTGTTTTTCTTCTGTTGGTTTAACCAGACCTGACCTGTTTAAATGTGTGAATTCTGGGAAGGAAAAGCAGCTTAACTATTTATATGGTCTATGTTTGTCTGTCGAGAGGAAAGATTCTTAACAGTGCTGCTTCAGATGTTAAAACATTTCCCTACCCTCCAAAATCATCATCTTACTTTGCTGAAAGGTTTACATTTCATTGTGTTTTATGTTGATTGCCTAGCTATAAAATACCATTAAAAGGCGACTGTAAATCAAAGATAATGTTCTACTGGCATCCTTGAGATATGCAGCAAACTTTCCCTTCAGTTCTTCAAGCACCCTGCAGGTTTATATGACAAAGAGTAACACTCCAAATCCCTGCCATAGCTCTGGGAACATAAATTTTTGCCCGCATGTAATGTTTGTGTAGGGCTTTCTTGTACAAGTGTTTTGGTCTGTACAACAGTACCATGATTGAAGCTGGGAGGCCTTTGAGATTTATAGTTTCGATGGGTCACTGAACTCCATATCAAAAGTATTTGTTGATGTTCTGTAGACAACTTAGATATTCTCCAGTATGTTGACCAATAATCTCTTGTTTTTCAAATGACTCAAATGTTACTGTAGCATTGCCCTCAAAATTTCTTCTCTAAAAATGCCTACATACTCTAACACACAAAAAAAGAAAAAAAAATTTCTCGCATAAATAGCGTAGTCATTTTGACTGTAGGTTGTTAGCCTACAGAGCCTTAGCCAACTGTAGGCTTCAAATAAATCTACTGAACTTTTTAAATAAGATCTAAATATTTTCACATATTGGACAATGGGTCCTTTTAAGAGAGGCTTTGAAAGTTTTATCAGATTCCAAAAAAGTGTGTGACTCTAGAAGTGATTTAACACTGATTTTGATTTAATTCATAAGAAGTGCCAAATACCACTGTCTTTGAATATGGCATGGCAGCATGATTTGTATTGGAGTGAATGTTAACTGTTGACATTTTTAATGTTCACATATTTGGGATGATCCTTAAATATTCATATTGTACCTTAAAATCTAATTATAGGTAAAGTTACCACAAATCTAAGTTCTTCTTGAACCCTTTACTTCTCCTGTCCAATTTATTCCCTCTGTCTGGAATGCCCTTACATCCTCCCCCTTTCTCTGCCTGTTGAAGTCCTTTAAGACCCAGCTAAAGTAACACCATCTCTAAAGACTTCCAGATTTCCTCATTCAGAATTCATCTTTTGCTTCTCCATAATGCTCTTTCTATGTGCATTCCTTTTATTAAGGGCCCTTTTAAAGTCTAATTTGTATTGAGGCATATGACTGTATATTTCTAACTGGATTGCGAACTGCTATAAACAAGAGACATGTTTTATTAATCACTGCACCCTCCATTAGGCACAGTGCCTGATGGTACTTAAGGAAATGCTTCTTGTTTAACTGTTTGATGAATATCGAGTTGATATCAGATGCCCTAAGTATGATTGTAGGATCTGATAGCGATATAAACACAAACTACATATTATCCATGGAATCCTTACTTGGCAGTTTATTAGCATATGTAAATCATAATGGTCAAGGTAAATTAAAGAAATCATTGTATGACATTTTAAAATGTTTTGTTATTATTTATATGAGATGATACACTTTCAGCCAGTAATATTGAGTCTCATTCACTCATAATGAGCTCTTTGAGGCACCCAGAAAGCTTAACTGCACTGAGTTCTTTCGAATTCGGTTGTCCTCCCTTATCTGCAGTTTCCCTTTCTGTGGTTTCAGCTACCCACAGTCAACTGCAATCTGAAAATGTTAAATGTAAAATTCTAGAAAAAAAACATTTTGTATGTTTTAAATTGTGGGTTGTTCTGAGAAGTGATGAAATCTGAAGCAGTCCAGCTCCATCCCACTGAGGATAGGAATCATCTCTTCATCTGGCATATACCTACTGTGTACACTGTCTGCACATTAGCCATTTAGTAGCCGTCTCAGTCATCAGATTGACTGTCATGGTATCACAGTGCTTGTGTTCAAATGATCTTTATTTTATTTAATAATGGCCCCAAAGTGCAAGAGTGGTGATGCCGGAGTGTTATTATAATTGTTTTATGTTATGATTAATTGTTTTTAATCTCTTACTGTGTCCAATTTATGAATTAAACTTTATCATAGGTAGGCGGGTATAGGAAAAATGTATATGGTTCAGACTGTCTGCAGTTTTGGGCATCCACTGGGGGCCTTGGAATTGTCCCCAGTGGATAAGGAGAGACTACTCTATTTTGTTATATATAAAAGTATTTTTAGTAAGTCTTAGCAAGTAATAGCTGTTAATAATGAATGTTGCATTTCATAGCTTCTGTTTTTAGACATTTTAAAGTGGTACTCGACTGGGATTTCTTTTACTTTTTCTTTTTTAGAGCCTATTTTCAGGAAGCCTGACTTCTCAATAATTAAGAATATCATGTTTTATTACTTACCTCTTAATATACAGAATCACTTTCATTCTATAAAACTCTGAGTAGATTTATTTTTAAAATAGCTCATATTTATATAACACTGTAGAGATTCAGATGCACTTTTATATGCATCATCCAAGGTGATCCTCAGGAGAATGCTGTGAGGTAGGCTGGATTTCTTCTCATTTTAACAGACGAATAAACAGACTGAGACTCTACTTACCTAAGGCCACTTATGCCAGGTAAGTGAGGCAATGGGTATAGAACCCAGGAATTATGACTCCAGTGGTAGTCAGTATTCATTCTGCTACTATTTTGTGCTCCCTCTAAGGTGCAAGATATAACCTATTCATGCAATAGATATGCCTTGTGCACTTTCATGTGCCAAATGCTATATGTTCTAGGTATTTAGGGTGCATCAGTAAACAAAGCCAACAAAAAATGAAGTCCTTGTTGAGATTAAATTTGTGTTTGGGAGAAAAACAAATAAGTAAAATGTATAATCTATTTGAAGATAATGAGAGCAATGGAGGAAAATGAATCAGGAAAGAAGGTTCAAGCATTTGTGGAGGGTTGCAATTGTATGTAGGATAATTAGACCTCATTAAAAAACTGTTGCTTGAACAAAGACTTAAAGAAGATAAGGAGCAAGGCTTATGGATATCCAAGGGATATGAGCAGAGGAAATAATGACTATAAAGGACCTGAGAGAAAAAAGTTTTCTTGGCATGTTTGAAGGACAGAATGGAAGCCAGTTAGCCTGTACTGTGGTGAGAAAGGAGTAAACAGTGGGATATAAGGTCAAAAGGTGTAGTCTTGGAATTCACTGTAAGCGTAAGAGTTAAAGAAAGAGAAAAGAAACATGAACTGTGGCTCGGCAGTAAAGACAGGTTTACTTTAGATAAAACCTGAGACGGACTTCTGGCCAATTTTGGTCAGGAGTGCTTTCTCTTACAGACTAAGAGTATATATTGGTTTTAGGGTGAGGGGGCTTAACAGAAGCTTGGAATGTTTCTGTGTGAGGAAGAAGTTTTACGGTGGGGTTGGAATGTCTCTGGGAGGAGGCAAGTTTATCTTTGGGCAGACATCTTTCCGGCCTGCGGGGCATTATCTCAAGGCTGGCATCTTCCTGGCTGGAGGGAGGTTATCTTGGGGCCGGCATGTCTTTTGTCTGGGTGGAGTTTGGAATGTTTCTGTCTGGAGATGTTATTTGTGGTTTATGGTCATGCTGACCTTAGCCATCAGGCTGATGCCCTTTGGATTTAGACAGCTTTTTTTTTTTATTAAGGTGAACTTTAGAATGAGGGGCTTGTCTAAGATAGCAATGCTCCTCCTCTGTCAGTAAGGACTTTCATTTCTGCTCTGAATGTGATAGGAAGCCAGTGGAGGATTTTGAATAGAAGAGTAATATGATCTAACTTACAGTTTAAGAGGTTTGCTCTTGTTTTCATCTTACATGTCAAGAATAGATTACAGAGGTGGGGGTGGAGATGATGCAGAAGTGTAGAATAGGAGAAGAGACCAGTGAAAAGTCTTGCAACAACCCAAGCATTGGGAATTGCATGAGTTAGCTAGGGCTGCCATAACAAAGCACCAAAACAAACAGCAATTTATCGACTCACAAATCTAGAGCCTTAAAGCCTGAAATCAAGACTTCAGCAGGGCCATAGTCTCTCTGACAGCTCTAGAGAAGAATCCTTCCTTGTCTCTTTTAGCTTCTGTTGTTTGTTGGCAATCTTTTGAGTTCCTGGGCTGGTAGAGGGATCACTCCAGCCACCTGGCTATTTCCCCACTATGTGTCTTCATGTCATCTTCCCACTGTTCCTATCTGTCTCTTTTTATAAAGGACATCAGTCATATTGGATTAGGGTCCATCCTAATAACCATTTTTTTGTAAACTCAATTAACCCTGTAAAGACCTTACCTCCAAATGAAGTGACATTGAAGATGCTGGGTATCAGGACTTCAACGTATCTTTGTTGGAGGACACAATTTGGAGGACACTGTTATGGAGGATTCATAACAGTGGCATTGGCCAGAGTGGTATCGGTGAGAAGTGGATGGATTGTGGATGTATTTTGAAGGTGGAGTACCGCCTATTATAAATTCCAATAAGTACTAGATATGATTATTTTTGTTGTTAAAATTATTATCCTGATCCCAGTAGTAGCAGTACTTATCTGAATGATAACAAGCCCATGTTTGCTTAGGTATTGTGTGAAGAAGACAGTAACAGTGAAATTGAAGAATCTCAGGCATCTAATCCATATGTTCAGTTCAAGGGGTTTCTAGGGTATCTCACATGTTCCTGAATAGCCTTGCCTTGCTGTTCCCCACTGCCTGCTTTGCCCTATAACCAGGGCTACTATCACTCTTGAGCCCAAGTGAGTCCCTTCCTGATGACAGCTACAGCTTCAGCATTCTTGTCACCCCCTTATATCATCAACATTGGTTTGATTATATCTACTCTTCCTTTTGACTCTTGTGCTACAAAATCCTCCTCCCACTTTCAAACTGAATATCATTAAGCTTTATTTCCTGCAAGAGCTCTGATAGGGTGTCAGGTATAAGGATTGTACATCAGCTCTAACACATGGAGACAGATATGACATCTTCCTCCATTTTAAGGCATATATATCTAGGCTTGCCTGCTCCAAGGACTTGTCTGCACTTGTCTTGACTTCAAATGAGTACATAGTGCAAGACTTTACTGGCACTGTCCTATAATATATCAGAATACGAATTTTTTCATGGATTTTTGAAATGTTTCAACGTATATATTTCTAAATGATGACATTGAGGTTAAAGCATAACAAGGGTTTATTATTAATAATAATTACTTTTAATTATAAAAATTGATGTTAAGTTTTGGCTATGATTCAAGTTACTGTGCTATGCAGTTGTGAAAAAAGGACCAAGTCACGTTCCCTGCCTTAGAGCACTTAAAGTTTGGTGAGGAGGAGAGAGATGCTAATAGGTAATTTCAATATAAAATTTTAAATTCTTTGAGAGATTATATGGTGTTCTAGGAGCCCATTTGTGGACACTTATGAGCAGGAGGCTAGTGGAGAAGGCATAATGCTAGTGTATGTGGGGATTGGGTAAATAGGGGCAAGAGGAGGGGCTTCCTGGAAAGAAATGATGGTGCTTTCCCTGAAACACTTGGCCAAAGTCAAACAGCATGGTCAAAGGTATCTTAGGGAGAGATGCAGACCTCAAAAGGCATGGAGGCATAAAATATTATGACTTTAACTAGAAACTGTAAGTGGTTTGTTATCAATAGCACAGAAACCATAGGCATGAGAGTTCCAGCTGCTAAAACTGAGGATAGAGGTAAGGGTCAGAGCAGCAGTAGAGCATCCCGTGTGCCTTGAAACAGCTCAAACTAGAGCCATTGAAGGGGTTTAAGCAGTGGATAGAATAGGCAGATTTTCATTTTGGAAATTTCTCTCTGGTGGAATGATGACGGGTGATTTTCGATGAATCATCACTGGAAGCAGATATGTTGGGGGGTGGGGAAGAGAGAGGCGTATAGGATAGCTTAGACTTCAGATTGAATATATTGAGCCATTGGCCAAGAGGGAAATGGAAGTCAGAGCACACAGTATGAGGATAATCATTAGTTAGGATAATGATTTTGGCACATAATTATCTTGGATATGCTGACTTTGAAGTGCCAGTAGAATATATAGATGGTTGTGTCTAACAGATTTGGATAGTGAGATCTGCACCATGTTGGGTATGTTAAATGTCCTGAGAGTGGAGAACCTCACTTGGGAAAAGAACGTAATGTTAAAAGAGCATTGGGTCAAGGACTGAACTATGGGGAGCACCAGTGTTTGAAGGGATGATAGAGAGCCCATGAATGCCAATAAAGGAAGCACAAGAAGATATCATGGTTGCCAAGAGATTTACTGGAAGAGTAAAGTGGCCAATAGTGTCAAATGCAGCGGGGTGATCTCCACTAAGTTATGGACTGTGGGCCACAGAGTGTCCACTGGATTTGTCTATGTGGGAATGAATTATAGTGACCAGAGAGAAAGAAAACAGTTATATGTGGGAATAGTGGCACAAAAGCTAAGTTATGTGGGTTGCTGCCCAAACAGCATGAGTAAAAGTAGTACCTATATGTCTTCGTTTGGGCTGCTGTACTAAATTGCCATATACTGGGGGTTGCTTAAACAACAAATACATATTTCTCACAGTTCTAGAGGCTGAGAAGTCTAAGATCAAGGTACCAGCAGAACAGGTGTCTAGTGAGAGCCTGTTTCCTGGTTTGTGATGACTGTCATCTCATTGTATCCTTATATGGTAGAGGGCAGAGAGAGAAAGCAATCTCTCTCGTGTCTCTTCATGATGGGACACTAATCCATCATAAGGGTTCTACCCTCATGGACTAATTCGTCTTCAAATACCATCACAGTGAGGATTAGGGTTTCAACATGTGAATTTGGGGGGAAGAGGACATATTCAGTTCATATCACTATATTATATAAACTATTATTTCAAGATAATTGTATCAGACTGGGACCCAGCAGGAAAGAAGCAGCAGATTCTGCTTGGGTAATCTGGGCTTGGCTAAAAAACAGGCTTACTTACAAAGTATGGACAGTCCTTATGGTTTTCCTATGTAAGTAATAGTAAACTATGCATGGGCTAATTATAGCACACCACTATCATTTATTATCCTAAAGAGATGAGAAGAGAGAGAGAAGGAGGGGGACAAGAAGAAGGAGAGAGAGAGATGAGAGAGAATAGAAGAGAGGAGGGGAGGCAACGAGAAAGAGAGAGAGACAGAAAGAGAGAAACTGTATCAAGACCGTATCAAGAGGGTTGCCTGACAGGAGCTGTGATCCTTAACAAGGAAATTGTTAGCCCATGGAGACATCTCTAGGAGGAGCTGGGATAATAAAGACCCTGGTCTTCACTTTCCTTTCTACCTTATATTTTCTTCTAGTGCTTCCCATTGGTCACACGCAACTGAAAACAAAGCAATAAGTAAGCCCATCAAAATAGTCATACAGGCTAAGATTGCAGGGCACAGGGCTAGGTAGGGAAGGGTGGGGAGTAGCTCTGGATAGGGTAAATATATTCAGCACAAAATCATTTCGGATAGAGAAGAGGATATTAGTTAAAGTGGCTGCAAATTTAAAGGAAACAATTGAGTTTTGACTTTTGTGAGTTTTTTTTTTTTCCTTTATCAGGATGGGAGAGAGGAGCTAAAAGCCGAGGTAAGTGATACCAATAAAAAGGAAGTTAAAGCTACTTTATGATATAAGGATATAACTGATGCAGAAAAGTCTTGACAGATTCAGACAATCAGATAAGGAGCCACAGTAAAATGATTGGCTTTAAACAGAAGGAAGAAAATTTTATTTCCTCCAAGGGAAAGGAAAGAGAAAAAGAAGCACGGTTGTGTTCATTCTATAGGTGGAGAGGGGAACAGATGGGAGAGGCAAGAAATTGAGAGAGCTGATTGCTTTGCCCCAGTTTTCCTGATACAGAAGGCATAAACGTGATATGCCTTCTGCTGATAGTAAGAGGTGGGGATCTGTGTGGATTTTGAAGAGAGTTTTGACTAATTGATACAGTCACTGAAGGATGCAAAAGAAGGAGTTGGCCAAGAACAAGAAAATTTTATGGGAAGCCCTATGGCCAAGAACAAGAAAATTTTATGGGAAGCCCTATTGATGGCTAGAGTTTCTACACGATCACATGTGCCCTTGTGTGTGGCTGAGGAATTTTCTCATTCAGTGGTGTGTGCTCAACAGCCTGAATGTGTAACTCAAGAAGGCCAGTTGAAGGGATAATTTAGCATCAGAGTTTTGTTAGATTAGTTCAGTGGTAGGGCAGAACCAAAGGGAAGGAGGCCATTGGTGATCATTCCTCAAAATCCATTTTAAACAGCTGAGATCATTTTATTTTCCTCTTATTCTTTTGGGGGCTATTTTTAAAAAATATATTTGCAACGCATCTAAACCTGTGGCAATGGTGGCATTCTTAGAACTATTTCATAAAGTTCAGGTAACAAAATTCCTACAAGTATTATAATTAGCATTTTCATTCTTAGTACAACAAATATCTTCTGAAGATTAAAGCAAATATTGCAAAAGGCAGATGAATTCAGGTGAGGTTCAAATTTTAGTAGAAAATTGTAGTATGTTTATATACCTATATTCCAGGTGTAAACCATCAACAGTTTGCTATATCCATGCAGCATAGAGTTAACTAATTAATGTTGTATTTCAAAAGGAAGAGAACTACACTGAACTTCAGTGACATTTTCCCTTCATTTCTTCCCCATCAATGTGATTAGTATTTTTTTAATTTTTAATTTAATTTTATTTATTTATTTTTTAATTTATTATTATTATTATTTTTTAGACGGAGTCTCCCTCTGTTGCCCAGGCTGGAGTGCAGTGGCGCGATCTTGGCTCACTGCAACCTCTGCCTCCCAGGTTCAAGAGATTCTCCAGCTTCAGCCTCCCAAGTAGCTGGGATTATAGGCACCCACCACCATGCCCAGCTAATTTTTGCATTTTTAGTAGAGATGGGGTTTCACCATATTGGCCAGGCTGGTCTTGAACTCCTGACCTCAAGTGATCCTCCTGCCTCAGCCTCCCAAAGTGCAGGGATTACAGGTGTAAGCCACTGCACCTGGTCTGTGATTAGTATTTTTTAAAGTAGCCAATTATAATTTTCAATATCCTACAAATGCTATTTTTTACAAATAAAATAAATTCAGTGGAAAATAGTCTTGTTAGAAAGGAGTTCTACATGCTATAGCTACCACCTTCCATCTATACTAAGTGTTTGGAATGTAGTTAAATACAACCCAGTTGTAAATTATTCCTTTGTGGTTTTACTCTACCAGCTTTTGATATATGTGTCTTTGCATGGGAGATAAACTTTGCCCACCAGTAAGATAGATTTTAATTCTACATAATATCATCCCATTAGAAATGAAGATTTCTGTCAGTCTATTATGTTATCAGATACATTTAACAAATAAACACTCCCCTGTTGTTGTTCTTGATAGATGAGGAAAGAGGTTTCTTGCTTCTGCTAATATCAAACAAGATAAAAGAATCTGGAGAGATATCTCTTTTCATATAGTGAAGAGTAACAGAAGGAAACTAAAGAAGAGGAATGTGAGTCATGCAAATTGATTAGTATGTTATTGATTGTAGTAATTGATCCATGGTGGGCCTTACTGCTGTAAAATTATTGATTTTGTTCTCTTTCAACCATTTCCTTCATAGCTATCCAAGGAGGTAGGATAATAATATCTACAGAAATCTCTACTTTCTAAGGCAATGCTTGAAATTAAATAAATATGCTGTAGCAGCTACTTTATTTTGGCTTTAGTAAAATAAGGATTAGAAGATAATACTTTATCCACGTTTCTTGTCCTTACATATAATCCATTAAATCCTAAAACTGTATTTTCATTTTTAAATATAAAAGGAAGTGCCTAGAGTAACTATGTATTCTTGCACAATCTGGAAGCAAAGACCTGGTTTGTATGCCAAGAAGTGTAGATTATTTTAATTTTATTTTTCACTTCAATTTTATAAAAAAGTTTATATGACAATAAGACTAAGTCAAACTGAAAATTCACAGAAAATTCATCAGGTTTGTTTTTAAAAAGAAATGACCACTACTAAAATCAACCTATCCCCAAATTTAAGTATTGTAACACGGTAACATTATAATTCTTATTTATATAACAATTCAAAGCAAGTGTTTGGTGGACAGCCTTTCATTGTGTGATTCAGGGACCCAGGGCCTCTCTTCTGCTGACTTCTTTGTCCCCTAGATGTACTGGTGCTTCACTTCTAGCTGACAGCAAAAGAGTGGGTTTTGCAGAAAATTTGTAGTAGGCTAGACCTGGACATGTCACATTATTTCTGCTCATGTTCCCTTAGCTAGAGCTCAGCCATGTGGCAATTCCTGTCTCTAAGGGAGGCAAGGAAATGTCATCTAGCATTGTGCAAAGGAAGAAGAGGAAATAGTTTGGGGATCTTAGTCATCTCTGCCATAGAGATTGACTCTATGGCTTATCCTTCTTACACCTAGAACTCAGAGTAGACAATAGCAAGTCTCATCCAGGCACAGTATCTCATTCAAAGTCCAGGATCTCCAGACAACATGCAGTTCTGTTGCTCAGGTCTGGAAACTCAATAGTTGTTTTGAGACATGTTAAAATTGAGATCCCTACTGGCTATTTAAGTGGAGATGTTGAGTAAGTCGCTAAATATATGTAGTGTTCATATGTCCTCCTTTGCCCAGGACAGTGCTGATTTATGTCTGTAGTCCTGGAATAATTATGAATAGCACCTTCATCTCTAAAATGTATTAAGTTTAGATGATACATTATATGGATATAAGAATCTGGAGTTTAGAGAAGAGACTGTAACTATATTAAAAAGTGTTATTAATCAAGCTATAGCTGTTATTTAAAGTGATGAAACCTCAGGTACTCTGACAGTTAGAATCAGGAAGAGGAAGAAGATCCAGATAAGGTGACTGAGGCTGGTCACTGACCAAGGACTAGCATATGAGCTAGGAGAGTGTGGGGGTTACATAGCCTTGGGAAAAAGAAAACATAGTGAATGCACTCATGGAACTCACTGTTTTTTGGGAAAAATTGAAATTTTAAAAAGTAAATTAAAAATCATCTTTCTAGATTAACTTTTCATCTCTTAGTCTCGAGAACACTTGACTTCAAGTACATATTATAGAACAGCTCAAGGTTCTTTAAATGCCCCATGCTCTTAGTCTTCTACACCTGTCTACTAACTGTGTCTCTCTGCCCCGTTCCTTCTAGGCTTTATCCTTTTGATGAATTCCTACTATATTAATAACTAATACTGACAAAGAGAATGCATTTCATGTATCAGTTACACTTCAAAGTTCTTCAGATCCAGCAACCATCATATAAGGCCCAGTTAGTATCCCCTTTTAAAAATGAAGAAAATGAGGCACAAAAAGGTTAAATAACTTCTCCAGAATCACATATCTAATGAATATATGAATGACGATTTGAATGTCAATCAGCATGACAGCAGAGCTTATGCTCTTACCAAAGCATTTCACGTGGCTTAGTAATTATAAACTAATAAAAATATTGGTTAGATATTATATTTTAGCTTTAAACCTTGAAATGTACATTTAGTTACCAATGTTTTGAGCCATTAATAATCTTTCTTATAAAAACAATACCAGAACATAGCCTCTGAGGTTTCCAATTTTGGTTTCTTTTCTTTTTCTCATTTTTTTTTTTTTTTTCTTTGAGACAGAATCTTGCTCTGTCTCCCAGGCTGGAGTGCAGTGGTGTGATCTTGGCTCACTGCAACCTCTGCCTCCCGAGTTCAAGCGATTCTCCTGCCTCAGCCTCACAAGTAGCTGGGATTACAGACACCTGCCACCACGCCCAGCTATTTTTTTTTTTTTGTAGTTTAATAGAGATAGGGTTTCGCCGTGATGGCCAGGCTGGTCTTGAACTCCTGACCTCAGATGATCTGCCCGCCTCAGCCTCCTAAGGTGTGGGATTAACAGGAGTGAGCCACCACACCCCACCAGCTTTGGTTTCTTTAAAGTGGAGCAAGAAACTCTGCTGATAGACATACATATAACTGACTATTGATAAGCATACAATTCAGCTGCTGGAAGTAGAGGTTCACAGGCTGACTGCTCTGGAGTATCTCGTGTGCTATGCATATCAGTCAGTGCATTTTGCAAGGAGAATGGAAAATCATGGTCAAGCTAGTCATGTTGATTAAGTGGAAGTCAGCTAAAGAGCGTTTAGTCTGTTTAGTACTTTTTGCATTCACCTACTTCTGGATTTACACAGTATGTTAAAATTACCTGCTTATAAGTCTCCTGCTTTTTTTTTTTTTTTTTACCAGACTGTAAGCAGTGTCGTTATTTTATTCATCTTGGTATTCTCAGCACCCACAGCCCTGCATGTGATTAGGGGCTCCTATAAATGTTTGATGAATTATAATACACTGAATTAATATAGTTACATGCTTATGAGAGGGCCTGCTTCCACTAAACTGAGAATATTTGGGGATGGGACAAACACTTATTATTTAAGTAAACTTCTTATGAAAATATACCTCATATATAGAAATGTCTACAAATCATAAGTGTACTATTTGATGCATTTTCACAAACTGAACACATACATGTACTCAGCATCTAGCTCAAGAAACAGAACAGGAAACATGTCAGAAGCTTATTCCCTGCTCTGTTGCATTCACTACACACTCCTATGCAAGCTTTACCTACTCAATTTTTTCTTTTTTTTTTGAGACAGAGTCTCACTCTGTTGCCCATGCTGGAGTGCAGTGGCGTGATCTCGGCTCACTGTCACCCCCACGTCCCAGGTTCAAGTGATTCTCCTGCCTCAGCTTCCCAAGTAGCTGGGATGGCAGGCATGTGCCACCATGTCCAGCTAATTTTTGTATTTTTAGTAGAGACGGGGTTTTACCACGCTGGCCAGACTGGTCTCAAACTCCTGACCTCAAGTGATCCACCCACCTCAGCCTCCCAAAGCACTGGGATTATAGGCACAAGCCACTCTGCCTGCCCCTACTCACTTTTAACACTTTAGATCCATTTTGCCTCTTTTTTATATTTTTAGAATTATCTGAATAGAATCATATAATAGGTATTCATTTGTATCTGGCACCTTTCACTCAATGTTATTTTGCAGCCATTATTCACTGTTGTCTATAGTTGTGGTTCAACAATTTTCATTGTAGAGTTTTGTACCAACTGAATACACTTCAATGTATGTATTTATTCTACCCTTGATAAACACTTTTATTTCCAATTCAGGGCTATTATAAACAGTGTTGCTGCCTACCTCCTTGTACATGCCTTTTTATCTACATGTGTACAACCTTTTCTGGAAGGAGTACCTAAGAGTAAAATTGCTGAATCTATAGTGTGTATATCTTCAGCTTTAGTAGATACTCATCAAGCAGTTTTCCAAATGGTTCTATGAATTTGCATTCCCCCATAAGATTACAAGAGTTCCGTTTTTCTATTTTTTTTTTTCATTTTAGCCATCCTGATGAGTGTGTAGGGGTAATACATTGTGGTTTTAAATTGTACTCTTTTGATGCCTAATTAAGATGAACACTGTCCCATATATTTAATGGCTATTTGCATGACTTCTTGTGGTAAAATGCTCATTTTCTATTGGAATTATCTTTGTTCTTAATAATTTGTAACAATTTTTTATAGATTCTGGATATGAGTTTTTATCGGGTATATGCATTGCATTTATCTCCTTTCACTCTTCCTTGCCTTTTGATTATCCTCTTGGTGTCTGTCAAAGAAAAAAATCTGAATTTTAATGTAATCTGATTTATTCTTTTTTTCCCTTTATGGTTACCACTTTTGTGTGATGTTTAAGAAATCTTATCGTATCCCAACATTATGAAGATTTTCTCCTGTTTTTTCTTTGAAAAGCTTTATGTTTTTTTACGTATCACATTACAATCTGCAGTCTATTTAGAGTTGATTTAGTTATACGGTGTGAGGTAAAGGTCAAGATACATCTATTTTGACATGGATGTTCCATTTATCCGGTACTTATATTTAAATGATCATTGTTTCCCCTGTGTACTGCAGTATTATCTTCATCATAATTCAGTGTCCAAATATGTGTGAGTCAATTTCTAGACACTGTATTCTGTTCATTTACTTATTGTCTATTCTTGTGCTAATATCACACTATCTCAATTACTGTCATTCTTAGTAGTAAAATATGGGGCAGTATAAATCTTCCAGTTTTTTCTTCTTAATGAATATTGCTTTGGCTATTGTAGGCCTTTTGCATTTTCATATAAACTGTATAACTAGGTTGTTAATTTCTGCAAAAAGATCCTGCAGGATTTTGATTTGGATTATAACAAATACATGAACAAATTAGAGAAGAGCTTTTATCTTAACAATGATCAGTCTTCCAAACCATAGACATGACCTATCCCTGCATTTGTTATTTTTGTGTTCCCTGTGCATAGTATGTGTCTGGAGTTCAGCTGACTCTCAAAATTGTGAACTCTTCTACTGTCCCTCCTTCCACTCTGATATCATCAATTGACTGTGAACTCTCATACTTTCCCATTCTTACACCATGCTGTCCTCAACTAGAAATACTCAATTGTCTCTTCAGAGATTATCTTTCCTTCAGGGTCACAACTCCCTGGAGTTTCAACTGGGCCAAAGGAAACTGTGCTTTAGAAAATGGCAAAAACTCTTCTCACACTGCCCAAAGATAATAGGAGACTACCTCTAATTACAGAAATATATGGAATTTGAGGTTCTTCCACCCAAAAGTAACACAACTAAAGATAAGTAGAATATGACAGTGGGAGATCTATTTTGACTGTATAAAGACATGTTCTTTCTTTCTTTTTAAATTTCAATCGCTTTGGGAGTACAAGTGGCTTTGAGTTACGTGGATAAATTGTATAGTGGTGAAATTTGGGCTTTTAAGACATTTTTGAATAGAATAAATCACAGATACATATGTGTTTTTTAAACGTTGGATTTGGTAACAATTATATAAAGATCTTTAGGAAGATTTCAGTGAAATTATATATTCTAATGTGTTAGAATATTATTTTTCATGCCTCAATAATGCACAGAGCTCAAATCTCTTTAACCAGACTTTCCAATGATGACAGCTCAAGGTGTACTTCGTAGGGCCTCTGCCGGCTTTGCTGTGTGTTTGCATGCTGGTGGGCAAATGCACTGGCAGATGTCAGTCACTTAAACAGGCTCTTTTTTGTTTCAAATTCTAAGTTTCAATTCTTGGCAATTGCAACACTACAGAAACAGGCAGTGTGGCTTCTAATACTTGTCCTTTGACTTAAATAATTAAAGTTCAACACTACAGCAACAAAGTTATTAGCTAGTACTTGACTCTAGACACTACAGGTCAATTACTGGCCAGCAATGTTTAGAAGCACAAACCTTGGTAATTAGCAGCAAATTTCATCTTCTCTCAGCACAGTATGTGAGCATGCCACCAGAATAAGCAGAATTAAAACACAAACAAAAGCAGCTCATGTATCCTAGATTTATAATTGCTACTAAGGACCATAGAAATTTCAGCAGAGTTGGGTGCAAGGAAATTTTGACACCTGGAAAATGGGGCAAGTATGTTATCTTTTAGCAAGAAGTTACCTTAGGAATAATTTAAGGAGTATAAAATAGATTATATATATCTTTTTCTTTTGAAGCTTCAGGTACTGACCTCTTGTGTTGTTGTATATTCAAAGATAGATAGAGCTGAAAAGAAGCAAGTTCAGCCCCATCTTTTAATCACTATTTAAATAAAGAATAGTGATCACATAGCTAGTTAGAATCCTGGCTAGTACTGGAACGCCAATCATCAAATAACCTATCATTGATCTTTACATTAGATACTCTAAACATCAAATCTCCGGCAAAGGAAGTTATCAAATTGGGGGTGGTACTAATAACCAGTGCTATTTCTAATAGACTTTTACTAAATAAAACATAAATTAGTATACATGGCACATTACTTTCTGATCTGTGAAAGGCGAGGAAATACTGTCTCCTCTGGATTATCTAAATGTATTGAACAATCAAATTCTTGAGTTGGAATGGGGTGGAAATGATCCAAATAGGCAGGGCAAAGCCACTTGCATGTCTGATTTTCTTCTATGGAAAGTTAGAAAATCTAGATGGCAAATAAAAGGCTACCGTACCAGAATTTGATTATTTTGCAACCAACAAATACTTAGAGACCCCATTCTCAATTTTGGACCTGGGTGAACACATGCTCATTCAATTCAAAATAAGCAGTTGATATCTGTTTTACATGGAATAGCTACACTATTCTGATAAAATAAAGAATGATTTACCTTAAGTAGATTTTTCTGTACACCTGATGCTTAGAAGGTCAAAGTGGCTTGGCCAAATTTATTCAGGTACCCAAACACTTGCCTCTTGGATCTCAGGGAATTCTTTATTTTTAAAAACTTTCACCCCACACTTTTCATCCAGAAATAACATACCCCATGAGGGATGTGAAGAGTGGGGTCAGAAACCAGAAAAAGTGAGTTCTAGGTCAAACTGTGAATGAATGTCTATACATCCAAGTGGCTAATCACTTTGACTCTCTGAGTTTCTGCTATCAAATACCACAATATTACAAACACTAAACCCCCAAAATATGTTATTTTATGTAAATTTGATTTAGCTGTGAAAAATTGAAATTGTAATGTATCATCTATTCTACATATACATTTCTAAGTCTTTCCAGAAGATAATACTTAATAGAAGATAATTCTTAATAATAGAGAAAGATTATTTACCTACTCAGCCTGTTTTTTGTAACAGTGAAGAATTTATGCATGTGTGTGATATTAAGTGAAAATTACATTATTCTTTTAGAAAGCAAATGTAAAAATTGACAACTATTTAAATACACATGCTGGACTTGTCTTTATAAATACAAGCTGTAGAAAATTTCTTTTATGGTAAAAAAAAAAATCTTTAAAGATATTGTATCTACCCTAGGTTGGTAATTGTTCCCCCTGAGTCACAGCCATTATCTTCCAAGGCGAGAGCTAAAGCCACCTGTGAGATGTGTTTCTGGGGACAATGGAATAGTCTCAAATGAGATCAGTAGGGTAGTGTATTTGAAAGTGCATTACAAGCTACAAAACAAAATTGTACATAGCATTAGCAGTGTCGATATAAAATAGTGGAAGGAACACTGGAGTTGGCAGTAGGAAACGGGTTTCAGTCAGAGCTCGGCTGTTTACTAGCTGGTGAGCTTAGGCAAGTCATATAACTTCTCTGAGCCTCAACTGTCAAATGGAAATAATAATAATTGCCCTGACTGATGTACAGAGTTGCAAGGGGAAAATGAGGTAACATGGAAGAGCTTTATAAAGTGTATTACGTTTGCCAATGTCAAATGATGTTATTTTTCACATACATACCGAAGAGTCCCAGTATATATTAATATGTATGTATTTACTTTCTGCATGTTAAACTTCCAGCATATGGAGTCATAACTTTAGTGATTCATGAGTAAGTGATTCAACCTCTTTAATCATTTAATTTCCTTTACTCCAGGCCAGTTACAAAAATTTAGTTCAAGTATTCTTAAATCAGAGTAGCCTAGTCCTTAAGTCCAATGAACCTTGGTTAGAAACCCTGCTTTGTCACTCTTCACTGTGTAGACTTGGGGAAGATTTTTAAATCTCCCTAAGCCTCAGGTTTTTTTTCATCTTTATAATGGATTATTATGAAAATTAACTGAGACAGTGATCCATTTGTAGTATTTAGTATAACTCCCCTAATCCTGGGAATTTTATTTTAATGTTCCCAAGATGAAAACATGTGAGAACAATCTGTATTGTAACTGGAATAATTATGTTTCAAAGACAATGTGGTCTAATGGTTCATTTAATGGCCTCAGGCAAGTACTGGGTGCTGTATTCTTACATTCCCAGCAGAACATGAGGGTGAGGGTTTTTCTTTATCATTTTGTTCAAATGAGCTTAGATGTGCTACAAATTCAACGCTAAGAACTTAGAATTAAAATGATGATATTCTTCTGAATATTTTTCCAAATTTTCAAATGCTAATGATTAGGTGGCAATTCCAGTGCTACTGGGCATTGACTTAAATTGGTTCCAGTAGTGGGCTTTCTCGCCATTTATTCTAAAATATGTGATATTGACTTAGCAGGAGTAGAAACAGGTAAGGAAATTAATATTTGAGACTTGGAAAGATGAAGACAAGTATTATTTAATAACAAAACATTTGGTATATTTTCTACCTGTGATTGCCTTCCAGTGCTATAGCTCTATTGGAAAAGGGTGGAAAACAATATTAGTAATGTTTGGGTTGTGGCTAGTTATGTTTAACATGGCACTAAATGAAAGAGGTGATGCCAGATTAGTGTTGGGTGGCTTGTATGTAGATATGGAAATGAAATTAGACTAGGTAGGAGGGAAATAAAAATAAAATTAAAATCCATTGTATTAAAAAAAATATGTTAAGAATCAGTTTGGGGGCAAAGATGAGATTAGGAATCTGACCTTTCCACCAAGCCTGAACCCTTCAATACAGTTGCCAATCTATTTGCCATAGAAAGAGAGAGAGAGAGAGAGAGAGCGAGTGAGTGAGAGAGAGAGAGAAAGAAACATGATGTCAAGAAAGCAAAAGATTAAATCAGACCAGAGAATTATATCTAGGAAAGTACTTCTTGTGAAGTTCCCAGAACATGGAATTGACTGTAAATAGATCAGAAGCTTACTAAAGTTTTTGAGAAAATTACATTGCCAAAGAAACCACAAGTTTGATCTTTAAAAATCTTTTTTCTATTAGCCCAAAAGCAAACTTTGGGTCCTCAAATTTGCACAGGCAGGAAGTAGCTGAGGAAGCCCTACAGTCCTAAAATAGGACAAATTCTCCAATACCCATATCAGATCTCACTATAGAGAAATACGGACAAAGAAGGACCTCCAAGAACATAGAATCAGGAGACACAGAGAACAATGGATGAAAGAGCTTATCCCTGATAGCTGACTAAGAGAATAATAAAGGAATTTATTCCACTGCCAGGGCAGAGGGAACCTCAGAATGCCTGCCTGGTAGATTTCATCACTGCTATAGACCAGTCCGCAGTCATCACTCTTCGCCATTTTTATGGGAGTGTTTAGTCAGTTATCCTATCGCTTCTTCACTTTTGCATACTGTGCATGTGTGTATATAGGTATACAGTGTGTGTGTGTGCATGCACGCGCATCTGTAATGGTGTGGATAACTTGTCTTTCTAGTTTATAGGCCACCATTCCAGGTACCATCTTGGAAAATGGCACTACCATTTGTCCTTCGGCTTAGACTAAAAAGAGTGTTGTTGTTGTTGTTTTTCCTCTGGGATTATTCATCCAGCACATCCACAAACCTGTCAGTTTTACTGACCAAATAAATCTGAAGCTGCTTCTCACTCCCTCCATTTCTATCTCCCTAATCTAAGTTAACATAATATCTCACCTGAACTACTCAAAAAGTCTCTTTTTTTCTTTTTTGAGACAGAGTCTCGCTGTGTCACCCAGGATGGAGTGCAGTGGCGCGATCTCAGCTCAGTGCAGGCTCCGCCTCCCGGGTTCACGCCATTCTCCTGCCTCAGCCTCCCGAGTAGCTGGGACTTACAGGTGTCCGCCACCATGCCTGGCTAATTTTTTTGTTGTTGTTTAGTAGAGACGGGGTCAAAAAGTCTCTTAATTAGTATCTCTTCTTCTATCCTTCCAACCTTTCAATGTGTGAGTGGAAGTGAGATTATGTGAGTCCTCTGCTCCAAATTTCCCATGACTTCCCCTCCCCTCACAGGTAAAATCTGAAGTCCCTGGCCACCTCTTCCACGTCCTCTCCAGCATTCTCCTCCTGTTTACTAAAGGCTACCCACTATATCTTCCTTAATGTGCTTGAAACATACAAAGCATTTTCCCACCTTAAGATTTCCCCTCTCTGAGCCCTCTCCAGGGCCCACTTCTTCATTCATGAATATCTCGCTCAAATATCACCTCCCCATAGATACTCAACCACTCTGCCATTCCCTATGTCCTTATACTTTATTTTTCTTTGTAGCCCCCTTCACCGTCAGACATCATATAAAATATCTCAGGATTTTTGCTTTGTTTACAGATATATTCCTAACTCCAAAACAGAGCTTGGAACATGGTAGATGTTTAACACATATCCGTAATGTAAATATCTTGTATGTGCTGCATCTCAGCACTTAATAAGAGGCACGTTAAAGTGAACTAAATATGGCCTGAGAAGGATTCTGTACTTCTGTATTTGAGTCCTTGTGGATGAACTGTAACGTAGCTTAATAGGTAGACAAGATTGAAAACCTGATTTAGGAGTATGTGCCTGTAACAATAGCTAAGTCTTGGCCAATCCCAGCGCCGTACTTCAACCGTTCATATGCTGCTGAGTCTTCAAACTGTTCAAGTAAGGGAAACACTGAGCTGTAACCAATCTAGCCATTCTGTACCTCACTTCCAAATTCTGTACATCTTTTCCTTTTTTTGTCTACAAATCTTCTTTCGCCGTGTGGCTGCGCTGGAGTGGTTGTGAATCCGCTGTGATTCTGGGGGCTGCCCAATTCACGAATCGTTCATTGCTCAATTAAACTCCTTTCAATTTAATTCGGCTGAAGTTTTTCTTTTATCAGGCATAAAGTAAGTGCTATTGGGGTATAGCATAGGATGGACCAACTCTGACTGACAGGCTAGTGAAAGCTTCCTAGCTGGCTTCATGGGTGTGCAACCTGTGCAGATATGCAGGGCCATGCACTTGGAAAGATCCTGCTTTTGGTGTAATGTTCTGTTTTTGCCATCTTGAAATTCTTCATAATTTTGAACAAGGAGACCTGTATTTTTTATTGAAGTATAGTTCCCATTCCATACAATTCACAATATTTTAAGTATACAATTTAGCATTTTTTAGTGTATTCACAAAGTTGGGCAACCATCCCCATTATCTAATTCTAGAACATTTTCATCATCCCCAGAAGAAACCCACAAACATTTGTGGTCATTCCACTTTCTCACTTTCCCTTATGCCTAGCAGCCATTTATATACTCTCTGATTCTAAGTTTGCCATTTCAAGACATTGCATGTAAGTGAAATCATTTAAGATGTGGCCCCTTTAGTCAGGTTCCTCTCACTTAGCATGATGTTTTCCAGGTTTCTCTACATTGCATTATGTGTCTATACTGTATTTCTTTTTGCGGCTGAATAGTATTTCATTGTATGGATACACTACATTTTTGTCAATTCATCAATTAATGAATATGTGGGTTGTTTCTACTTTTTGGCTATCATAAATGATGCTGCTGTGAACATTCATGTACAAGTTTTTGTGTGACTATATGTTTTCAATTCTCTTGGCTATATAGGAGTAGAATTGCTGGGTCATATGGCTACTCTATGATTTACTTTTTGAGACACTGCCAAGCTGTTTTCCACAGAAGCTATGCCATTTTACATTCCTTCCAGCAATGTGTGAGGGTTCCAGTTTCTCCACATCCTTCCGACACTTGTTATTTTCTGTGTTTTTTACTACAGCCATCCTAGAGGATGTGAAATGATAGCTTATTGTAGTTTTAATTTGCATTTCTCCAATGACTAATGATGAGTATCTTTTCATATGCCTATTGGCCATTTATAGATCTTCTTTCAATAAATGTCTATTCAAATTTTTTGATGATTTTAAAATTATTTTTCTTTTGTGTTTTTATTTCTGAGTTATAATAGCTCTTTATATATTCTGGATACTAAACCTATATCAGATATATTATTATTATTATATTTTAAATTCGGGGGTAGATATGCAGGTTTGTTGCATGGATATGTCGTGTGATGCTGAGGTTGGGGCTTCTATTGAACCCATCACCCAAATAGTGAACAGAGTACCCAATATTGGGTAGTGAAAAACCACACAATAATTAATTTTTTAACCCTTGCCCCCTTGCCTCCCTTCTCTCTTTTAGAGTCCCCAGTGTCTGTTGTTCCTGTCTTTACATCTGTGTGTACCCAATGTTTAGCTCCTACTTGTAAGTGAGACCATGCAGTATTTGATTTTCTGTTTCTGTGTTAATTTAGGATAATGGCTTCTAGCTGCCTCCATATTGCTGCACAGGACATGACTGCATTCATTTTTGTGGCTGCATAGTATTCCGTGGTGTATACCACCTTTACTTTATGCAACCAGATATATTATTTGCAAACATTTTCTCTAATTCTGTGAGTTGCCTTTTCACTTTGATAGTGTCCTTTGAAGTACAAGCATTTTTAATTTCGATGAAGTCCAATGAATTTATTTGTTCTTTGCTGCCTTGAGATTTACGTACCTATCTACGAAACCATTGTCTAATTCAGGGTCACTAAAATTTACACCTTTGCTTTCTTCTAAGAACTTTAAAGTTTTAGCTCTTGCAGTTAGGTCTTTTATCCATTATAAGTTTAATTTTGTATATAGTGTTAGGCAGATATCCACATTCATTTCTTGTTTGTGTATATGCAGTTGTTTCAGTATCATTTTTTCAAAAGATTATTCTTCTTTAAGACATCATTGAATTGCTTTGACAACCTTGTCAAAAACCGGTTGACCATAGATGCATAGGTTTATTTCAGGACTCTCAGTTGTATTCCACTGATATTTATGTCTATTCTTATGCCAGTACCAAATCCTTTAATTACTGTAGTTTTGTTATAAATTTTAAAAGTGTTAAGTGTAAGTCCTCCAACTTTGTTCTCTTTTTCCAATATTGTTTCAACTATTCTGGGTCCCTTGCATTTTCATCTAAAATTTAGAGTCAGTTTATCAATTTCTGAAAAATGGGCTGTTGAAATTTTGATGAAAATTGTATCAAAACTATAGATTAACTTGGGTAGTATTGCCATGTTAGCAATATTGTTTTCTAATATGTAAACATGAGATCTTTCCATTTATTTAGGTTTTCTTTAATATATGTCTATGTTTTGTAGTTTTTCTATGTGCAACTCCTACACTTCTTCTTTTGATAAATTTATTCCTTTTATTCTCCTTGAAGCTATTGTCAATAACATTATTTTCTTAATTTCATTTTCAGATGGTTCATGGCTAGTGCATAGAAATACAACAGATTTTTATATTGAATGTGTATACTGCATCCTTGCTGAACTCCTTTATCCATTCTAGCAGGTTTTTCATGTATTTCTTAAGATTTTCTATATGCATGATCATGTCATCTCTAAATAGAGGAGTTTTAATTCTTCCTTTCTATTCTGGATATCTTTTATTTTATTTTCTTGACAATTTCCTTGGCTAGAACCCCCCAATACAATGTTAAGTAGAAGTGATGGGATCATACCTGCGCCTCTCTTTGCTGATATTAGGGGGAAAGCTTCTAGTATTTTACTATAAAGTATGATGTTAGAGGCCCTGACTTTTTAATCTTGCATCGGGCTCTGAAAATTATGTAGCTAGAACTACCTTATAAAGAAGGACACAGTTGAGCTGAGTATCACAGGACAAGTAGGAGTTCTCCAGTGGGTGAGGAGGAAGAAGGGGAACAGTATATGCAAATATCATGAATACATGCTCGAACTCAAAGTGACTCAGTGTGGCAGGTGTGTGGAGGCCAAGTGAGGAGTGAAGGAAGCAGAGGTTAGAGAAGTAGGTAGGGCTGGACCACTGCTGGATTGCTGACTTCTTACTAAGGAGTTTGGATTTTATTCTGTAATTTTTAGACTAGTATACTATTATATTTTATATTCAACATCAAAGAGTAGAATGAAGAAAAACGAGACTAAAAATTGAGGCAAGGAGAGCAATTCATGGGCTACTGCAATGTTTGATACAGTGAATCAAAACCTTGTCAGATTAACCTTGGAATAGCTGTATTCTTGCTCTTGAAGACTTTGCTTTCCTTCTATATTTTTTTAAATGAAAAATTTGTACAAATAAAAACATAGGTATTGAGCACCATATTTCAAAGTTAGGCTAGCATTGATAAAGTTTACAATGTTTTGTTCATTGTGAAAAACATATTTTCATGTTTATGATAGCCTGAAGAATTGAGATAAATGATCTTTTACATGGTAAAGAAAATGACGCTTAGAACATTTCATTAGTTATTTCAGTAACTGTATTAGTAATCCTAGAATCTTTTGCATTTGCATCATACTAATCCTTCTTACATTAGGCATCACCTGCCACATTAGCAAAACCAAAAGATATTCCTTCCCTATCCCTCCTTTCCTCCCTCCCTCAGTCCCTCCCTCCCTTCCTCCCTTTCTGCCTTCCTCTCTTTTTCCTCTCTACCCATTTTCCTTCCTTCCTTTTTCTTTACATTTACTTAATTAATTAATTCTTCAAAAATTTTAGGACCTAAGAGACTGGACTAGATCTATAACACATTTTGTGCCCTCGGAGAGCTTACAGATTGATGAGTGGCTGAAGTAAACAAGGCTGCCACATCTCAAAACAGAGTATCATGCATCATTGTTACCCTAAGCACATCTAAATTTGTAGAATGGTCATTTGCGACAGCCCCATCACTGTGGCCTTCACTGAGAGTGTACAGCCTCTGATATATACATGGTAGCATTGAATAAATAATGCTTTGTTGTATTAGTTCACGTTGTCATGGATTGGAGGGCTAGAGTTAGAATTCGTGACTAAGATGATGGAAGCAGTAAGAAGAACCAAAGAATCAAACCAACTAAATCCCAGGAGAGTCAGATGAACCAGAGCTACTCACTGCTTGATCACATATAGCTATAAATTCCTAGTCGATTCACAGATCTAGAAAGTGATGAGCCATTTGAGAGAAAACACCTCTCTCTTTTCCTCAAATTATGTAACACTGAATCCATGACATTAAACAAATGATTCTAACCTTTTTTTTCTTGCCTTTATTGGATTTCAAAGTTCAGTACACATTCAAATTATTCAATTTTGATATCACTTTTATGATCAAATGTCCTACTTTTGAAATGGAAAGCTCAGTTGGCCATGTTCCCTGTTAAGTTTAAGAAGCTTTTATCACTTAAATAAATTAAACCTTCCAGCATGGATTCTGCAGAACATAATGAAGCACAGAGGAAAAAAAGCTTAAATGAAATAAACCTCTTTGCTGATAGAAACAGTACAGGTTATTGTGCATTCTACCAATAAATGTGTAGCTGGAACCGTAGCCTGATTTCTGGTTTTTAAATTTTGTCCTTAATTTTTATAGTGTTCAGCAGCAATCTGATTTGCCATTGGACAAAAGATGGACACAATGTACATGAAGTAAAAAGGGTCTAGGTTTTTAATACTGAGAATAAAACCAAATATTAGGTTTTTAAAAGCTGATTTCTTTTAATACTACATTGATAAGTAAGGATATATATTTTTCACACCATTTAATTCATACAAGTTGAACTCTTATGAACTCAAATCCTTTAACACTTTCTATAATAATTTCTTCATGGTTTAAAAAAATGCTTGTTTTCTAGAGAAAAATGATCATCTATATAATAATTGGGTAAAATTAAGCTATATAAATTACATATTGAATTAGCAGGAGACATTTTACTTTTTGAGTTACAATTTGCCAGTTGCCCATGAAAGATTCAATTGGATTATGAAAAATCTTACTGTTTATAGATTCTTTCAATGGCCAAAGTGTTGGGTGCAATTTTTAAAATGTAAATAAAAACACACCATTTTAAAGAGTTTAACTAAATCAAATTCATCAATGTTTCCACTATGTTAAGTTGAACCATTTTACTATATGCATGTTAAAAATAAAGCTAAAGGTAAAAAGCCCTTCTTTTTAAAATTTTTATTTATTATTATTTTTGAGACCCAGGCTGACATGCAATGGCATGATCTTAGCTTACTGGAACCTCAGATTCCTGAGCTCAGGTGATCCTCCTGCCTCAGCCTCCCAAGTAGCTAGGACCACGGGCATGCACCACCATGCATATCTATTTTTTTTTTTAAATTTTATTGTAGAGATAGGGTCTCCCTGTGTTACCCAGGGTGGTCTCAAACTTCTGGGCTCAAGTGATCCTCCCACTTTGGCCTCCCAAAGGGCTGGGATTACAGGCATGAACCACCATGCCCAGCCAAAAGGCCCTTCTTAAAAGGAAACATTCAGTAGAATTAATTTGAGAATACTCATAATGGTAATGTATAATAATTACCATGGAAATATAGCTTTCTTGGTAATAAATATTCAGTGTCACTCAAAATTGGAGCTTAGGTCATAAAGCTGTCTCTAAAACTGTAAGGACTTGTAGAGAGGGCCTAATTACATTTAGTGTTTTTGAAATACAGTGAGTTACTTATATTAGGCATCCCTGATGTTTTATCTTTTTATTTGTTATATTTGTACATTCTTTTAAACTTAAAATAAAACAAAGAACTATCATACTTTGCGTACAAGATATGGATCAGCTGGTGGTAGCACCTTGTGAATTAGTGTTTAAAGTCCATAAGCATGATTAAATCACCTTTTCATTTTCATTTGTTTTTAATGAAGCTTTCCATTTCAAAATCAGTGCCTATACTCTCTTACCTTGCAGTAGGAAAGAAAATTTTGTTTTCTCATAAGCTAGAAAATGAGCTTCTAGTGGATATTACTGCATCCTTGCAATGAAATCAAAGCAGGTTCTGATTCAAGACCTTTCAATGACTGATTTGTGGGTCAAAGATTTGAACCTGAGTCTACCCAGTATGCATTTGCTCAGTAGTTGGGTAGGTTCTAGGAATGCCAGAAGGCAAATGATATAGCTCCTGCTTCCAAATGAGGAGTAGACATTAATGATCAATAATAATAATAATAATATACAGATAGCACTGATTCTTTGTTTAGACAGTGGAACATAGTGAAGGAACTATAAAGTGCCCTGCTTATTTGTAACATTTTCCATTCCTAGACGCACCACGTCATACATTTGCTGAATGTATGAAAAGGTTATTGAACTAATGCATAACATTTGTTTATTACAAATGTTACAAATGTTACAGACACTAGAGATATAGCAGTTAGCAAAGCAGACAGAAATCCCTATTCTCGTAAACAAATGATTTAGGTGTAAGTGGAATCAAGGTTGATGTCAGAGTCCAGGGAAAGTCACATTCTTTGACCCTCCCTGCTCCCTGCCTTCCATAAAGGTAGTGTATTTAATATATGTAGAAGAAAGTTAAAAACAAAACAAAACAAAAACACAAGGTGTCCTTGAAGGGGACCAGAAGCTGCAAAATGGTAGCATGTGTTTAAGCCTACTGGCTCTGCTTTGGAGAGTAAGGAGAGTCTAGAGACTGCCTCGCACAAAGCTCTTTCAAGGTCTAGGCTACCGCTTTCCCAGCAAGTATACAGCTTCAATTGTGTTCAATTCACTGCTTTCAGGGATGGTTCTCCATGGCAAACGCTCTGTGAAGGGTGACCTGCTGGGTGTGAAACTGCTGCACGACTTCCTACTTCACCCATTCATCTATCCGAGTTTTCACGGAGTCCAGGAGAAAGTATAAAAGTTACCTTGAGGAGCAGGAGAGTGGAATGGTTAAGACTGTTTGGAATCTGACCCCTTGGATTTGCATCCTGGACACACAGTTGTGTGACCTAAGGGAAACCACTTAAACTCTTTATGCCTCAATTTGCTTCTCTGTGATAAAAGAATAATATGACCTGTGTCCTACAGTAGAGAATAATAGGTCCTAGCTCGTAAAATGTTCTCATTCCATGACACTTAAATGAGAAAATACGTGTGTGGAAGTGACCACTTTGCTATATACAGATATTTTATTATCATTTTACAATGCCATTATTTTGTTCCATAGTCAAAAGTAAAATAAAACAAATGTCAATTTGTCTTATTCTAATCCTATAAAGTCAATTCAAACTAGTATTTTTTTTAAAAAAAACTACCTCTTAAAAACCTGGATATAATAAGTAGTTGACCAAATCCAAGTGTTACTGTTTGCGGTTAGGTGTCAGTTCCAATTGTATAGATTGGGTGATAAATCGCCTCATGACCCCCTCTTTCTAACCTTCCTCCTGCACCTGCTTCTCCTCTCACTGGGCTGCAGATTGTCAGCAGGCCCTGCTGCTAAGGAGAAAGGGGGATCTACTTCAGGACCTAGGGCTTGTGTCTGAGATCTGGAGGGCCTGTAGCCACTCCTCAGAGTGTTGGCTTTTGAGCTAGTCACGTCCAACTGCTGGCTCTCTTTATGTGTGGCATAATTGATGGCCTGAAAGTCCCTGGTGGCAGATCACCTACAGGGTGCAATAACCTTTCCCACCTCACACAGTGCTTTTGCCTTGCCTGGCTTCTAGCAGACTGAATTCACAAATGAGTACGTTCAGTGGCTTCCTGAGCTCTAGGGGATCCTAGCCAGTACCCCTCTGAGCTATAAAGGAAGTGAAGGGCAAGGAGCAAAGAGGGGAACTTTGGCTCTCTAAAGAGCATGTTTTTCCGCTGTGCATTGCTGGCTCCTGAGATTGGATGTGTAGGTCCTGCTGTTCTGCAAACTTGATGACAATTCAGGACCAGTCTTGTTGGTCATAAGTACCCTCAAACCTCAAGGGAGCTATGTTTAAAATTACTTAACTTCCTATCTCCCGGGCGTAAAAAGGGGGAAAGGAACAATGTGCAATACTCAGAATTCTGTCATCTAATGTACCAGAGCTCGATTCTTTCTCTTTCCCAGTTACTTTTACATTTCTCGACAGCAAAATACAGATCCAGCTCTGTCTCATTTGTCCCCTAGTATAGGTGAGAAATCAAGCCCTGTGCCAAGACCCCCTTTGCTCTATGTATTTTGGTATTTGGAGTCTTTGTTTCTAGCTAAATAGTAGCAATTCAAACACTTTTGTTTGTTCTTGGTTGGGGGTGGGTGGGGGGCAGCTGGTGGTCAAGGAAGCTGGGAAAGATTTATTTTATTGATATTTTACATGGACATGTTACAGTCTTACAACACAAAACACCCTGAACTTGGTAAGCACACAATAATTGCAAGCAATTATTAGCCATTATATTCAAAGATCTAAACAAATAAGGCTCTTGCCTAAGGTGCCCACAAATTCTCAGATGTCAGTAATACCAAATCTTTCATTATAGTCTCTGCATGGCAGGACATGTAGACATTACAAAATAGGAATGTCCTTGTCTATTATATACCAATAGGGTTGCCAAATTTAGCAAACAAAAATACAGGACTCCCAGGTAAAATTAAAATTTGAATAAACAAAGAATATTTGTTAAAGGATACATATGTCCAATTCAGATTTATAATGTCTGATGTTTTTAGTATGTCCCAAATATTGCACAGGGGACCTGCATTTTACCTGACCTTCCTGTGTGCCTACCACTTGTCACACTCCACTGACTTTGAAACGGTTCCATTTTCCCAAATGTGAAGGCTGCTCTCAGTTACCACATCGAGCCAACACTATGTCTATCCTAGGCTAAACAACCACCTTAAAAAAATAAAAAGGGTAAGTGGTGAGTGGGAAGGGGGATGTGGAAAATCATTCATATTAGGCCTCTCATGTCCACCCATAGAATCAAAGTGAGTACTTTTTCAAAAAGGGGCTGAAATAGGAAAATAGTATCTGCGTTCCTGTGTCTGGGTCTGTCTGGTTCTAAAGAATGTTCATATCTTGAAGACTTAGTACAACCTATGTTTACTTGGGAAGCATAAGAATTGTGTCAACCCTTTGAAAGACTTCTAATTAAACTGCTGGAGCTTTGATGTCAGAATTTGAGATTATTATTACATATTTTAAAAAGACCCAATTTCATGTGCCACTAACAAGAAAAAATATGTTGGCCTTTACAGACAGTTACTGAATTTATTTCAAAATACAAATTAGTACCACTCGATAAACTGAATTTAGTGCATCAATCTCATTTTAGAAAATGTACTCTTACCTGGAAGGGGAATTCCTATCTTTCTGGCTTTTCTGTTAACGGTGACCATCAGTAGTATTGGTTTTTGGTGTAAAATCAATGATTATATGTTACTCCAGGCAGCTGCTGAATATTCAAAAGATAGTAAATGGTTTCAGATAGGAGTATTTTATGAGAGTTCAAGGAGAGAGAACCAACGTATGCTGAGTGTCTGTTATGGGTTAGAGAACACGTGCTTCACATGTGTTTCTACTCTAACCAACAACCTACAGAGGGTGATCAAGGTAAGTTATTTTCCTTGAGTGATAAAATTGTCTGATTCTGAAAGTGCCTTATCTAATATAACTCTTTTTTGATTTTCCTTACAGCCTTCACCTGCAGTTACTTTGCTTTTCAGGACTCTGAGCAAAAATCTCACACTTATTAACTTTACTTCCAACTCTGATAATATATGTGGCAATTTCTTATATAGCCAACATTTTTTATTTCTTCTGATGGGGTTATCATAAGTTCTTCCCATTATTATCTTCAAAATACATTTTAAATAAAATGATGCTCATTTATTTGTGGATATCTAACCCCTCACCTGTACTATGTATTTAATTTTATGTTTAAAATGTAAAGAATCTGGGAAATTGAAGAGTTCAACCTCCAACCCAGTGAACATGTCATATGGAAAACATACTTCTATCTTAACCTTTTAGTGGTAGAACGATCATGAGTTTTCGAGGCAGTTTATTCAATAGAGAGCAGTTTGCAATGAAGTCTGTGTACTAAGCTGGTGTTACCTCCCGGAAACTTTTCCTCACAAATTCTAGTTCTGCCTTCTAGGGTCGCATAAATCAATTTAAATTCTCCCCTCACCCAACCCAGATGCCATTTGCTAAACTGTGTAAGTTTTCAGTACACTTATAGCCTGGAATTCTTACTATCTGATACCCAAACAGAGGATAATTTTTTTTTTTTTTTTTTTTTTTTTTTGAGAAGGAGTCTCGTTCTGTCGCCCAGGCGGGAGTGCTGTGGCGCGATCTCCGCTCACTGCAAGCTCCGCCTTCCGGGTTCACGCCATTCTCCTGCCTCAGCCTCCCGAGTAGCTGGGACTACAGGCGCCCGCCACTGCGCCCGGCTAATTTTTTGTATTTTTAGTAGAGACGGGGTTTCACCGTGGTCTCGATCTCCTGACCTCGTGGTCCGCCCGCCTCGGCCTCCCAAAGTGCTGGGATTACAGGCGTGAGCCGCCGCGCCCGGCCAACAGAGGATAATATTAAAAATGGTTTTGAAACTTATTTCTACACAATAAGGAAAATCATACAAAAGTGGCAATTCATTACAGAGAAATTTAAGGGATAAATATGTATTTCCTTATATATGTATACACATATATACATATACAAATATGTATGTGTGTATGTATGTGTGTATTTCCTACTAACGGCAATATAAGGGGAACATAAACTAGAAGCAAAGTACCTCTCTATTCAGTTGTCTCTTGAGTAATTCTCCCTCTGATATGTAGGGGACTAGAACTAAGTAAGTAAGTAGCCAACATTTCTATGTTGGGTTTAAGCCATATTGCATCCATAAATTTCATAAATGCAATTCCATAAATGGTATTTAAATTTTTTTTTCTTGAGAAATAATCTTATCAAATATTCAAGGGTTTTCTTTGTAACACAAAGCACATACAGCATAGTATTATACAACTGTTAATCCATCTGCTTTTATAATCAGGCTGTGACTATCTCTCCCGTTCCACAGATCATCTTTCGTAAGATCAGTGATGTGAAGAAAGAGGAGGAGGAGCGCCTCCGGCAGAAGAATGAGGTGACCCTCAGCATTCCCGTGGACCACCCAGTCAGAAAGCTCTTCCAGAAGTTCAAGCAGCAGAAGGAGCTGCGGAATCAGGGCTCAACACAGGGTGACCCTGAGAGGAACCAACTCCAGGTAGAGAGCCGCTCCTTACAGAATGGAGCCTCCATCACCGGAACCAGCGTGGTGACTGTGTCACAGATTACTCCCATTCAGACGTCTCTGGCCTATGTGAAAACCAGTGAATCCCTTAAGCAGAACAACCGTGATGCCATGGAACTCAAGCCCAACGGCGGTGCTGACCAAAAATGTCTCAAAGTCAACAGCCCAATAAGAATGAAGAATGGAAATGGAAAAGGGTGGCTGCGACTCAAGAATAATATGGGAGCCCATGAGGAGAAAAAGGAAGACTGGAATAATGTCACTAAAGCTGAGTCAATGGGGCTATTGTCTGAGGACCCCAAGAGCAGTGATTCAGAGAACAGTGTGACCAAAAACCCACTAAGAAAAACAGATTCTTGTGACAGTGGAATTACAAAAAGTGACCTTCGTTTGGATAAGGCTGGGGAGGCCCGAAGTCCGCTAGAGCACAGTCCCATCCAGGCTGATGCCAAGCACCCCTTTTATCCCATCCCCGAGCAGGCCTTACAGACCACACTGCAGGAAGTCAAACACGAACTCAAAGAGGACATCCAGCTGCTCAGCTGCAGAATGACTGCCCTAGAAAAGCAGGTGGCAGAAATTTTAAAAATACTGTCGGAAAAAAGCGTACCCCAGGCCTCATCTCCCAAATCCCAAATGCCACTCCAAGTACCCCCCCAGATACCATGTCAGGATATTTTTAGTGTCTCAAGGCCTGAATCACCTGAATCTGACAAAGATGAAATCCACTTTTAATATATATACATATATATTTGTTAATATATTAAAACAGTATATACATATGTGTGTATATACAGTATATACATATATATATTTTCACTTGCTTTCAAGATGATGACCACACATGGATTTTGATATGTAAATATTGCATGTCCAGCTGGATTCTGGCCTGCCAAAGAAGATGATGATTAAAAACATAGATATTGCTTGTATATTATGCAGTTGACTGCATGCACACTTTACATTTATTTATAATCTCTATTCTATAATAAAAGAGTATGATTTTTGTTACCCAAGGCAATGTAATATTTGAAGAATCAGGGTCCAACCTGCCAATGTTGCCATGACAAATTTGATCTCAGGCTGAGTATGTATATCGAGCTATCATTTTCTCACTGTTCTGTTAAGTTAAAAGTATAGATTAATGCCAAGGAAGAGTTCAGTCTTTTAAACTATTAGTACCATGTTATGATCTCTTTCCATAGGATATTTTTCTGTAACTTAGTGTTAGGTTCTTTTCCCCTACAGGCAGTGTTTGCTCCATTTAAATGACTGTTTAGTTGCCTAAGTCAGATAAGAGTGTGGGATATTGAAAACTTATTGCTATGGGTTTTGTGCATGAATTACATTTTTGATCAACTATACCTCTCGTTTTTTAACATTATACTTAGATAGTAATCATTAGCTCTTATGTAAGGAAATCCCTACTCCCTCCTTCTTGGAGAACAGCTGCCATCTTGTAAGCTGACATTATCAACATCATAAATACTAAACTATTAATATAGAGTATGTTATTATAGAAACACTGCACCACAGGGTATAAGGGCCTTTTGACAATTCATGTAAGAGATGCTGAATTTCCAAAGCTGATAAATGCTCTAAATTTGTATTTCCAAAACATGTTCAAGAGTGACATTGAAAGGCTTGTTAGCAAAGAAACATACAAAAAATAAAGCATTTAAGTAATCATATCAAAATGCTAACTATTATGGTATAAAATAAAAAAGAATGTAAACAGATAGATAAATTTTTGTGGCATGTATATAACTTAGAAAGAATGAAACACTGGTACGGATTGTTGACACATGAATCCTAGTGTTTGTAGTGATAACACATGAAATGTGGTAAAACAAACAAACCAACCAACCAAGAAGTAGACATTAAGTTG
The DNA here is from genome assembly GCF_000001405.40 of Homo sapiens. Classification (NCBI taxonomy): domain Eukaryota; kingdom Metazoa; phylum Chordata; class Mammalia; order Primates; family Hominidae; genus Homo; species Homo sapiens. The sequence goes on along the minus strand of NC_000014.9, from coordinate 62,706,354 downwards.
CTCGACTCAGATAACTGCTTTTCTATCATTTTATTGTGGTTATAGTTTTTTAAAGCTTTTTGCACACAGTTCTACTGCTGGACTTCTGCTGAGTTGATTCAATAAGCTATTGTGGCTCAGGCAGGTCCATTTGTGAAAGGGGGATACTAAAGACTGAATTTTAGTCTTTTGAATTCAAATCCTCTTTGTAGAAAGTGCCTATTATCAAGTTTTTAAAAAAAGTCACAAAGAGTTGTCCTGTATATAGCTAGTCCCTTAAATGATAAGGATTGAGAATAAAATACACATTCACTTGTAAGAACCCAGGAGAACTTATTTCTTTTGACTAAACTGTATTTTAGGAAGTCGTTCAGGGAAGCATACTTTTCAGTCAGTGCATGCACAGCATTTAATATGGGGAGCAGGGGAGTTAGTGTTTGCATGAAGTTGAAAAAAATGTGTGAGTAATTTATATATTACGGGACCATCTGTACATATATGTTAACAATATGCAAAAGATGATGGCAAAATCGAAGGAGATATCTTGATCTATTATACCCATTTGTATGAGCTTTTCTATCTCCCAGTATTCCCAACCAAAGCCACTAGAACTGAAAGACATGTTATCACATTCAGACTTGAGAAGTGCAAAACAGTGATTTATAAAAACAGTTGCTATTTTAGAATTTCTATTGAACTTCACATGCCCACAAGATGTGCCTCTTTAATCTAGGAGTCTCAAAACATATGAGCCATGGGCTCCATTTTCCTTTCTTTATGCGTATAACTTCCATTAACCATAATGGAAGTTTTCAGGGGAACACGTCTCCATGTAATGCTACAATATCTACCTACCACAAACACAAGAAAATGAAATAATTATGGAGTAAAGAATCAGCCTTGAAATTGGAATTTTGTTGCTTTCATGGTGAGGATGATATCTTTTTCGTGACCTCTGACATTTATTGAATTTCAGGGTATTTTTCTATTTGTTTAAGTCAAGTTTGGCTTAAGCTTTTAAAGGTGAATGTGTGGTTAAAATAAGAATCTGATTATAGAAGTTGTTAGTTTAACTTTAGCCAGTGCTTCAAAACTAACTATTGGTGTAAAGCTATAAAAGAATGACTGTGAACAACATGATGATTTGAAGTTCTAATTCATGGCTTTGCATATTAGTGGTGCAAATATTTACTGTGTTCTGACATTGACGTAGAGTTTCACCTAATCGACCTACAATGTTATTGTTCATATATGTGAGAAACATAATGGTTTTGAATTACTCCAGATTGTTAGGAAGGAGGGAAAGTATCAATTGTTTAATTATGGTGCAGTTATCATAGTGTCTTTTCAGCCATCTCTGTTCTCTGTGTGCATGATATGAAGAGGTGCTGAATGCACCCTGCTGTTTTCAGCAGGAATGCATGTTTTCAGCAAACATTGTATATAGAGTAGTCTTTTAGGTTCCCAGATTCCACAAATCTTAGCAGTTGAATTTACTCAGATTTGAATGAAGGGAGAATATTTGCTTTAATACATGCAATAATGATAAAATCATGTTCTATGTTGCCTCAACTAGCACATAGACAGTAGATGCTCTTTTGAGGACCAGATAACTGCATGTTTTATTCCTACACTGTATAGATGCTCTTGGTGCATCCAGAATAAAAATTTTAATATTATATTTCTAAATAATATATTAATAGGAGTAAATGGATATGTATTAGAAATCCAAACATTTTCCAAAGCAATTTACACACCTTCAATATTTTTCTATGATGTTATTAATAGGTAAGATCAGATGCTGTATCCTCGACAGGTGGTTGTAACAAAATAGCAAAAGTCAAATTAGAATGGAAATGTGAGTGATGTATCATAATGGCAGGTTTTATCAGTCTGTATCAGGATATTGTTGCACTAAATGTGATCTAGCAGATGGAAGAGATTATGATAAAAAGCAAATAGGCACACAAAAGCCAGATGACAATACCAAAGCTATATGAATGGTACTGAAAATGGTTCAGGCACAGTGGTTGAATTGAATGACGTGGTTGAATACAGGCCCATGCTTCATTGTTAAAATGGAAAATTTTTATGACACTAGTTGCATCTTGCATTAAGTATAGGACTAAAAATGTCCTAAGTATTTTTTACAAACAACTTTATGTATATCAGAGAAAAAAATGGAAAATCTGGGGTTTGAAATTGCTCTAGAAAAAATGTGTACTTCTGTTGTACTCAACACTTTAATAGGAAAATTAGTTGTGACCGCTAACTAAAGTACCATTATCAAAATTAACCTTATTGGAGCCCAAATGAAAATCACATTTTCCCTTCTGTTTAAGGAGATTTTGTTCACCCTGTGATATCTGGTCCATTTGATATCTTATTTTAAATAGCTAAAGTCATTTGGAATTTTTTTTAATATTAGCCTTCAGAGCAGTGACTGTTTTGAAGTGTGCAGTGGCAGATATTTGTGAAATTATTCATCATATTTCTAATGAATTCCACTATCTTGTATAATTTTTATCTTTTAAGCAATTTTCTATGAGTTTGTTTTCCAAAATTCCATGTAGGTAATGAGAACATTTATCTAGAATGTGCATATCATACATGGATAACTTTCAAATATGAATATTTTATAATCATGTGAATGTTGTGCTATAATTTTTTCTATTAGGTGTAAAAGTATTTCTCTTCTCATCTTAATGGAAAGGGGGAAAAGACAAAAACAGTCTTTTGGAAAACACCTTAAGTCTTAGTATCTGAGCTTTGTCTTGTGTTCTGAATTTAGCTTTACCACAAACTAGAAGTGTAATTATGGGCAAGTTAACCTTTCCTAGTGTACCAAATGGTACCATTTCCCCGCCAATAAATAAGAAAACAAAGATAACAGCTGTTGCTTCCTTATATCAACATGCTATTGGTCAATGAAAAAATTATCTTTCTTGCAGGTGAAAATCACATTATGACAAGTGATCACTTTTTCATTCTTTCATAGAAGAGTATCCACGATGTACTCTCTATCAAAATATTCTTCTAGATTTTAGAAGAGATTTCAGGGATTGACGGTGATGTGATTTTTATCTAAATATTCTTTTAGGTTTTAGAAGAGATTTATCTGGTCAGAGGTTAATGGAGAGAGGCATAGTTTGCTAGTGGCAGGTAAGCATAAAACTTCATACTTATGTGGGAATTTAGAACTACAAATCAAATAAACGTGGAAAGAATGAAGCTCCTTTGACAGAAGAGAGAGAGAAGAGAAAGATAGGTAAATTTTGTGATTTTTCTTATTTCTACTTAATCATACTGCTTGGCAGAAATTCTCAATTTTGTGAAAAAATTGGTAAGTGGCCAAGGTATAGAGTAGTTCACCAATGTATCTATGTAACAAAACTGAATGTGTACCCCTTAAATTTATACAAATAAAAACTAGAGTAGTTCATCCTTCAACTTTTTATATTAAAATAATCATGACCTGTTCAAGATATATGATTCCACATGGGCAGACACTCTTATAACAAAATTCTTAACTATGTGCTATGTGTTGTAAGTTTTGGCCTATATTCTGACTTGAGATTTTCTATCACTTCATTTGTAGGATAAGACCCCTGTGTTTGCATTCTTTATGAGGGTCAGGACCACTGAGGATTTGGACTGGGAACTAGAAAGATGATGAAGGCAAGGGTTGAGAAAAGACTGATTAGAATCTATCTGCTTCTTTACTCTTAGGCTTAGAAGTTAAATAAGTTAACTAAGCTTATATTTACCAAGGTCTCACTATGATAAGCATTTTATTTAGGTTATCAAATTTAATTCTTGCAGCAACCCCATGAAGGTATAGGTTAAGGAACTTGTCCAGGATGGCATACTTGTTACATGGTAAAGTTGAGTTTCTAACACAGGCAGTCAGACCTTAGGGAGAAACCTTTATTTTGTAGAATACTGACATTACAAGAACTATCTAGTTCAACCATCTAGTCTAGGTTTTTCCAGACACATACTTTTAAAGATTTCTTAAAATAATTCTTAAAAATTGCACTCGATAATGTGAATGTAAATGTTTGGTTTTTCTTGATAGGTCAGAGTCAATGACAGAGTTTGAAATCATACTGTCTTAAGCAAAAGGTGCCCTGTCCCAACAGTGGAATTTTCCTTTACTTCTCCTAACAGTTGAAAGACATCGGCCAAAGTAAACTGTCAAATGTGGTATGTTTGATATATGGTCACTGGTATCAACATTTTCTTTTCCAGTTGAATTTTAACCTAAAGAGGTAATGCCTAATGGTTAAGGAAAGCAAGAGTCATTCAGGATTTTTTTTCTATAATTTCTTTTTCTTTTTAATAGTGGGATTTGGATGAGACTCCAGAATTTATTTTTAAAATTTATTTTTTGACTCATTGGGTTTTAAGTAGATTATTCAGATATTTTTATTGATTGCACTGATGTTGGCTTCTTGGCCAAACCACTATTAAATACATTATCCAAATGAACTATTTCTGTTTAGAATGGCAACTTGTATCCTTATTTCCAAAATTAATGAGCTCACAGTATGTATATTTACTTCAGAGAGTTTCAATAATTTTCTCTAATGAAAAAATGTTAATTTTCTGAATGTGATTTATTTGTTCTACCCTTTGAGATTTCTAAAGCAAGTGTCTTGAGATAAGGAGAAAAAAACAAGATATTACAACACTACATGCTGGAATCTTCAGCCCAAACCATCTTGTTTTCACTTGGCTAATAACTGAGCCAGAGGTAATCATAGAAAGGAAGAATCCTACTTTTAAAATAATGACTGTGAAGGACCCCACTGACACCATCCAAAGCTTTTTATAGTCAGCTCACTTCCATCCTGGCTTTTACATTACCACTGCATGATTATTTAAATGAGGTCATGTCTTGTACTACTTGTAAAGGCACTTGGTCAAAGAAGAGTAAACCAAAAAGTGCAGCTTATGACCAGAGTTATAACTGAGGAAAAAGGAGTGTGGAGAAGGGACAGCAGTTGCTTCCTTTTAATGAGTTTTCTGTATGTGGTGCCTTTTAAATAGCTTTTGTTTATTTGTTTTTAAGATGACACATTGTCATTAAGGTTTTAACAAAAACCTTTGGAAGCAGTTTGAAAGCTTGTCAAATGCTGGGGCCTTCTTTAGAAATAAGTGTTCTCCCACCAACCAATGAGTTTAGAACCTCTGGTTCTGACCTACAAACCCAATCCCCTAAGCACTTGGCTGGTTGGGCTGCATTTTGATGGGAGGAAACAAAAAGATCTGATCACTCTCTCTCATTCATGCGGAATCACTGACTGTTGAATGACCAAAGCAGTCAAAGCCAAAATATTCACCTTGAAGCTTCAATAAACCAGATTGAGTATCCATAATAACTAATTTAAGTAATTTTATCCCCATTCTCTGCTAAATCATATTTCATAATATAAAATGTAACCACTTCCCTCTATCCAAAGCTTTTGGTCAGACTCTCCATTGAGTTAGAGAAATTGGACTTTGGCAAAAAGCAACATAAAGATTATTGTTGTTCCTAGAACCATTGTTGCCATGGACCCCTCATTTGCTCCTCAACTTTTTCAACCAAATTATAGCGGGAAAGATTCCTGATGAAGCCAAGACTGCAAACAGGAAGAATACCTAGCTAGTAAACTATGCAAAATCACAACAAAGATTCATTTATAATTCCATGTTACAGTGTTTGATAGTCCTAAGTATTTAATATTGGTATATTATGTCACAGCCATGAACTGTCAACTTACACAAAATCCAAACGCACTTTCATTTAAAATCAAGATTAGCCTATTTCATTTTCAGGAAAAAACAGTTGTCAGAATTGCTTTTTTGACCTCTGCAGGGATGTTTTCACATTGCTATTCTTATGACCCTTTATCAGAGAGGGAATAAGTGTAGTGTTCACTTTCATCTCCTTAGGGTTGACTGCACCAGCATCTTCCATCAAGCAGTCGCCTTCCACCTTAGAACCTGTTCACAGTTAATAAAGCAAGGGGGAATATGCATTTCATATTAGGAACAGATTTCTTAAGTGATTGTTATGAAAAGTGGAAACCAGTTTAGAACCATTTTTTTACCCTAAAACATCCATTGTAGTTTGTTGAAAGAGCAATGACTTTTAGAAGTGCTTGGTACTCAAACAACACAAAATGTGCAGATTCACGATATATTGAAAATTATAGAGTTCTTTTTAGTCTATGTTCTAGTGACTTTGTTTACACTAGTTGTGGCATTTTGTATACTACAATGTAAATTCTACTATAACACTAATGTTACTATGGGAATTAATTTTGCAACTTCTTAAATGTTTTTGTCACTGCAACCATATTGGTGAGATATTGGGGGTATTAAAAATGCCTCTGCCTTTAAGGGTTAATTCACCAGAAATAATTGATTCATGCATTGACAAAGGAAACAATGCAAAAATTTCATGTGGGATGTTTTTAATACCATTATGCTAAGCAGTACTTGTTGGCTTTTTTCAAAATCTGATTCATGCTAAGCAGATCCTTTTTTCTACTTAAACAAAGATACTGCAATGTATAATATAGAAATTTTGTATGTACTGTTGACCTATCACCTGACTGCTGACAGGATGTGTGAAAATATTTTAACTTTGTGACTTTAGGGTCAATTATGAAACAATTGTGATCAAAATTCAGTTGCTTCTGGGAAGTTTGTGGTGATTATCACTTTATTTAACGTTTGTTCTCAAAAAATGGTCATTTTGAAAAGTGAATTGGCAGGTGGAAGCTTTTAGCCCAAAAGAAATCTGGGTTTCAGCACAATAAACTGTATTTCATCAGGGAGGACTAACTTTGCTTTTTTTCACACTTTATTTAAATGTGGATATTTTTTCATGATACAGAATAAAATGTGCATTTTATGGAATTAATTTGAATTGGGTCTTTGTTGGAAATTGCTATTTTGAATTTAGTTAAATAAGTGAAAAGCTCCCCAATATTAAAACACAACGCAATAGGTTTAGAGGAAACAGTCTTTTGATATATTAGAATTCCAATGTTTTCTTAAACTTTCATAATATTTTTCCTCTGATAAATTGTATCATTATGGTATAAATGATAAAGTAGTATTATATCAGAAATTAAAAGTTTAAGCTCCAGGAGTAAATTTGGTTGAATTAGAATATTTCTCTGTACCTTGAAAGATAGAGATAATGAGCATATCTGAATAGGAATTTGGAGAAATCCTTATTTTAAAATGGGATTAAAAAATATTTCTCTATCAATATTTCTAAAATTCTATTAATATCATAACATTATTAATTTATTCCAAGCAGTGAAATTTAGAGGCTTAAAGGGCAGAATGTACATGGAATAAAAGTATACTTTTTCTCATGTTTTGAAAAAAATTATAAATGGCTTTGCCAAATTCCTATTGAAAAACAAGAGCTGAATATGTAACATAGGATGTCTGCCACACGAGAACTGCAGATTTTTCTTCTAACTAAAAAACAAGTTTGAGGAACACTTTTTTGGCACATCACTGAAAAATTATTCATACCTATGGCTACGTAAAATTACATGTTGATTACAGAACCACCAAATAAAGCTTCGTCTTTGCTATGGCTGTATTAGAATATAAGTTAGAGCATTCTAGAGTTAGCTTTCAATTATATAGGAATCAAGGACATGATGATCACAGATAACAAAATGAATTGTCAAAATGAAGTGAAACTTTCTACACAAATGAACAGTAATTAATGCTTTCTCCATTTTTTGTTGATTTTCCTCCTCTTTTTTTTCTTCTTTCCTTACTCACACATGCACATGCACACACAGTCAACAATAAATTGCAACCTTTCCTTCTAAGTTCCATGGTAATAATTAAGAAAGATACCAATTTTTGGCTGGGTGAGGTGGCTCACGCCCGTAATCCCAACACTTTGGAAGGCCAAGGCGGGTGGATCACCCAAGGTCAGGAGTTTGAGACCAGCCTGGCCAACATGGTGAAACCCTCCCTCTACTAAAAATACAAAAATTAGTTGGGGGTGGTGGTGGGTGCCTGTAATCCCAGCTACTAGGGAGGCTGAGGCAGGAGAATCGCTTGAACCCAGGAGTTAGAAGGTGCAGTGAGCCAAGATCATGTCATTGCACTCTAGCCTGGGCAACAAAGAGAAAACTCCATCTCAAAAAAAAAAAAAAATTCAAAACATGATAATACATATTGTAGATGTGTGAGGAAATACTCAAGTGCCAAATACCATTACAAGCAGAATGAGAAGTTTTTGTCCCATAGGATGTTTTCTTCAGGGAATGTGATGAAAAATAGAACATGCTTTAACCTTCCAACCTTCAAACTTGTGGTTAGCTCCTTCTATTCCCACCCAGTTAGGAGGCTTTTGCTTCCTGTAAGATTGTTGAAAACACTAAGTTTTCCTATATCAAGTTGGGTACATTCTGTTTAATCTAGGAAAATCAGTGTAACATGCTCTTAATTTGATTAAATAAAGATGTGCCCAAGGCGAGCGATGCAGGGCTGACCTTATATAGCCAGAAGGGGCATTGGGGATGAATTAGCACCATGCCTACTTTGAGAAATGAAGAAACCAAGAATTGGAAAGGGTAGGCAATTCTCCAAAGTTGTATGTATAGTGACAACTTTGGAAATTAAAGTTGGGAGTTGGGAGGAGTTGGGATTAAAATTCAGTTGTCTTGACTCCAAGTCCAATGTTTCTTACGCTATATCACATGCCATCTGGTTTTTCACAGTGCAAAACACACACACACACACAAACACACACACTCTTTAGCTAATGCTACTGAAAGTGTTGCTAGTCTCCTCTCTGAATATTGCAGAAAGGATAGTTATGTGTTCAACTCTGTCATTTACATAAAGGTGTGTGTCCTTTATTCCAGTTTTCTTAAAAAACAACTGACATCTCATAAAAGGTGTACTCTCTCCCTTTGATATTGAAGATTGTAATTTCACATTCTACACTCATGATATTCTCTGTCCACCTGGTTTTAGAATCAGAACTAGACAGGTTATTTGTTGTATCTGGCTAAGGACACACAGTTGGGTCAGAGTTCAAGAAGACTGAATAAAGACTGGCTGGATGCTGACCACCCCAGATCACTCGTGTGGAGCAGAAACTGGAACTTCTGGGTTCCTGCTTCCTGTGGGTGCATATGGGTGCATCAAACACAGCTTTCCATCTCATCTGATTCTACTGTCCTCTGGCACCCAAGCTTAGCTTAAGTCTTGAAGTGTGCGTGTGTGGGCGTGGGTGTGGGTGTAGGTGTGTGTGTTTGGGGATGACATCTTCCTTGGTTCTTAAAATTCTCTAGGACTATTCCCATGAAAAGAAAAAATATGTATCTGTGTTCACAGTTTATAAATAACAGCGTTCAATACCACCAGTGGCTGATGGACAAGTGCTAGCAACTTGTCACCTGTAGTCCTTCGACCTATCAACAAACGTTCCTCCAATGTATAATACTGCTCTAGGCACTCCACACTGACCAAATTCAGCTGCATAGTGGATCTTAGAGTTTTCTTCCACAACTGTGAATATCCTGTTCAAAGACAAACAGCAAGATTCTGTTGAAATTCTTCATGTTAATGACCTTTGAACTATGGAATCCACTCACTGGCAGGAGTGTCAGGAAGAATAATACCTGCTTTTAGAGACGGGAGAATTTCAGCCCTCTCACGCTTTCTTTAAATTTCCATATTCTCCATTCTTAACACCCTTCCCCTAAATTTTTACAACTCAGGTAAGGAGAGCAGGTTGCAGATTTTCAGAGGTCTGGCGCTTTCACTGCTGCATTCACACACTGTTTTTCCTTCCCTGTAGTTTTCCATTCTGCTATAAGCAGGGAGAGGAGAAGGAACACTCTGCAGGCAACCTTAAGCTGATGGCTCTGTGGCCCCCTGCCTGCCCGAGGAGAAAAGGAAGGATGAAAGCAAGATTTCCAACAATTGCCATTGAATGCCCTGAAAGGAAGAGGCTGAGTGGAAGGAGGGCAGGGAGGGGTTTTGCCTTTCAGGACATCAGCAGCAAATAAGAAATTTCTGTGCTAGTGCAGTTACCAGGAGCCTCTCTTCTCTTCCTTTCCTCTGCTAGCGTTGTTCCTTGTATAGCCTATAATAGGTTGGGACCAGATTAAATGAGATAATAGCAGTGAAAATGCTTTGAAAAATATAATGGGCTATACAAAGCTTGAGGTTCTCTCTATTTGCCTGTGATTTTCCCAGTAGTCAAGGGTGGATTCCAGAACTTATTGAGAAAGAGCCATAAATATTAATAACATATATTCACACACAGCTCCTAGTGAAGTTCCAAGATTTTCTCAATTATACATAGAGAAAATTGGACAAGTTCAAAGTTTGTTGATCCACAACAGCTGGAGTCCTTTTACCTTCCTGTCAACTATAAGGGCAAACACAAACACTATAATAGCCTCTCCTCTACTTCCACACTTCAGGAAGTATGTGAAGAACCTATTAACATATAGGCTATATGAAAATATAGTCCCAGTTTTACTAATCTGAAATTCTCTAAAATAGCAGTACTATTCGTCATTTTCACTTTCACACTTAGTTGTCAATATCATGTAAGATCTCTGTTACACATAGTAGGTATTTGATGCTGTTTCAGAGTTCTTCCTGATTTAAGATTCAGCGCTATAAGATCAATTCCAAAAGTTCATGCTAAAGATGTAGAGGGGCCACTAGATGTTTCGCTAATTTAGGACTCTGACCCATTTAGATACAGTGAGGGCATACATAATGCTGGAGTGGACAAATTAAAATGTTTTTACCTAACATGACACCGGAACCATGTTTAACACCAATACCTTCATTCAACTTCCCTCCCTTCTATTCTCTGGCAAGATGTCTGTACCTTTTACAGGGCTGCATCTTGTGTGTTTTTCTTGTTGTTTTATTGAATTGACTTTGATATAAAACCAAGATTCTTATAATTTTGCGTGTTGTATACGGATGTTTGGATAAGTAGAAATATCTACTATTTTTCAGTCTCAGACACCCTCACATATAATGCTTCTAACAACCTCGTTAGAGAAATAAGCCCATAGGCTCTGGGTGATAACCCCTTGTAACCTCACATAGCTAGAAAGTATCAGAAAATGTTTTCAAACTCAGGTCTCTGACTTTCAGCTCTTATTTGCCTCAAAGTGACTCTCAGACCTGCATTAGGCCCTTGGTTTTTACATCAGGACCTATAGAAATAAATGTTAAAATTATTTTTTGGAGGATTTGTAATCTGATTACAGAATTCCAGGGTTTAGCCTTGTGCTGAAGTTCCTAACATAGGAAAAATGCTAGGGTTCCCCTTCGTGTATGTTCTATTTACAGATATGGAGTATTACAATTCATGGCATCCACTTAGTTTCTCCTTTGCATGATGACCTATGTGGAAAAGTCCCACAGGAGCATTGATATCTGTGCAGGACACTATGGTCATGTATACATGAGCTACTTAAGGAAAAGGGCTGTGGCCAGGAGCGGTGGCTCACGCCTGTAATCCCAGCACTTTGGGAGGCTGAGGTGGGCGGATCACCTGAGGTCGGGAGTTCGAGACCAGCCTGGCCAACATGGCGAAACCCCATCTCTACTAAAAATACAAAAATTAGCCAGGCGTTGTGGTGGGTGCCTGTAATCCCAGCTACTCAGGAGGCTGAGGCAGGAGAATCCCCTGAACCCGGGAGGCGGAGGTTGCAGTGAGCCGAGATTGCGCCATTGCACTCCAGCCTGGGAACAAGAACGAAACTCTGTCTCAAAAAAAAAAAAAAAAAAAGGAAAAGGGCTGTGTCCCTTCTTGTTTAATAGCTCCCTACAGTGTTTAGAAGTGTGCACTATACCCAGTATAGCTACTACTATTAAAAGTCTTGAAAGAATGCTTAGAGTAGTTCAAGTCTATTTCTTTAAGACTCACTCCTGTTTTGAAAAGCTTCAGTACAGCTAAGTCATGCAGGAGGATATATCTATCACTTGGTATTCTCTTTGCATTCAAAATGAGTGAGACATCATAAAACACTTCCAACTCCCTGACAATGTGTATTATGTGGCCTAGAACACCATGTGATGCCTTGATATGTTTGTGCGTCACCGGGCCCCAAAGACCTAACCATAAGTTCCCTTGTTCTTGCTAGATGTGTCCCCTTGACCCCCAGTGAAAAAGGCTTCCACCTGGCTAGTTTCCCTATTAGTCAGACCAGCTGCACTCCACCAGTCTGCAACCTAACAGGCTTTCATTTTCTTGCCATCCAACAAATTTCTTCAAACAATCCAATCACATCCTCCTGTGGGAACCAGGGGTTATCTCACCCCCTTGTTACTACAAAGTGTGCCTCACCATGGCCTCTGATTGTTCTGAGTCCAACCCCAGTGTGGCCCTACATGGTATGGGATGTTCTTCTCCTCTGGGCTGTGAGTATATGTGACCAACAAATTGCTATTTCATCTGCCCAGGGTTTGGTGTTTGGCCATCTTGTATTATTTAGGGTGGGGGACTCCTCCCTCACCGACGGGGTGAACAGGAGGCCACTAGAACAGAATGATAATTCACTTTATTCAGGAGAATTTTAGTGTCCATCAACTAATACTGCTCAACAAAAATTAGCACATTATGGCTGTTCTCACTTTGATGGTTTAATTAAGTGAGGGTCTCTGTATATCATAAGGCTTTGTAGTCAAACGTGGTGATACTCTGTGTATAAATTTTGGATTTTGTCTTTTGCTGTGATTTCATAATAAAGGTGATTGGTTTAGCTTGGACCTGCATCAGCCAGGTAGTAAAAATGAATCTCTTTTTAAATCCAGTTTGAATGCTTAGATCAAATGTGTTTTCCTCTTTCACCGTTCTTAATGGTGGAGTTCGTTGATGCAATAAAAGTGAAATAATGACACTTTGCTTTTTGCAAATGTCTTCACTTTTCAAGATACTTTGCATTTTCAAGGTATCAATAGCTTTACAGTTATCTGGACAGTTCAACAGTGAAGGAAATGATACTTTTTCAAAGTTTCTATACAATCTTTTCACTACTCCAAAGAGTTTGAAATGATCGTGTAGATCAGTAGTTCTCAACTGGGGCCAGTGTTGCTCTTAGGGGATAGTTGGCAATTTGTGGGAGTGTTTTGGGTTGTCTAATTAGGGCGACAGTGCTTCTGGCATCTAGTTGATAGGGACAAGTGATGCTGCTAAACATCCTACAATGAATAGAATAACTCTCATAATGAAGGTATTATCCCATCCCAAATGCCCAAAGTGCTGAGGTTGAGATTCCCTGATTTAGACCACACGGCATGCTGCTTGCTCTTTTCAAATTACACAAACCATTATGTGAATGATTTGACCCACAATTCAGCCACAGTCAGAAGTTGGCTTATTCAGAAAGTAACTCATGAGAACATTCCTAGAAATAGTGCAAAGCACCACAGTAGAGGCTGGGGGTTAGGGCACGGCAGATCCATGCTCATCCTTTCAGTCTGTATATAATCTCTACATCCCACAGTCCCTTTGTGCCTGTCTGAATAGAGCAGAACCATATTCTGCCATGACAAAGCAAAAATTCCCAGTCCAATGCTATAACTTTCAGTTCAGAATAGACTTTACAGAACATTTGTGTCTTTTTCATTTGATATTTAAGTATTCATACACAGATACTAGCTTCTTTCATGTGAAATTTGTAATTTAAAAAATGGATTAGTTTTTATTTTGGAAGAAGAATCTGCTCAACAATCAAATAACTCTTTTAACTGTCTGTCAAGTTATAAATGAGCCTAGTTTTGATACTATCCAGTTTATTATAGCTTAAATTGTAGGGGATCTAACAAATGTTGGTAAAAATGTCTTCTGTGGGCTCATTAGTATCATTTTTAAATGGAGGCTCCGCGGCTTCATTGAGCTGAATTCCTGCCCTGCCTTGCCCTCTTTCCTTTCTTATGTGTACACAGCTCTGACTCACTCATTACACAACCTTTGGAAAGAGAGTATGTGCTTAGAGGCAGAGATATGGGCTTGCCTGTGCACGTCAGTGCAAAAACTCATTGAGAATCCTGCTTAGGTTTATGTTTCCATTACCACTATTATTGCAGATCTGACTGAATGTGATGGCTTCTACATAATTACACACACATACACCTCATTCATGTAAATGAAATAAGCTTATGAGGCAAGTAATCATCTTAACTTGATAGCCACCACTCTTATTTCTTTGAGAATTAGGTGATATTTCTAGACTCTAGGAATCTTGCTTCCCTTAGTCCTGACAGTGAGCCACACTTTGTTTACAAATGAATTATGTCTGGTATTTGTACATTGGCACCAGTGAGATCTATTGGAGAAGTTTCATTGTGAAACTTTATTGCTTCTTAATTAATAACTTTATTATAGTTTAACTAGCATACATTTATTCACTATAAATCTATAATACTATGGGTTTAGTAAATTCATATAGGTGTGCAACCATCACCATGATCCAGTTCTAGAATGTTTCTGTTACCCCAAGCTGGTCCCTCATGCCCATTGTCAGTCCTCGCTACCCTCCCAAGCCTCAGGCAGTCCTCTTGTGCTTTCTCTTTCCTTAGATTTGCCATTAACAGACCTTTCACTTAAATAGAATCATACAATACACAGGCTTTGGTGCCAAACTTCTTTCTCTTAAACCATGCTTTGGAAGTAAATCCATGTTGTTGAATGTGTCAGCAGTTCATTTTTATTGCTGAGTATTTCAATACACAGTTATACCCCACTTTGTCTAGTTACCAATTGATAGACATTTAGATTATTTCTAATTTTTTTTTTTTGCTTTATAAATAATGCCTGTGTAGGTATATGTTTTCATTTGCCATGGGCGGATATGTAGGAGTAAAATTACTGGGACCTTTGGTAGATGTGTGTTTAAGTTTTAAAGAAAATACCAAACTATTTTCTCAAGTGACTGTACTATTTCACATTCCTTCTAACAACACATACGATGGTTCCAGTTTCTCCGCATCCTTGCTAACACGTAGTATTATCAGCCTTTCTGATTAGTTACATTTTAGTGGGTCTATAGTGGTATCTCCTGTGGTTTAAATGTGTATTTTCCTGATGATTAATGATCTTAAGCATCTTTATTTGTGCCCTTTCTATATCATCTTCTTTGGTGAAAGGTGTATTGGAATATATTGTATTGAGACAATGTTTACATCTCTCACCTTCTTTTTGCCTCTCGTTGCCACTATTTTTCAGTCCCAATAGGTTGACAATTAATTGATTTCTGAGCTATAAGACTAGGCACTTCTCAGATATTTTAGTGAATTATTGGGAAGGGGGATCAGAGGCATTAGCACTTTTGGGAGGTATTGCTTGAAATTACAAAGCTTCCTTCACTGCTTAATATGTCTGACTATTTCAAGGAACCCATTTACACTATTTCTTAATAGGTGCTGCAAAGCAGTTTGGTGCCAAAGATTTTAATCTCAAAAGATTTTATTTATCCCAATGAGAGATTTGAGATTTTATTAATCTCAAAAGCTGATTTTGAAAAGAATTCAGGAGGAATTTTGCATTCCTATTCTGAACTGTTCTTATAGTTGTCTAGTATTCATCCATTCATGCAGGTAATAAATGCTAGATTAAACTATAAAAATCTTTAAAAGTAAAGCACCTTAAAAATTATAGTTGCACATCTAGGCAAGATCTATTCCTTGCAATTCAGGCAACTCAGTATCTTGGGCTGGTTTACTTTTCAAGCTCTCAGTCAGACCCTTTATTTCATGGAAAAGTTATTTAGTCAGGGTTCTATCCATTAGTTTCTCCAGCAGGCTTTGCTTTTCTTTGGTGCATTGTTTTTTAAGTTAAACTAAAATAAGAAGATTTTTCTGGTGAAAAATCCTGTAAAGCAGGTGATATGGCTATACAATAATATTCTGTTTTAAAAAATTATAGTTTGTTTCACAAGCTTAAGAATTATAATAACATGGAATTTAAAAGTCTTTGTTGCTTTGTGTTGTAAACTCATTCTGGAAAAGTTGAGGAAAGTATACTATTATTTTTCTTTTGACTTGTTGGCTAATGGTCATTTTTCCAGAATGACTTGATGTGAAAGAGCATGAACTATTCCAAGCAAAGCAGAATTGTTCACAGTTGGAGAGATTCAATATCTCTCCAAACCAAGTCTTTTGGCTTACATTTCCCTGCAACACCTCAAGCCACGGTGAAGCTTTGAAAGAAGATGCCCATTGAAAAGTGTTTCACAATTCTAGGACCTCAGACTATACTGCTTCTAAATACACTGGTTCTGTGCCTGTAAAGTGCAGATTGGGCTCCCACTAATTTACAAAATTAAATCCCATTCTCACTCTACTGATCCCGTAAGCTGATTCTGTGAAGGCCAAGGCCACATTTCCTGGATACCCTTGTTTCTCCAGGATCTAACAAAGAGCCACATGTGTAGAATGTAATCAGTCATTGTTGACTAAACAAATGTTGAATGTTATCTTAACATTGTTAAATGTCAACATCATAAAATGGTGAATGAATATCTTAATACCTCACTGTCTGACTCTTAGAGAGACTACCTTCTACTCAGTATTTTCAGGTTTCTTCAGATTTGTTCCTTTTGGTTCAAAGGTTAAAATGAAGAGATCACTACTGTATATTCTGGTATGATGCTAATAACATTTTAGAATATGTGGAATTACCAATATACAACTATATCATTTTAGTTTTCCTGTAATTTTTCAAATGTATGTTATTTTACAGACATGCATTAGATTCATACTACATAAAACTACTACGCCTTAAAAGGGAGCGTTACAGAGGCATACGGGAGAGAGTTCGTGCCTTCAGAGGAGCTTAGAATACAAGGTAGGATGCTGAGAGGTATACAAATAATATAAAGGACTAGGTACAAGTGGAAGGAATGTGGTAAGGATGCAGAGAAAATAATGATTGTGGAAAGAATCATCCTCAGACTTCCAGATGGGAGCATGGGTGTTGTGGTCTACCTGCATTTGTATTCCCTCCTGTTGCTAGCAGGACTGTAAAATGCTCCATTCACTCTAGAAAACAGTTTGTTTCTTAAAACACTAAATATACACTTACCGTAAGACTCAGGAATTTGTGCTCCTGAATATTTATCCAAAATGAAACTAATGTTCCCCCCAAAAAAGCTGTACACAATTGTCCATAGAAGCCTTTTTTGTAATAGACTAAAACTGGAAACAACCAAAATGCCCCTCAATGGTGAAACAAACTATGGTATGCCGATATTGTGGAACATTATGCAACAATAAAAAAGAATAAGCTATTAATATACACAACAACTTGGGTGGATCTTAAGGTGAGCTGGGAGCAGGAGAGCAGGTGGACAGAAAGCACAGCTCCTGAGTCTCAATGATGTGACTAATGGTCAAGAGTGTGCCTTGCCTTAGTTCAATGTTGAAGGATGTTCCAGTGATGTATACAATTTTCCAGATCTGACCTATTAATTTTTCTGAACATGGGTGTAATAAGGTACCGTATTACCTATGCTTCTTCAGAGCCTATTATTAGCTGGTTTATGAGTTAAGGTTTATAGAAACTATATTATTTTACTGGATATAAATTAGATTGAAAAATGTGGCCTACAGAAATACACGTGTACCATTTTATTTTCTAGCTTTTGTGAGTGTTGTGCTATTCCAAAAGTTCACAAGTATTGCAGATGACAACTCCCCCCACCCACTTTTATTGTCTGTTAGTGAATAAAATTTGCCAAGATTTAGTATTACCCTTCTGAAATAGGGCTGCAAAGGCGTTTTTAACATCTTTTCCACTCAAACCCACATGTAAATTCTTAACAATCTAGCACCAATTTTTTAAGTTACCCTTTTTGATTGAAATAATTATCAATTAACAGGCAGTTATAAGGTAAAACAGGGAGGTCCAATGTATCCTTCACCCATTTTCCCCCAATAGTTACATTTTACATTTTGTCTAGTTATAGTACAAAATCAAAACCAGGACTTTGATATTGGTCCAATATGCATTTATAGTACTGAGTCATTTTATCACAGGGGTTGATTTGTGTAACCACCATTGTAATCAAAATACAGAACTATTCCTTCACCACAAAGAGCTCCTTTATGCTAATACCTTCTAGTCTACCCAAATCCCAGTCCTTTCCCACCATCCCCAACCGCTGATAACTACAAGTTTATTTTCCACACCTGTAATTTTGTCATCTCCAAGTTTTATATAAACAAAAATATGCAGTATGGGAACTTATGAGATTGGCATTTTTCATTCAGCATAATGCCCTTAAGATCCACCCAAGTGGTTGTGTATATTAATAGCTTATTCTTTTTTATTGTTGCATAATGTTCCACAATATGGGCATACCATAGTTTGTTTCACCATTGAGGGGCATTTTGGTTGTTTCTAGTTTTAGTCTATTACAAATAAGCCTTCTATGGACAATTGTGTACAGCTTTTTTGGGGGGAACATTAGTTTCATTTTGGATAAATATTCAGGAGCACAAATTTCTGAGTCTTACGGTAAGTGTATATTTAGTGTTTTAAGAAACAAACTGTTTTCTATAGCGACTGGAGCATTTTACAGTCCTGCTAGCAACATGAGAGATCCAGCTTCCCCATTCCCTGCTAGCATTTGGTATTGTTGCTATTGTTTACTTGAGCTGTACTGTAGATGTATAATGATATTTCTTGGTGGCCTTAATTTGCATTTCTCTATTGGCTAGTGATATTGATTGTGTTTTTTTTGCACTCATTTTCCATCAGTGTATCATTTTCAGAAAAATATCTCTTCATATATTTGTCATTTTCCAATTGAATATATGCATATATTTACTGTTGAGCTTTGAGGATGAGTTACGTATTCTAAATATGAATCCTTTGTTGAATGTATGGTTTGCAATAGTTTCTCTCAATCTATTGTTTGTCTTTTCATTCTTTTGACAGTCTTTCATACAGCAAAGGTATTTAATTGTGATTAAGTCCAATTTACAGATTTTAAAAAATATCTAGTGCTTTTAGAATCATGTCTAAGAACTTTTCATGAAGTTCCAGGTCCTGAAGGTTTTCTTCTAGGTTAACTCCTAAAAGTTTTAGACTTTTTATGTTTTACACTTAAATCTACGACCCCTGTTGACTCAGTTTTTCTAAAAGGTATGAGATTTAGATTGAGGTTTACTTTTTTTGCCCAAAGATGTCCAATTATTATTCCAGAACCATTTGTGAAAAAGTTCATCCTTTTTCCATTGAATTGTCTTTGCATTTTTATAAAACATCAGCTAGCCTTCTTCACCTGTCCCATTTATTTATGCATTTATCATGCTACCAATACCACATGATCTCCATTACTAGAGATGTATAAATGTATAATAAGACAGGATGGGGTAGAGTAATTTCTTCCCATTTATTCTTGTTTTTCTTTTCTTCTTCTTCTTTTTTTTTTTTTCTCTGAGACAGGGTTTTGTTCTGTCAGTCAGGCTGAAGTGAAGTGGCCTGATCTTGGCTCACTGCAACCTCTGCCTCCTGGGTTCAAGCGATTCTTGTGCCTCAGCCTCCCCGGTAGTTGGGATTACAGGTGTGCACCACCACGCCCAGCTAGTTTTTTTGTATTTTTAGTAGAGACAGGATTTCGCCATGTTGCCCAGGCTCGTCCTGAACTCCTGAGCTCAGGCAGTCCGCCCGCCTTGGCCTCCCAAAGTGCGAGGATTACAGGCATAAGCCACTGTGCCCGGCCTATTTAGCAATTCTAGTTCCTTTGCTTTCCCATAAAAATTTAGAATAATCTTGTTTATAGCTATTTTACAAGCTCATTGGGATTTTGATAGAAACTGTATTAAACCTGTGTATTAATTTGGGGGAAAATCCACATCTTTACTATATTAAGTTCCAAGTCATGAATATAGTATATCCCTTCATTTATTCAGCGATATTTGATATCTTTAGTCAGACTTTTGTGGTTTTCAAAATACAAATCCTATACACATTTAGTTGAATTTACACCTAAGTAGTTTTCTCTTTTTTTTTTGAGTGATTGCAAATAGTATTGTGTTTTTAATTTGGTTTTTACCTGTTTATTGCTATTGTATAGAAATATAATTGATTTTTGTATGTTTATCTTGCATTCTCTGGCCTTGCCAAATTTACTCATTAGTTCTAGGAGTGTTTTCAAACCATTCTTGAGATTTCCTATGTAAACAATCATGTTATCTGCAGATAGGGACAGTTTTATCTCTCCCATTCTGATTTATATGACCTTTCTTCCTTTTCTTGCCTTATTACACTGACTAAAACTGTTGGAGATGAAGAAAGATTCTGGGTGGTTATGACCATCTTCATGAAACAAAGAAGAGTTTAACTTGGCAAGAGCAAAATGTACAGTTAGATATTAAATTATTGTATGAAAACTCTTGCTACAAGGCAAAGAAGGGACTCGTGAGGTGGTTTATCATTACAATGGGAAGAACCCCAAGTCCCAGAGTAAGTGTTAAGCTCTTATATAAGAAGAGATTAAGAAAGTAATAAGAAACATTGAATAGGAAAACTACAAAGTTTTTCATAATTTCCTTTATTATTAATTTTTATTTTTATTGCAATAGTTTTTGGGCTACAGGTGGTTTTTGGTTACATGGATAAATTCTTTAGTGGTGATTTCTGAGATTTTAGTGCACCTGTCACTTGAGCAGTGTATACTGTACCCAATATATAGTCTTTTATCCCTCACTTCCCTCTCAACCTTCCCTGCTAAGTCCCCAGAGTCCATTATATCATTCTTACGCCTTTGCATCCTCATAGCTTAGCTCCTACTTATAAGTGAGAACATATGACATTTGGTTTACTATTCCTGCAAAAGACATTATTTTGATCTTTTTTAAATAGCTAGCTGAGTAGTATTCCACGGTGTATATACACCATATTATGTTTATTCACTTGTTGGTTGATGGGCATTTAGGTTGGTTCCATATTTTTGCAGTTGTGAGGTGTGTTGCTATATGTGCATATGTCTTTTTCATATGATGATTTATTTTCCTTTGGGTAGATACCCAGTAGTGGGATCACTGGATTGAAGGTAGTCCCACTTGCGGTTCTTTTGATAACCTCCATACTGTTTTCCCATAATTTCTTTTTCTTAATTTTTCCCAAAACTGGAAGGTGTCACCCATATTTTACATTTTGAAATTTATTAGAATTTTGTTCTCATTCTAGAGTCTAGAATCTAAAATCCAAAAAATGTCAAGTAGCAAAAGCTTTCTTTTTTGAGACTAGTTTTAAAGTTTTTTTGTGTGTGTGTGATTGTGTGCGCAAAAACAAGTATGCTTTGTTATTTAAAATTATTATTTTTACCTTTTCACTTTTTACCTTCTCATCTTTGTCAAATAATATTAATAAATCTTTACTTTCTTACAAATTCTCCTTGCCCAGAGCTTCAAAACTTTCCTTTGTGGAGAAATCTGTGAGAGGATGCTTGAAGGAGATTCTTCAGATCAAATAAAGGATAAGTGGTCAAGGAAAATATTTCATAACTTATAAAGGTTGACAACTTTTAGTAACCTTCCTTTCTACTTATTATAAATAACAGTTGGTAAAAGGAAGCTGAAAATAACTGCTAATCTTAGCGTATTTATTAAAGAGTTATGCCAGATGGAAATTTTGTTAGATGTTAAAAAAATGTAAGCAAACAATAGACAAGCTGAAAAATGGGGCTGTAGTGGGTAGCTGAAGCATCTTTCAGTTAAATCATGTCATGAATACTTCCTTCACATACAGTCTTGTATCATTTCTTATGGAATTTTGTTGTCATGACAACAAGTTTTACAAGAGCGTCTTCAGCTTCCATAGTTAGAATTACACAAAAAGAGTTTGATACAATGAACACAGGTGAGCTTTGGTTATTACATTTGGACAAAACCCCTTGCTTTATCACAGTTATATCCATGAAAAAATTAAAAATGTGACACTTCTTTGCAACAGAAAGCCTTTTTCTATAAAGTTTTCCTTTTTTTTCTGAGAAAAAAAGGTAAAAGGTTCCAAATATTTCTCAGCTTAAATACTATTAGATTAAAAGGTAATTTGTAATGAATAAGCCACGATAGCCCCTAATGCACGAAAGGACTTTGAAATTATGTTGTTTCTTGTAGACATGAATTTTGATGAAGTACTAGTAAATCAAATATAGTGGAACATACAGGCTGAACATGAAAATACTGTCAAGAACACGATGGTAATCTGTATTGGACATATTTTTATTATCTTACTTGAAAGTCTCATTATCATAACAACAAAACTCTTTGGCTGTCCTGTTTCTCATTGCAAATAACTTCATGACAAATGAAAACTCTTTTGTGTTAATTTTCAATGGCATACAACTACAGTACTATTTTACAGCTATGCATTTACAGACAATTATCTTCAAAATAAGCAACACATGCCTGTAATCCCAGCACTTTGGGAGGCCGAGACCGGCTGAGGTCAGGAGCTCAAGACCGGTCAACATGGCAAAACCCCATCTCTATTAAAAATACAAAAATTAACCAGTCGTGGTGGTACACGCCCATAGTCGCAGCTACTCAGTAGGAAGCTCCTTACATTTGTCAAAAAGATTTTAAATTGCTTAGTGATCCTTTATATTTTAATCTGATTAACCTACTCTAAAATTTCTAAGTTTAAAGTTATGCGCAGACACACATATACACACTTCAGTAATCCTACTCATTTCAGAAATGTTCTATCAGAATTACAGATTATTGTAAAAGTCATGTTCTTTTAATTTTAAATTACTATCATGATGGCAGTTAACTGCTAAAAACAATGTCTAAGTAGATAACCTACCAGACTCCATTTTAAACATGTGGCTTTATAATTCTTATTATTTACTTACAAATAGTTCAAGGCTGAATTACAGAGTTATAAATTTGGAATTATTCTAAAGGACGAGGAAAGAGAAGTGTGCCGGCCTTTTCTCTGCAGGTATGACTGATGGTAATTATCATCTCTGTGTGAGGCTGTGGCTCAGACGATTGATACCAAGTGGCCAGCCTCACCACACTGCACCCACATGACATTGATTTTTGATTTGTGGCTAAAACCATTGTCCGCTATAATGGTTGCACTGGATAAATTGCATACACACTTTTGTGGGTGGGAGTTACTTAGACCTCTTATTCAGAATCTGTATTTTCAACATTATGTTGAAGCAGGCAGGTTGCAGCCAAAACAGTCTGTTGCTAAATATTTCTCACTCACATCTTAATGAGCAACTAGGCCATTAGAAAGTCTGAAGACACAGGATTTATTGATAGCACAACTGTTTAGCATCAACATTCTTACAGCTGTATTCAATGCCGAAAGTAAAGCCATACTCCATCTTCCGTCTCTTCAGATAGCTACCTGCTCAGCCTCGTGACCAGATCCGAGCCCAAAAAAAAACAAAAAGCAACAACAAAAAAAACTCTTAAGTAATCAAAGTATGACGCTGGTTCTCCCAGAAGCTCCTCCTCTTCATATTCCCTTTTTCCTTCTATTCTCTAGCCAAAGGTTTAGTGTTATAACTTTGTTTAATATAGTTGCAGCCTCAGCCTCCATTTTTAGCTGATGTAAGTTATTTGAAATGCGATAGTACCCAACACCTATGGCCTAGTTAAAACTTGCTCTCCCTGTGTTTGTAGTGGTTCGTGATATAGCTTGCTTATTTCTCATCTCACTGATCCCAAACTTGACACATTACAGCTGCTGGCCACAGTAAACCTAGTGGCCAACACCTGAGTCCTATAATTAAGTTTTCCTGCTTGTCACACAGGTGTTTTCTCTGAACTAGCCAATCCACACCCCCCCACGGGAAACCCTAAAGAATAATACCCATGGAGCTTAATAAATAAGGCCCACAGGTCCTACCTCTTTCTCTTGTTTCCTCACTCACTGCTTGAGCTTTTTGCTGCCCGCAGGCTTCCTGTCAGCCTCCTGTCAGCACCACTCATTGCTCTGAGATCTGTAAGTAGCACGTTTCTTCTGTTTCATGATTTTCGTTTTGTCGTGTCATTGTGTCTTACCTGATTGACACAGCCGAACCTGACTTTTCTCTGGTCAAGGCTTCCCTAGAGAGAGGCTAGCTTTACTTATGTCCACTATTTTTTTTTTTTTTTTGAGACAGAGTCTCTGTCGCCCAGGCTGGAGTGAAATGGCGTGATCTCGGCCCACTGCAACCCCCGCCTCGCAGGTTCAAGCAATTCTCCTGTCTCAGCCTGTGGAGGAGCTGGGACTACAGGCGCACGCCACCATGCCTGGCTAGTTTTTGTACTTTTAGTGGAGATGAGATTTCACTCTGTTGGTCAGGCTGGTCTCGAACTCCTGACCTCAAGTGATCTGCCCGCCTCGGGCTCCCAAAGTGCTGAGATTACAGGCACTAGCCACCGTGCCTGGCCTACTTAGGTCCACTCTTGATACAAAGGCCTCGAGACCCACTTAGAAAGAAACCATAAGGAAACTCATGACACTTAATTTCCTTGTATAAATTTATGTCAACATACACAGGTATATGCCTTGATAACAGAACATTTTTCATATTCTTCTGAAAACCAAACAAAGCAAAAACTGTGTTTATTTTGAGTGGGATATAGTTTTCCACAGCTATGTTTGTTGCTGTGTCTTGATAACATATGAGCTGTTACATTTCTTTTCAAGTTGAAAGATCTAAGTTAAATTTGCCAAATCTCTGTATGTCAGTATGTAGACATCTAAGTGTCTTCTGGCCCCTCTCCCAGCTGTTTTAGTCTGTGAATTTCTAGGCAGTTTCTTTATTGTTACTTTTCATATTGTACCTAATGTGCTTCAAAGTAGTCATTTAAAAATATGTGACTCCTGTTGTTCCTCTTTCTTCATTTTCACTTAAAACCCCTCTACCTTGGGTCATCAAAGTATGTAGAAATACTTCTTTTCCAGGACTTTGATTTCTATACAGAACTTTACAATGGAGAACTTCCTTCTATTTCCTGGCATTTTCATCGTTCTTTCCTCCTAAGTTGAACTTCTACAGTATTACGATGACCCCCTGGTATCTAGGGCAAATCTTGGCTCTTGGTGATAAGAGATTTGGGAACCTCTGGGAGACAGGTAGAGGTCCCCTGAGAGAGTCCTCCCTGCCCTTGTGTTCTGGTTTTTGTTCCCACACAAGGAGCAACCTTTTTTCAACTCTCTAATTCCTTCACCTAAGTTCTGGGCTTGGTCTACTGCCTGTTTCTTCCTTGATCTTGGCATTCTCCTTCTAACATATATTCCTGCCCTCACACTCCAGGCTACTGCTATCTGCTCAAGGATTACCCAGTGCCCGGGTTCTGGAGTGCTTTGTGTCTGTGTGCATGGAGGACATACTCGTTCTCCCTGATGCCAAGGCTGAGATTCCTTGCTTTACTTAGTTGCCACATTCTGTAGATTTATTCTTTATGGAGTCAAAGTCAAAGCTGTCTTTAATTTGACCTGATAGCTGTTACCATTTCAGGCTCCCATTATCTCATCTATGATGTATTACAATACAACTGGTGTTAGTAGCGCTGACGTTGTCCCACCCCACTTGGACTGAGTCCATTCTTCTGTGAAAACTTCCATGATCCTCAATGAAAGAAGTAATCACTTCTCTTGTATTATCTATGTACTTAGTGCTTCTGAGAGGAAGACTCACACTGTCTCAAATAACACTGGGGTTTAGACCTGGTGCTATTCTAAGCACTTCGTAAATATCAGCTCATTTAATTTTTACAACTCTATTTTCCTAGTTCTGCAGATGAGGAAACTTGGGCATAGAGATGTTTAGAAACTTGTCCAAGGTGGCCTAGCTAAAACAAGGGCAGAGTCATAATTTAACCCAACTGATCTAACCAGCATTCGCATGCAAGCTCTCTAATTACTATTATCAACTCTCCAAGGGTATTCAAGAATATTCAACAAGTTGTAAAGTGGTAAGAATAATCTGGGTTTACTTTAATTTTTTTTCTATTTTCCATTTTGAATGCTAAATGTTATTTGGACAGTTTTTTTTTTTTATTTTGTTTTGCTTCAGTAGAGTTGAAGAATCCTTGACTATTAGTGATATTAGTGATTTTTGTATCCAATCTATGCAAGTATTAAAATCTATTAGTTCAACATATACTACCTTGAAATAATGAGTTTTCAAGGAGAACGTAAAGTTAAGAATATCAGAGGCAGGCGTGAAATACCAGAGGGCCTCAAAAGTAAGCACTACTTTTTTTTTTTTGTAAGAATTAAGAAAGTAGGTAGAAGCTATCTGAGGTCGAAGAAAGGAGAGGAGAAACAAAATGAAGGATTATTACAGCTTGCTGAGAGGAAAGTAATGATGGTAAACTACAGACTCTGCATGTGTCCTTTTGACATGTGATTGCCACTATTAATTGGACACTAGAATTGCATAAGGATCATATGTAATTTAGTAGGACACATCTCCTATTGAGCTGGCTTAATGTCAAGACATGGGAAGAAATACAAAATATACACAGGGAAAAACATTTCTAATAAAAAGTAGTTCAGTTTTGCTTTCGTAATATTCATTCATGTGATGATTGAATGTGACATGGTTGAAACCTGAACCAAGTTTCAGTTATTTATCCAAATTTGGTGTAAAGGCCAATTACTATGTGAAACTCTTTTTCATTGTCACAAAAAGACACATTCTAAAAATAGCAATGATTTTAAAATGTGCTATACTCTGGGGGGGAGAGTTGTTTTCCTTGCTGTGTTAATATCTGTAAATATGATCTCCATGGCATATAAACCAGCAGGATTATGCTATTTCACCTTCGATTTACTTCTTTACCTCCTATTGATTTGTTTGATTAGTTAAAAATGAGGGTTAAGGACGATGTGTGTTACAAAGATTAGGTCAGTATTCAGGACTTGAAACACCTCCTGAATTTAGGATGAGACATGAGAAGTCATTTTCAAGAAGGCCTTTACCATCTCTCTGCTTCTTGTACTCATTTGGAAAAGCATAGATTGTAGCAGAGTGGATGAAAGAAGGGGACAAAATCAGTGAAAGTTTTGTTCTACTCAACTATGGCCATACTGAGCTTCATATTTTCCAAAGGTATCACATACCTCTGTACAAAAATACACTAAAACAATTTTAAATGAAATGCTTCTGTGTTATCCTGGTAGCCATGCCTGTCCATGAGACAATCAACAGTAGCTATATTTACAGATTACATATCATTAAGTAGAGCAAAACAAAAACTCCCGAATTATTTGCTGTATTTAGGTATCCTTTTTGTAGCATGCATGCCTGGCATTTTTATATCCCCATTCAAGGCAGATATATATAATTAAAACTCACTTGTAAACTGCAGGATTGTTTAGATTTTAGACCGAAGAAAGTTTGAATTTATCACTGATGTTAGGAATTACCAACTAATAGTGTTAATAAAATGTAAAACCACTTTTGGTTGGTTTTATTGTTTTTCAATTCTGTAGAGTCAAAGCTCCTTTTTTCCCTTATTGCTGTACCAGGACAGACTTCTCTCATCAGGGGCCTTGATACTGCCCTGCTTGTAGAAGATTCTCAGTACCTCAAGTTAGCATCTTCTGTGCCCTTCTGTGTAACTACAAGTATTTTGGGTCAAATGAGTAGGTTTTGGTGCACAGCAGCCAGTGGTCCTTCCTCCCTCCACCTCCATATCTCCTTCAAATGTCAATATAAATAAGTGATCTTCATGGGATCAGAACTTTTCCCATAAACATTTCTTTCTGAAACTATCTGTGGAAACTAGAGTTCCGTCTGACCCAATAGCCAGCCTGAGGATAATCCTGGTCATGATGTGATTTATCCCCAGGTTTCCTCTGGAAATCGGCTTAGCCCAATTCTGTACTATACACCCAGTTTCAGAACTGAGAAATCTAGAAATTTCTCTCTGCCCATAGCTCAACTAAAGGAGAAGCTTTCCTGGTCCAGATTGACTGCATTAAAATTATGCATGAATGAAAGTCTAATAATCTAATACTCATTTTGAAGCTGTTACTTCCAGTGAAGGGGAACAGAAAATGCAATATGTAAAGAAAGGAACATCCATGACCATCATGTTAATAGCTTTCTTGCTGGTTAGGACACAGTGAGCAAATAAAAATAAGTGTAAGAATTTAACAAGACCGAGGATATTAAAATGAATCATTACCAAGAAGGGACCTAAGCCAAATACTGCTGAAGTAGATTCCTTTTGTGAATTTTATCACATCTTTGCAATGAGAGTTTTTATTTGCTGAGTCTTGAAATTGTTATTTTTAAGCAAGGGATCTAATAAGCCAAAAAGCCAGAAAGCTGCCATTCCTGCATATTTTTCAAACATTTCCTTGCTGGCTGTAAATATCAGGTAACTGCATGAGAGTCTTCTTGTATTTCTTTCAGAAGACATATTTAAAAGTGTGAATGTGGGAGTGGTGGCGGTGGCAGGATATACATCTGTGGGCTCATTACTTTTGAAACTCCACTGTGTGAATTCCAGGAGTGTTAGAACATCAAAGCCAAGTTCAATCAATATAATTGTTTATAGACATGCTTGTGACAAGAAACTGGAAAAGCACAACTTAATGTGGAATAACGGATCTTCATATCAGAAGAGAAAAGTAATACTTCAAAGTCTATGGACTTACTTTACTCCAGTGTAAGTAGTTTAGGACAAAGCAATAGATCTTTAAACACAGGAACTTCGGTTGATCACTAAGAAAAGTTGAATCTCTGCACTCAGTTCCAGTAAATATAATTAACGTGAAAATGTGGTCAACATTGCCTCGTTATGTATATGGAGCATATATAATATCTGTTAGATATGTCATATGAACAAATATTACATATATGGATCATAAGTGTAAAACTGGTAAATCACTTAATCATTGAGTTTCATGCCTTATGTGTAATTGATATGTCTATTCATACACAGTTTCTTTTTCAAGCCTCACAACTTGTCACCCCTTCTGGTTCCCTATCTTTTGCCAGCTGCAAGAATCACTTGACCTCAGCGTACAACCCTGATAGGACCAACTCTGACCTCCGGAAAGAGAGAAAGAATCTCCAGACAAATATTTTGTGGTCCAACATAAAGTCACCCTGATTTGCCACTAACCTGGCTTTGAGCTCGAGTCCTGTTGACTGACTGGATAGTCATTTTAGTCTTTGTGCCTAAATGTCAAGATCAGAGATGGGCTTAGGTTAGGCTCTAATGAGAATTATCCTTGACTCACCCAAAAGGCCCTTATCTCAGCCTTTCCTAAACCCTTCCTCTTGTATGTTTCTCCTACTTCTTCAATCCCTGCAATCTAGTTCTCACCTATGAGCTGGCTTTTCCCCCTCGCTTTGTTCTGTCCTTTGAACCATAAGGCATCCAAATTTACCGTCGGCAAAAGTAGCTGTTCACAAAATACTTGATCTCCTGGCTTCCAAAATTCTCGACATTCTGTCCTGGTTGCCCTCTGGACTTGGTGTCTCCCTTTTTTTTTTTTTTTTTTTTTTTCAATTTATTAGCTTATTGCCCCAATCTTAAATACATGTGAGGATTTTTCTGTCTTTAATGTTGTAAGGGTTTACTGAGACTCTTTAGTACCTAAAGACTGAGAACTTCTGTTGACTCCCTGAATTTAGTCTTACCACTTGCTTCTTAGCTCTGTGCCTATTTAATCAACTTATTTCCTTCTAGCTCTATTATAGCCTGGCCCTTAGCTCTAATTTCTTTACCCTGAGGTCTTCACTTTCCTAATGTCAATGTTTAATGTGCTTTGACTGGGGAGACTTCATCAAGCTATGTGACACGAGGGAAATACTAGGTTGGTGCAGAAGTAATTGCTGTTTTTGCCATTACTTTTAAATGGCAAAACCCACAATTATATCTGTACCAACCTAATAACATAAAGCTTGAATTTGGTGCCACAGAGACTCCTGTGACTGTCGGCATTTTTGTGTATTTTTTCCTTCCAATTCAGTTAAAACTGAAGCTTTTGTGAGGGGGGATTGTGCAATTTATAGCAATGTGCCTGTGACAGAGCCTGGCACACCTCCTGTGTCACTCAGAATTTGGTCAGAGATGTAAACCATCAGGCATGTGATAGAATATGGGATTTATTAGAGGACCTGGGCATGGTACAATTCTGAGGGTTGGTTAAGCATTTCATGTATGGCTGTTGCTTTTGCATCTGGTGCTAGGCCTGAGGTGAGCAGGGATTTGGGAAGGAAAAATAGGTGTGAACGGAGAGAGAACAAGGACAAATTCGAATCCATAAGGATAAACTGGAAACTGAGTTGGTTTCACAACTTTCAAGCCTCTAGTTTCAATGAGGCCGATGACTTTCAGGAGAAGCTGACACGGTCTTTCAGGGTCCTAAAAATGCACCTGGCCCAGGATTAGGAAAGCTGATGGAAGAGATAAGACAGAAGCCGACAAGGTGAACCCGCATATCCGCAACACACATGAACTTCACTTCTGACACTACGCTCTCCTGCCAAGCTAAACAAGAATCCAGATTCGCTTCTGGAGTCCACTCTTTTCACAAATTTCTCTTGCAGTCAGCTCTAGGCAAGAGCCATAGAGAGAAAAGAATTTTGAGAAAGTTGAAGCTTAGCTACACTGACAATACAGAGACACCATATGCCATTCTTTCTTTCTACCTCTGGTTCAAGTCTATAGCTAAAAAGGAGTGTTAAAAGAAATATATAAATTCTCTAAGTCTGGTTTAAATGACCTAACTGAATTGGCAATCTCTGATTCAATCAACATGATCAGTTTATACCATTTGTCAGGAAATTGAACATCTGATGAAGTCTTTTAGTCTTTGTTCTCGACGCTGGACCAAGTTATTTCTCTTTGCACAGTTATTGTGTGTCTAGGATTTAACAGGACCTCTGAAGCTATGGCTATAGCAATTTTGTACTTCTTTCAGGCATGGTGGGAGGGATAATTGGTTTATGACACATGTGGCCCTTTTAAGCTTCTTGGGTGGAGGTGAGGGGCATCATGCCACCCACATTCATAAAGCTGTTCGTTTAATTATTTTACTCATCCAGGCCCACTGCTGATAATCCTGATATGAACACCATACACTGTTCTTCTGAGGGCAAGGTTATTTTAGTTTTAGAAAGATTTCCAGAGCTTTTTAAGCCCGTTAGAGCTCTGAAGCTCTGGAAGAAATGATGCATTTTTCACCATATTAAATAATACATTCAAGTGTAAGTGGCTTTCAAAATGAGGAACTAAAGAAAAGGCCACAAGATGAAGCTGCTCTTGCTGTGTCTCCAAGGTGACTGGCACATAGCAATAGGCCTGCCCTGACAAGGCTGGGAACAGTGGCCTGGGTGAAAAGGGATTGTGTAATCAGTACAGCTCCCTTCAAAGCTGTCGCTCAGAGACTGGATCTGACTAAATTCCTCAAAATAGCCACTTCAGGTTTTTGGGAGATAACAACTTGTTTTTTGTGGCAGAAAAGAAAATAGCCCACTCCCTGTATCAACTTCCAAATTTAAAAATCAAAGATGATATGTTAATTTTCTGAAAATGAATCCCTTAAGAACTTAGGTTTGTCACATTTGCAAGTGTGTACAGGGAGACGAATCTGAAATCTGAGAAACACGTCCTTGATCAGCCTTAGGATAGGAGCAGCAGAAGGAAAGGATTCTTAAATCCAGTGTCAGCCACTTAACTGACCAGTATCTTTTTCTCTGAAAAATGTTAGCATTTCTTAATATTTGGAATGTCTATGGAATTTATATGTCAGCCAATATTCTGTTAAACTCAGAATATTAAATCTGAGTTATAAGCACTACAGATAAGTGATTCCAAGTGCTAATTTCATTCCTAATTTCTAAATTAACAGTTTCTAAATCTTCCAGCAACAAGTCTATAATGGGTCAACAAGTCTATAAGTCTATCACGTGTCATCTAATCATTGATAGAGATAAAAAGGATTTTGTCTTTAGTCTCTCATGAGAATAGGTTTTACCTTTAATCGATGATTAGATGACACATTGTAGACTTGTTTTTACGGTCAGGCCCCCACGTGTGTTGTGCATGTGTTGTACATCCATGGATTCAACTGCAGATCAAAAATATCTGGGGAGACAAGGAATGATTGTGTTTGTCCTGAATGTGTAGACTGTTCCCTAAACAATACAATGTTACAACCATGTATGCAGCATTTACATTGTGTTAGATATTATAAGTAGTCTGGGGATGATTTAAAGTATACAAGAGGAAGTCTGTAGGTTATATGCAAATACTACTTTTTTATGTGTAAGAGACTTGGGCATCTCTGAATTTAGACATTCTGGGGGGTCCTGGAACCAATCCCCTACAGGTACCAAGGGATAGCTCAGTTAGCATTAAATGATGGTTAAACACAATCTGATTAAAACCTCTAGTATTATGTGAAGGGCAAGGTAAGGACCCTGAAGTATGGCAGTGGGGTCAGAGAAGGGATGGAATTGATCTCTTAACTTTGACGGGAGCAGTAGGGGCAGTGGGAGTCAGGAGGGATAGAGAAAAAAGCCAATTTGGAGATTTCTAGCTTGGGCCATTGGGTAGATGGTAATGCAGTGAACTGAGAAAGAAAATGCAGGAAAAGGAGCAGGTGGCAGATGAGAGATCAGTTTGCAACTAATAGCTGGAACTAATGGCCTCATCACTGGTACCTCTGTGGAAATTCATGCTGGTTTTCCCATCAGTATCCATCCTCCTGAGCATGAAAAAAACAAACTCACTTCTCCCCATCTGCATTTAGTGAAGGGGTATAGCAGCTGCTTTCCAAGTCCCTACAGTTGGAAAGTCCCGTGATGCTGTCAGCATTTCAGTGTGGTTGGTTGGTACTGGTTCAACTCGCGGGTGGATTTCCCTGTTGGTAATAATAGTGTGTTGGCTGTTTTCAGTGCTGGTGATATGTCTGCTACTTGGCCTATGAAGCAAAATTGCTGAAATAGAGCACCTGAGAAAGCATCTTAAAATCGTGTTCTTTTAAAATGTTAACTAATAAACTCTAGTTTGATGTTTTACCAGAACCTGTGGGATTATGGGTAATAAAAACTAAAAATGTGAGGTTGATGTGCTGGAAGCAATAATAAAATTTGCTTTTTATGCACTTTTAGAAAATGCATAATGTTCTAGATCAGGCAGCACAGTAGCTGTCATAATGTGTTGGCATCTTGTCACTCTTACTTTATCCTCTGCATAGGGTTGTGTTTGTTCAGACTGAATTGCATTAAGCTGTTCCTTATTAGAGTAAAACATACTCAGTTCCATAAATACTGAATTAAATTCACTTGGGTATTTTAATGGTGGTTTTTAATCCAGCCTCTTGCTTTTTATGCTCAATCTTAATAAAGTCAGATGCATTAAGTGACAATTGAGACGTTCTTTACATTCTTATGTAATCAGAGAATGGGGTTTCATGAATATTAACTTATTGTGTGGGTGTGTTATAATGTACATTCAAATTTTTTTCTTGTCTACAAAGTATAACGTTTAATAGAGTGGTCCTGCCCTGGTGTAATTACTTTTGTATTTTTCAGAATACCTACCCACATATAGTATGCATTGGAATATCAGTCATAGATGTTATACTCTGCCCAAAGAAAAAGAGAGTGATAATGAAAATACGGCTGTCTAAAACATGAATTTGGAAAATTTAAATGGAGCTACATCTTTAAAAATATCTGAACATGTCATTTCTTAAAACCTTAAATCAGCTCCCCAGGTTTTGCCAAAGTTACTTTATTATAAGTAAAAGTTTGATTTTTTTAATGTCTTTACATAGGTACAATGAGCATTCCTTTGCTTCACCTCTGGATAGTCACGGAGTCATTTAATTCTTGCTTCAAGTGTTTTCTCTTACCCACCCATTCCTTTCACCACCACCACACTAGTGAGGTCTTTATCACATCATCCCTGAGAATTCTGACAAGTCTTTTTAGTAGGACTTCCTGCTGTTAGTCTATCCATTCTTCATTATACCAGAATAATCTTCTTTAAAATGGATTTCTTATTCTTTTCAGAAATGATCAATGGGTTCCTGTTTCTCACTTTATGGATGGGATATAAATTGAATCCTGTAGGATCCAAGGATTTTCATAACATAGAACTCTATCAATTCAATGTTTACATCAGTCATCCATTAGTCTTAAACTAGTATTTTTATTGTTCAACAAATGCCTTTTTCTTTCCCTATTGTGTATTAGTCAGGGTTCTCTAGAAGGATGGAATAGGATATGTGTGTGTATACATATGTATATGTATTTGGAAGTTTATTAAGTATTATACAATCTCAAGGCCCTACAATAAGCCGTCTGTGAGCTGAGGAGCAAGGAGAGCCAGTCCGAGTCCCAAAACTGAAGAACATGGAGTCCAGTGTTCATGGAGAGGAATCATCTGGCACAGGAGAAAGATGTAGGCTGGGAGGCCAGGCCAGTCTCTCCTTTTCACGTTTTTCTGCCTGCTTTATATTAGCTGGCAGCTAATGAGATTGTGCCCACCAGGTTAAGGGTGGATCTGCCTTCCCCAGCCCACTGACTCAAATGTTAATCTCTTTTGGCAACACCCTCGCAGACACACCCAGGATTAATACTGTGTATCCTTCAATCCAATCAAGTTGACACTCAGTATTAACCATCACACTATTGCTTCCCCTTCCCAAATGCCCTCCCAATTCCTCTGTCTATCCAAACTATATCCCCTCACTTCAATGTCCTGCTTCTAGGCTCATCCCCTCTTTGATATCCCCCTTGAATGTCCACTGATTTAATTATCTCTACCACACTGTTTAGTAGCTAATAAGATGCTATTTGAATATGTAGTACTCTGAGGCTAAAACAAGCTTTCACTTTTTAAAAACATTTAATTGTAGGAAACATCTCAACAAATACAAAAGTAAACAGTTTAGTATGAACATCCATATATCCATCAGCCAGCTTCAACAAGTATTAACTCACAATGAATCTTGCTTGATCTGTGCCTCACCTATTTTACCTCCCATAATATTTTGGAGCAAATCTCAGGTATCATGTCATTTTATTTGTACATATAATATGAAATAAGCTTTTTGACAGTACTGTGTACCTGTTCTTAATTGCCCTAAGCACCTGAATCCATCCTGCAATAGTCAGGAGGCACCTACCTAGTCCAAACATCTCCATATTCATGACCATATCCATTACTACATGCATATTTTTCATACCTATACAGTGTTTACATCTGTATGCATGTATCTGTATCTATCTGCATCTATAACTATATCTCATCTCTATAGGTTTATGTCTATATACCAAGAGAGGTTTATAACCAAAAGATGTGTTAACAAGATAGACCACTATTATGGAATGAGAAGACATATTCTACTATACATCCAGCACAAGCATGTTTCGATATTACTAATGACATACTTTCTACCGACTTGTCACTGATTACCTGTTACCCTTGGAGTGATGGCTCTACATGTCTCACTGGAGCCCACGTTAAAATGAACTCTGAGGTCTCTGGCCAGCCACTTCTTTTTCATCCCTTTGTTTTCTGAAAATGTACTGTCTTTTTCTAATTGGCCAGTAAGAGATTCTTCTTTGGGCTAGATGAGTAACATCCTGATTATACTAAAGCTGGCAACAGTTCTAGCAATTTTATGAAGGCAGAATACAGATACTATGACACCACCATGAATGTTTGAGCTCGAGACTCCTGGGAACTCACTGATATGCAGACTTTCTTTAGGGGAAAATTTTGAATGGTGTTATATCACCAACTCCTCTGGTAGCAAACATGCTTTATACTTCAACTCAACATTTGTGAGTACCAACCATGTTTAAAAGTATATTAGATGCTGGGTAGTTTAAGTCTTAAGAAAGGTATTGTCCCTGCGATAGATGGCCTTATAGACACAGAAAAGAATGTGTTTAATATGGTATTGACCATGCCACTTTTCTTCCATTGCTCTCCACCCTTCCATTCTGTTACCCTGTCCACAGATTGCTCCAATCTGACCATTCATCCTGTTTCCACTGCAGGCTCCTCTGTCATTTCTTCAAATGTTGATGTGCTTCAGGGTTACTTTGTCCTCGTCTCTTTTTATTGTGTGTATTCTCCCAGAGATATCTCATGTCCTCTACCCTGGTGATTAATAGTGATACTTCTAATTAAAATAGCTCCTGCATTCCGAGTTTGTATCTCTCGAAGTTTACAGGACATTTCTTTTCTCTCCCAATCCTTTACTCTTCTCCCATTGGCACCCCATACCCCTGCCAAAGCCTGGCTGTTAGCCCAGCATCCTCCTCTACCACTCCCCTCATTCCCTATGTGCTGTTAGAAAGCCTTGCCAGACCTTTTTAAAAAAAAGTCTCAAATCCTTCTCTCATTTTCCATTAATAGTCAATTTCACTAGCTTTGAATCTCTTCCTTGGAATATTCCCAAAAATCTATCAGATCTTCCTGTCTCTTCTCACCTCCCCCAATCCATTCTGCATATCAGAACAACCTTTACAGAATACTCCATGAAACACAAAGCCTAAACGTGAAATATGGTATTACTTTGATTAAAAACCTTTTAGATTCTCTATTGCCTACATGCTAAACTCAAATTCTCTACAAGGAAGAGGTTCCTCAAATCTTAACTTTCTCTCCTTCTCTAGTCTCATTTCCTTTCTTTTCTCCTTTCCTCTCTCACCTGTGTTCTCCCTAACCCTGACAACATACACACATTCTCCCATTTCCACATCACATTGAATTGCTTCTGTGTCTTATGCCTGGAAATCCATTCTCTTAGTTTCCCAGGAGAACCCTTCTAACTTTTCTATGACAGTTTATTGTTTTTTACCTGAAGTCTGTCTTTCCTGCTTAGGTAGATTTGACCTCTCAACATTTTTTATCTTTACCACGCTTGGTACATAATTTCATAAAGCAGCGGTCCTCAACATTTTTGGCACCAGGGACTGGTTTTCTGGAAGACAATTTTTCCACGGTGGTAGTGGCGGGGGAAGGTTTCAGGATGAAACTGTTCTACCTTCAGATCACTAGTCATCACCTTCTCATAAGGAGCATGCAATCTAGATCCCTCGTATGCACAGTTCACAATAGGGTTCATGCTCCTATGAGAATCTGATGCAGCCACTGCTCTGACAGGAGGCGGAGCGCAGGTGATAATGCTTGCATGCCTGCAGTTCACCTCTTGCTGTGCAGCCCAGTTCCTAACAGGTTGAGGACCAATACGGGTCTGTGGCCCAGGAGTTGGGGATCCCTGTCGCAAAGCACCCAAGCCACTGCATTGCACCATGTGTCTGCACCTATGTCATCTTCTACAATGGGTCCGTTAAGGAGAAGAACAGAGTTAAATTCACCTCTAATTTCCCAGTATCTAATGGAGTGTGTGGTCTATCAAACACAAAATGTATGTTGATTACAGATTGGATGAAAGAATAATGGGAAACTTTAATATTCAGCTACATGTTTGTATATTTATAAACTTTATATTTGTGGGCATAAATTCCGACTCTCTACCATTTTACACTCCTTAAAACTACTAATACTGTGACAGGTATTTGGTAATTAATTTTACTCTTTTAGATGTGTTGTAGCCCATGTTAAAAACTAACTGTTTGAGTCAATGTTTTCTGAGGGAACCATAATTCAAACTTCATGTTGGGTCTTGCCACTAAATGTAGTGAACAGTTCAGGATTTTTTGACTGTCCAGCCTCTGAACCTTCTTAGGTTTCCACTATGTATCTTGGTGAGAGACAGAGCCTGCATCCTTCTAGAGATTTGGAAAGCCCAGTTCATTTAGATTCAGTCTCATGCTTGCCATCATCTAGCCCAGAGACTTGAGATGTAGGCTTAGCTAACCAGACCAAGATTCTACTGGCATTTGAACTTTGAAGCAGCAACATACAGTGAAATGCATTCATTTGTACAGAAACCACACCAGAAGTTTGTACAGAAGTTTCCCAGTGTGGATGGTGGCAGCCAGGATTGTGTCCTCTCCAATGGCAGAGGAAGAAGTATTCTCCCTTAATTTCCTTTGGTCCTGGCACCTACCTGATGTTTCCTAGTACTTCCTCATTTGCTAAGCCTCATTCTCAAGCCTTCCAAGAAGTTTCCTGAGTTACTCCAATCTTTTTGATAAAATCATTTCACTTCAATTGGCCAGAGTCAGTTTGTTTCTTTCAGCCAGCAAAAGTGACTATAATATTGATGAGCTGAGCATGGTAGCTCACACCTGTAACCCCAGCGTTTTGGGAGGCCGAGGCACGCTGATCACTTGAGACCAAGACCAGCCTGGCCAACATAGCAAAACCCCGCCTGTACTAAAAATACAAAAATTAGCTGGGCACGGTGGTGCATGCCTGTAATCTCCGCTACTTGGGAGGCTGAAGCATAAAAATAGCTTGAACCCAGGATAAGGAGGCTGCAGTGAGCCAAGATCGCGCCACTGCACTTGAGCCTGGGCAAAAGAGTGAGACTCTGTCTCAAAAAAATATATTGATGAAGTTTACTTACACCAAATTGTTTAAGTGGAAGATTGTGCTAGTATGCGTCTAGCTGAAAAATGGATGCATTTAATTCACTAAATGCGTTGGCCAAAGCTATCTCAAGTAATGAACATAGAAGCAAAGTGTTCTTCTAACACACCACCAGGGAGCAGACTCTGGGTAAATGACATAAGTAATTTATGGACAATAACCATTGCTTTGCCTTCAGATATTTCTTTATCTCTTTTGCAAGCCTTTCCCCAGGTGCCATCTGAAAGGGAAATAGTAGGCGGCTAATGAAGGTGTTCTCAACGGTATTATTTGCTGCCTCAAGAAAAAGGAATGGAGCAATTGTCTGCAATCATAACCAGATGTTGCAAAGCTCTATAAGCCTTAATGGCTGTTGTTTCAATACAGCTTTTTAGGAGGGGAAAAAATCAATAACACTAAAATAAATTATCTATGGGAAGAATTTACTGGCCATTTTTCATGAGAAAATTACTGTACAGAGACTTAATTGTGCTTTCTGGGTATGGTTTAAAAGTCAAAAAGCTAACGAATTATGTTTGTACTTGCATGTTTGGCTCTTGTGAGTTTATGAATTATCACTGGGACATCTGTAGAGCCTTTACTACTGAAAACTACATGCGATGTTGAATTTTAAGCAACTGCAAATATGAAAGAAAAATGCCATACTCTTTAGCTGAGAACATGTAGCAGTCCTAAATGGAACGGATATGGGAACTTAAGACTTAAATGTATCAAAACTATAGATTCTTCTCTTAAGTTGGACCTTTGGTGACAACAAGAATAGTGAGCAATCCACGCATGAAGCTATCTAGATATTTTCCGGCTACTCAGACATCAGATTCATGGGCAGACTGCCCATGAATCTAACTAGTAGGTGCTGGGATCTGAGTTATGTTTTGAAAGCAAAACCTTACAGTCTCTACTACTGTTTCCAAAGGGTGGCCCTTGGACCACATGTCTCAATCACTTGGGATGCTTATTCAAAGTTCAGATTCCTTGGCCCCACCCCACGCACTTGAATTAGAATCTCTGTGGGTGTATTCTGCACAGATATGTTTCCCGAGTCATTGATACACACTCATAGTATTGATTATTGACAATGTCTCTCTTCTTAAACATTCTTCTTAGGGCCAGATTTAATTCTAATCAAAATGTGTAGTACATATTTACATGCACGACTTTGTCTTTCTCTCCTATCTCTCCCCCTCCTATCCTCGGCTTTTCCCAATTCATTTGACAGCATCTCCTCGCCACACCCCTATCCTTTTCTAGACAATCCATTATCCAGTACCTTGCTTTTTACTGTTCTCTCCTAACACCTTCTGCTCTCTATGACTGCAGACACTCAGAATTTGGCTATTATGTTCCTTGAACCCTCAAACTCCATTGTTTTGTTAAAACAACTGTCTTGGGGTTTTTTCGGTGGTGGTGGTGGTTTTTTTTTTTTGAGACAGAGTCTTGTTCTGTCACCCAGGCTGAAGTGCAGTGGCGTGATCTCTGCCCACTACAAACTCCGCCTCCCGGGTTCAAGCAATTCTCCTGCCTCAGCCTCCTGAGGAGCTGGGACTACAGGTGCACATCACCATGCCCAGTTATTTTTGTATTTTTAGTAGAGAAAGGGTTTCACCATGTCGCCCAGGCTGGTCTTGAACTCCTGAGTCGGGATCCACCCACCTCAGCCTCCCCAAGTGCTGGATTACAGGCTTGAGCAACCACACCTGGCCTGTCCTGGATTTTATCCCCACAGCTAGGTCATCTAAAGCAATAATAAACTATTAAGATAATCTGTAACTCATTAGAGGGCTGGAGAAAAGAAGAATCCTTTCTTCCTGAGTGACCCTCAGGCATCTAACAGAATCTCCCCTCTGTAAAGCACCAGGTTGGCCATCTCTTCCAAGGGAGTCAATTAAGTATGAATTTTTTTTTAGCTAGTATGCTTTTAATAAATATTTGTTAAAAGAATGGTGGGAATTTCAGCCCAAGTTGCAGAAAGTAGTAGCACGAAGCATAGGTCTGTGAGATAAATAAAGCTTCTAGTTCAGGAATGAGGAATGAGGAAAGGCTTTTGAGTGGCAGGAAAATGATTTAAGAGAAATGAAGTCAGAATATGCTGAATGCTCCAAAAAAGTCATTAAGACATTGGAGGGCTATCTAGTGCCCTAGTGAGAGAGTAGAAGGTGGGGAGGGAGGGGTGTGTGTGTGTGTGTTGCGGGAGGGCTGGGGGTGCAGCAGGGCAGAATAATTAACTCTTAAAGGAACTTAGGTAGGAGTTCAACAGACAAGTCTGAAGGGATTCTAGATGAAAGAAACAGCATGAGCAAAAACAGAAATGGGAAAAGCCTGAACTTGCACGTGTAGCAGCAGTCTGAACTGGAGACAGGCAGGAGCGGGGTTGATGTTAGAAGCATTGAGGAAGCAAAATCTAAAGGGAATTGACTACAGCTGTATGTGGGTGTGTGGCAGAGAGGAGGCTGGCTTTGCTTTCAAGTCCAGCTGACACTAAATACATTTGGAGTTTGACTGTGATAATAGCCTCATCTTTCTATAAGTATTAAAACTGTTTTCTCTGGAAGTCTCACCCATGTAGAGTTCGGCTCTCTTGTAGCTCTCATGCATTAGTGAAAATGCAGCTCCTATTTCCGTCCTTGGGTTATTTGCTGAAAGCACCCATGTGATGATTGTCTTATTACTGGAATTGCCCAAGTAAAATTTTCAGGAATGGAGAAAGCGTATTTGAAAATTTTAGTCTGCTTTTCTTTTGAAATGTGAAGCATGATTTTCTTGGGTGAGACTAGAAATCAAAGGCCCTTTAATTGATTGCTTTCCATCAGAAATAAGAAGCGTCACGATCTTGTTGTTTTAGTGAAGGATAAAACATTACCCTTAGGCAAGAAACTACAGGAAAAAAGGAAAATAAACATTATAGTTATGTTACAGGTAAAGAAACAAGGTAAACCACATTAAGGAGTATCCCTTCTTATCCAGGCGGCATTTAGTGTTAAGTGCTGGAATCTGTTAATCCAATAATAAGATTTAGGAAGAAGAATCTAATATCTTATATTTAAATAGTAATCTTTCTCCCCATGGACATTACATATATTTTTGAAATTTGTATTTTAAAAAATCTACCTGCAAATACTTTATGTTCAACATGCTTTTTTGATCCCTGAGAAATTTTTTTAAATATTTTGTTTCAGTGACATTTCTTCCAGGATTCAATTCCTTTTCTTGAAGAGTTTGGAATGAACCAATTACACATGGGTATTCTGGCGAAGAGTGGTAGGAATCTTTCATATCAGTCACCTGGCCTCCTTCATTTCAATTTAAAAATACTTCTGTTACCTTATTTGGCAGCTTGTCTCTGTATTTCTTCAGCTTGCATAAAGCAGTAAATTTTGCTCTAGGAGAAAAATTGAGAAGAGATTATTACTGAATTTGAGAAGAGATTGTTACTGAAGTCTGCCTATTTTAGGTCCTAAATTTCATATGAAACAAGACATTTGATTGTTTCACCCTTAGTACGTTCACAGTTAAACGTCTCAGGAACTCACTAAGAACACGTACTAGAAACAAGATAGCAAATAATCCACACAGAATGCAGACAGTTAATCTCCAAAGCTTTCAGCTGCCACAAAAGTGAACTAAAAATATCAGTAATATTTCTAATTCTGATGATAATTAAAGTGCATTCTTTACCCCACAGGGTAAAGAGACCTACCTAAGTTTAAACTATAAATGTCACTGTTTAATTATTTATTTACTTATTTTATTTTATTTTTTTATTTTTTTTTGAGATGGAGTCTTGCTCTGTCACCCAGGCTGGAGTGCAGTGGCATGATCTCGGCTCACTGCAACCTCCGCCTCTCGGGTTCAAGCGATTCTCCTGCCCCAGCCTCCTGAGTAGCTGGGACTACAGGCACCCACCACCACACCTGGCTAAGTTTTGTATTTTTAGTAGAGATGGGGTTTCACCACGTTGGCCAGGCTGGTCTCAAACTCCTGACCTTGTGATCCACCCGCCTCGGCCTCCTGAAGTGCTGGGATTACAGGCGTGAGCCACCACGCCCGGCCTAGTTTAAAATTCTAAAACACATTAGAAGTTTCCATTTTTATGATTTTAAACTTACTTAGCCTTCACAACACAAGCTAGCTAAGGCATGGCAGATATTCTTATTTTGATGTGTGTGAAAATTGATCTCGTCAATGGCTAGGGGTAGATCCAACAGCATGTAAGTGACAAAACCAGAACTCAAATCCTGATGGTCTTCTGACTTCAATTGGGCATGGTGCCAAGAGTAAAGGATATAAATTACCTCCCTATTTTTATACAAAAATTCAAAATAAGGCTGTCACTAAAGTAAACAGGCACAAGTATGCTGCAGCAATACATTTTAAAAATGTATTTTAACTTTTATAAAATACATACTGTGATACCCTAACTTGTATTAGCTTGATTGACTCTTAGCTGAAAAAGCCAGACAGATTCCATTTGGCTCCTTCATTTGCAAGACATTAAGATCTCCTTACCCACCCCCTTCCTCAAGGACTTAACTTGTGCAAGCTGACTCTCAGCACATCAAAGAGTGCAATTAACTGATAAGGTACTGCGGCAAGCTGTGTCCACAGTTCCCAGGAATTCGCTCGGGTGATAGTATAATAAAGCCCCCGCGTTTGTGTCCGGAGCCCCCACACCTATCACCTTGTGATGAATTTAAAGCCCCTGCACCTGGAACTTTGTTTTCCTGTAACCATTTGTCTTTTCCATTTTTTTTTTGCCTGTTTTACTTCTGTAAGATTGCTTCAGCTCAGTTCCTCCTGCCCTCTCTAAATGAAAGTATAAGAGAAAATCTAGCCCTTTCTTTGTGGCCGAGAGAATTTCAAGTATTAGCCATCTCTCAGTCGCCGGCTAATAAAGGACTCCTGAATTAGTCTCAAAGTGTGGCGTTTCTCTATAACTCGCTTGGTTACAAGAATACCATCTGAGAATATTTGACAAAGATGGTATATAGTACTTATGTACTACATGTTATTTTGAAATCTGTGTACATTGTGAAATGGCTAAATTGAACTAATGTTCATTACTTCAAATTTTTGTGGTGAGAACAAAATCTACTCAGGAATTTTCAAAAATATGATACATTATAATTAACCATAGTCCCCATGCTATGGTTAATTGATCTCTAGAACTCATTCTTCCTAACTGAAATTTTGTGTGATTTGACGAACATCTCCCCAACACCCACTCACACTCCAGCCTCGGGTAACCACTGTTCTCCTCTCTACTTCTGAATTCAATTACAGATTCCACATGTGAGTGAGATCATATATGTCTTTCTGTACCTGTTTTATTTCACTTAATGTATTGCCTGCCAGGTTAACCCATGCTGTCTCAAATGACAGAATGTCCTTCATTTTTAAGGTTAAAAAAAGTCATATATAACTCTTCTAGGCCAGGTGACTGATATAAAGGATTCTATCACTCTTCACCAGAATACACATGTGTGACTGGTTCATTCCAAACTCTCAGGCTCATATACATTTT
Source organism: Homo sapiens (assembly GCF_000001405.40). NCBI lineage: Eukaryota > Metazoa > Chordata > Mammalia > Primates > Hominidae > Homo > Homo sapiens. The sequence goes on along the minus strand of NC_000014.9, from coordinate 62,662,319 downwards.
CTTGATCCATTCACCTGCTGATGGACACTTATGTTGACTCTATATCTTGCCTATTGTGAAGAATGCTTCAGTGAAATGGAAGGGCAGGTACCTCTTTGACATACTGATTTCATTTCCTTTGGTTGTATACCCAGTAGTGGGATTGCTAGGCCATATTGCAGTTATATTTTTATTTTTTTGAGGGCCCTCTACAACAGTAGTAAAGGCCATTCTGATTAGGTCAACCTTGTGCAAAGGTTCCCTTTTCTCCACATCCTCACCAGTACTTAGTATCTTTTGTCTTTTTGAGAAGAGTCATTCTAACAGGAAGGAAGTGATATCTCATTGTGGTTTTAATTTGCATTTTTCTGGGATTAGTGATGAGCATTTATTCATATGCCTGTTGGACCTTTGTATGTCATCTTTTGAGAAATGTCTAGTTTTGATCCTTTGCCCATTTAAAAATTGAGTTGTTTCCTTACATTGAGTTTCTTATATATTTCGAATATTAACACCTTATCAAGTATATGATTTGCAAATATTTTCTCCCATTCTATAGGTTTTCTTTACTCTGATTCTTTCCTTGGCTATGCAGAGGCTTTTTAGTTTGTAGTCCCACCCATCTATTTTTGCTACCTGTGCTTTTGGGTTCACCTTGAAAATATCATTGCCCAGACCAATGTCACGGAGATTTTCCAGTATGGTTACTTCTAGTAGTTTTATCGTTTCAGGTCTTGCTTATAAGTCTTTAATCCATTTTGAGTTGACTTTTTACATGGTATAAGATAAAAATCAATTTCATTCTTCTGTATATGGAAATCTAGTTGTCCCACATCATTTAATGACACTATTCTTTCTCCACGGTGTGTTCCTGGAAGCTGTTGGGTCAATTGACAGTAAAAGTGTGGATTTATTTCTGAGCTCTCTATTCTGTTCCATTGGTCTGCATGCCTGTTTTTATGCCAGTTCCATGCTGTTTTCATTAGCATAGTTTTGTAGTAAATTTTGAAGTCAGGTAGTGTGGTATCTCCAGCTTTGTTCTTTTGCTCAAGATTGTTCTGGCTATTTGGGGTCTCTTGTGGTTCCATACAAAGTTTAGAATTTTTTTTTATTTTGGTGGAAAGCATCTTTGGCATTTTCACAGGGATTGCATTGAATCTGTAGATTTCTTTTGGGTAAGTATAGGCATCATAATATTAATATTCTTCCAATCCATGACCATGGAATGCATTTTCATTTATTTGTGTGTTCTTCAATTTCTTTCATCGGTGTTTTATCGTTTTCAGTCTATAGATTTTTCACCTCCTTGGCTGAAATTGTCCCTAAGTATTTTAGTTAATTTTAGTGGCTAGTGTAAATTTGTATTGTTTTTTATTGATTTATCTTTTGGTTAGTGTATAGAAATGCTACTGTTTTTTTGTTTGCTGGTTTTTGTATCCTGTAACTTTACTAAATTTGTTAGTTCTAATACTTTCTGTGGAGTTTTTAGGGTTTTCTATTTACTGTCACCCCAAAACAGGAGCAATCTAATTTCTTCCTTTCCAATCTGGATGCCATTTTTTTCTTTCTCTTGCTTGATTTCTCTAGCTAGATCTTTCAGTACTATGTTGAATAGAGGAGGTAAGAGTATTGTCTTGTTACTGATCTTAGAGGAAAAACTTTCAACATTTCCCTGCTGAGGATGACATTAGGTGTGGGTTTAGCATATGTGACCTTCATTATGTTGAGGTACATTACTTCTATACCTAAGTTGTTGAGAATTATTATCATAAAAGGATGCTGGGTGTTGTCAAATGTTTTTTCTGAATCTACTGAGATGATCATATTGTTTTTGTCCTTCATTGTGTTACTGTGGTATATCACATGTATTTATTTATATTTATTTCTGCTAAACTATCCTGGCATCCTAGGGATACATTCCACTTGTTCGTAGTATAGGATCCTTCTAATGTTCTGTTGAATTCAACACTCCATGCACCTTCAGAGTTGGCATCATGTGGATGGTGCAAAGGTTTACATCTTGTACCCTCTGGAGTTGCAGCTCAAGCTATACCTGGGCCTTCTTGGGCCACAGCTGAGGCTGCCAAGGGGCACTGCACCAGAGTGTGGGGACAGAGACTTGATATGAACATGTGCAAATAGCTCTGAGATCGCATGGGGGCCCTAGGCTTTTTCCTTGAAATAATTCTTCCCTCAGAGACCTGGTACTTCTGGGCCAGTGATGAGCATGGCAGCCTCAAGGATCTCTGAGATGCCTTTGGGGACATTCTTTCATTGTCTTAATGAGTAGCACTGGCTTCCTTCTGTCTATAGGAATCTATCAAAGGGTAACTTTACCACACCCTTGGTTTCCTTTTCTGAACACTTTTTATTCTTTATATGGCCAGGCTGAGAATTTTCTAAGTCTTTGGTTGGTTTCTCTGTTGATAATAAATTCCATATTTAACTAATTTCTGTTTGCATTTTATTATAAGCAGATAATAGAAACCATGCAGCACCCTCAACACCTTGCTTAAAGTTTTCTCATGCCAAATAACCTAGTTTATCACTCTTAAATTCCTCCTTTCCCAAAGCAGAAGGGACACGGACACAATTCAGCCAAGTTATTTACCACATTTTGTAACAAGAGTGGACTTTCCTCCAGTTCCCAATAAGATAATCTTCATTTCCCTATGAAGACCTAATCAGAATGGCCTTTATTGTCCATATTTTTACCAACATTCTGTTCAAGACCATTTAGATGTTCTCTAAGACTGAGACTGTCTCTGTAGCTCTTCTGTTCTTCTGAGGTCTTGCAAGAATCACCCTTAATTTTCTGTCATAGCAATATAGCAGGTTTTCAGCATTCATTTCAGAACCATTCCAGCCTCTACCCATGACCCAGTTTCAAATATGTTCCCACATTTTCAGGTATTTGTTACAGCAACACCCAACTCCTAGTATCAGTTTCTTAGTCCATTTGCACTACTGTAACAAAATACCAGAGACTAGGAATTTATACAAAATAAACTTTTATTGTTCTAGAGATGAAGTTCAAGATGAAGGAACTGATCAATTAAGTGTCTGATAAGGACCTGGTCTTCATTTTTAACATGGTGCCTTATTGGTGAATCCTCTGGAGGAGATTAACACTTTGTCTTTACATGGCAAGAGGAATAGAAGGGCAATAAAGCAATTCCTTCAACCTGGAAAAAGCTTTCCAATGGAGCTTTTGAGTGTTAAAGCCAAAAAGATGGCTAGAAACTATGAATTAAAAATATGACAGGATTTTATGAGAATGCTAGCAAAAAGTCAGGAATATGGGACTTCATGAAGGCTTCATTCAAAAAAGTTTTATGATCAAAATATCAAAGCACCTTGTCAATGTAAGAAAGTATATATATGTGCTATATAAATAATATACAGCACAATGTTGGTATCAACTTGCAATTCTTAGATACTTCAGTGTGTTCAGTAGAAGTATGTCTCCAAGTCCCATCTGTCAACTTTTCTTTCATGGTCCTGATTCCAAATTTAGTGTCCCAAATTAAGCTTCACTGGAATGGTCAATTACTTGACTAGGGCTAGCACAGCTATTTCAAGAAAATTCTCAGTCTTTTTTTTTTTTCTGCAAGTTCGCAGTTTTTACACGCATCATCTGTTTAATTCTTACTTTGTTTTTAATTTGCTTTATAAAGTTCTAAGAAATATTACTTAAGAAGGACACATTACTTAACTTTTTCATAATGTATTATCTTCAAAAATGTCCACAGAGGTGTTTTTTTCTTTTTTTTCCCCCTAGGACTGTCCTGCCTTTTGGTAAAAAGAGCCTCCCAACTCCCATCCTACCCATCTTTCCACTCCATACTACAAAAGTCATGGAGACCTCCTATGCTGTAGGCCAGAAATCCCTTCCTACTGAATCAGGCTGGGGTGCACCACTTAATAGTTTGATTTTTGTATCATGACTGTGCTTCATGTTCATCTTGAAGAGTATATTCCCATCATCTAACAATTCACAACAGGATGTTAAGAAAGGTATTTTTGTGTTAAGCAAGGCATTGTTCAGCCTAAAGAAAGGAGGAATAAAATTTTACACATTGTGGTGTTGACCAAAAGTATCTGAGACAGGTCTCAGTCAATTTAGAAGTTTATTTTGCTAAGCTTAAGGACATAGACATGACACAGCTTCAGGAGGTCCTGAGAACATGTGCCCAAAGCAGTCTGGCTATGGCTTGGTTTTACACATTGTAGGGAGACATAAGACATCAGTCAATACACATAATATAAATATTGATTTGGTCCAGAAAGGGGGAACAACTGAAAGCATGGGGACTTCCAGGTTATAGGGGGATTCAAAGATTTCCTGATTGGCAGTTGGTTAAAAGAGTTTATCTAAAGACCTGGAATCAATAGAAAGGAGTGTCTGGGTTAAGATAAGGAGTTATGGAGACCAAGGTTTTTATTATGCTGATGAAGCCTCCAGGTAGCAGGCTTCAGAGAGAATAGATAGTAAATGTTTCTTATCAGACTTAAAAAGATGCCAGACTCTTAATTAATTCTCTCTTGGATCAGGAAAAAGGCCTGGAAAGGGAAGTGGGTTCTCTACAGAACGTAGATTTTCCCTACAAGAGACAACTTTGCAGGGCCATTTCAAAATATGTCAAAGAAATAAATTTTAGGGTTAAATACTTTGATTTCTTTTAGGGCCTGCTATCTGTCACTTGGTATCTTATTGCCACAAAGTGTTTGCTTTGTCAGTCTTAAGGTCTCCATTTTAATGTTAAATGCTGGTGAGCTGTGCTTGAATTCCAAAGGGATGGGAGTTTAATGAGGTATGTCGATCCCCCTTCTCATCATGGCCTAAACTAGTTTTTCAGATATATTTAGGAACACTCTTGCCCAAGAGGAGGGGTCCATTTAATTGGTTGGGGGTCTTGGGATTTTATTTTTGGTTTACAATGGCATAGTGAGATGATACCAGCAAAGAAGAGGCTTTCCCCGTGTAGTTGCCTATCCATTGTCTACTTTCGTCTTTGGAAAAAATGCCTGGTTTCCAGGACTGTATTTCCTCATAGAGCTATTAAGAAGAATGTGGTAGTTGTTGATCTCTCCTACACATTCGGGTTGTTTTGTTTCCAGGAATAGAGCTGGTTTAAGTTCCTCACTTCCTTTGAAGAAGGAACCATGGGACTTGCTTTGGCTCACAAACAATGAGCAGAAGTGACCTGAATCACTTTCAAGAAGATACAGCTAGTGTACCACTCAGCATGCTCCCTTTCCCCGACTTCGCAATCACAGAAGCACAGAGATGGAGCTTCCCTTGGCCTGGATACCTGAGTGAGGGTAATAGAGGGCAAGTGGCTCTCCTCAGGTGATCCATGAAAAGTAACATGAGCAAGAAATAACACCCGTGCTGTTTTAAGCCAATGATATTCTCTGTGGTTTGTCATTACAACAATCCTCACAGATAGAAGAATCAAATGCAATAAAATGTAAAATTGCTTCAAAAAGTTTAAATCCATATAAACCTAAGCTCTTATTTCCATAAGAGATGTCTGTTCTTGTTCATAAGATAGTCTCTAAATTGGTCACATTGTAAGCATTTTTAATTAAGTTCAGGCTTGATATTTGTATCTTATCAAATGATGTGTTTCGTGTTTTGTTAGGTTGGTGCAAAAGGAATGATAAAAACCACAATTTTGCACCAACCTAAAAATGATTTCATTACTTTTAATGGCAAAAAACACGGTTACTTTTGCACCAACCGAAATACTTTGATACACAGGATTCTGGAAGCTGCCTGCATAGCTTCCTTTGAAAGTGGAAACATCTTATCACAAAGATGCCACTGTTGGACAGTACATAGTTCTAGGATAAGGGATCATCTTGCTTTTCCATGCCAGGGATCCATCAAAATGTAGCAAGAAGTTGCTGCCATCTTCACTGGCCATTCTGGAAACTTAAGACAATTTGGCCCTCATGTGTCTTTGTGTACAACTCACCGCTTTCATGTTTTTGCTTGGTTACCCAATGAGAAAGTGGGGCCCTGATTAGGTTAGAACAGAGTTCAGAGTGCAAATCAGCTCCAGTGAATGGCAGAAGTGCAGTTCTAAGTTATTTTTTAAATCACAGGTAAAAACGGTTTGGAGGCCTAAAATAGGTAAGGGTTGTAAAACATAATATAATGATTGACTCTAATAGTTTCTTTTTAAACCTAAAATACATGTCAACACAATAAAAGATCATTAGATGTTTTTTCACTATGTGCTTCTAAAAGGCTAGTCTATTCCTCTTTTTCCTTCATTATATTTCTCTCCGTGTATTTGAACTCCATTTTTCTGCTTCATTAACCTTCAAAGAAGCCATGTAACAGGTGCTTGGCGCATGTAATTTCAGGACCCTAAAAAGATGTCTTAAGTAATTAACAATCACATAAAATATGCATTATTAATGCATTAAGGATTTTTAAAGGACTGTTAGTAATTAATGCTGTTATCAGTTATAACTCTTACTATTTTTAAAATAATACATTTATCTGACCTTAAGTCTCATCTAGTTGAAACAATTGTTTTGACTCAGTTTATAATGTTTTCTTACTATTTGATACTTTAAGTTATGGGGCTTCTTGTAGTCTAAGCTGACGTGGAACAAAAACCAGAAGTAGGTTAACTTCTAAAAATGATGACTGATATACTAATATGTAACTGTTTTAGTTCACCTGGGTAGAATGATGGAGTTAAAGCCTTCCCGTTCTAGGCAGAAGAGAAGCCACTATTTTTCCTTTCATTTTTTAAACTCTGCTTTATTTGCCTCCCCCCGCCCTCCAAAAAAGGCATTTAGTTCAATGGGTTTTTTTTTCTCCCGGGAAGATTAGCATAGCACATATGATGAAGGGTGCCTGCCCTATTTGAGGGTTTTTTAAGGATAGTATTCTGATCTCTTAGGCTTAACAAGCAGCTCTTTTAAAGCTTGAGCAAGCAATAAAAGCACTCCGTCCCTGGGGTGACCCAAGAGTCTAAAGGGATTATGTGTCTTCACCTCAGAGGAATTCTGCCTAGCCTGAAGAGAAAAACAGAATCTATGAAAATAAACCTATTGTGCTGAATTAGAGGCAACACGCATATGAGATGCTCAGCTAATAAAATCAGTATGAGAAAATATTTATACATTTTAATATGCTTAGTGTGTTATTTTTGTTTCTCACCAGGCCACTGTGAGTGTGGAAGGTATCTGCTTAATCACGACCATCTGCTTGGAAAACTTATTTAAAGTAGAAGAAAGATGCACAATTAGTGTGTTTGTATTAACATAAACACACACATGCTCAGGACGACTAGTGTTATTTTCCCTTGTAAGGTTGAAATCCCTAAACCTTTTGGATCCAAAAAGCTGATAGTTTTGACTGAAAACTTCCAGCTGACTGCCCTTCCTGAAATATTCCTTGTACTTAACGTTTTGCTTAGCTAGTTTTTTCCTTTTCTCTATTTTTGCTGAAAGAACAATTGGGATGTGGCCAAGCTGGATGATTCGGGAGACTCAGGGAGAAATGTTCTCCACACAAAATAGTCATTGCAGTTCTTCTGGGAAACCACTGGTGGTTCATTTCAGTGTGTGTCCAAATTGTTATTGTCTTGTCAGACTTCAAAACCTTTCGTATTTTGAGATGGGAAAGCATCTAAATTGGTCCATGGAAAATTAGCTGAAATGGGAGCGGATTATATTCCCAGTCAACAGCAAAAGCACATCATCATGATAAAGGAATTATATATAATAAAAAGTTACAGTATCTAAAGAAGTTGCAAAGATAGACAAGTCTTCTCAGCATAGCTCATTGGGTGGGACTTGACTTAACCAATCCACTGATTTTTTTTTCCTTTGTTTCCAAAATGCGATTTTTCTACTCCAATAGTGAGAGTATTGTAAACGTTAAATTGTGAACTATCAGTGAGAATAATACAGTTTGTAATAGATTCACTAAATTAGGGGGAAAAAATAAATCATTCACATAGCCATTAAATCGCAAACCCAACCTAAAAGCTATTACAAATAAGACTAAGATGCATTGCAAGGCCAGGTGTGGTGGCTCACGCCTGTCATCTCAGCACTTTGGGAGGCCAAGGCCGGTGGATCACCTGAGGTCAGGAGTTTGAGACCAGCCTGGACAACATGGTGAAACCCCGTCTCTACTAAAAAATACAAAAATTAGCTGGGCGTGGTGGCATGAGCCTGTAATCCCAGCTACTCAGGAGGCTGAGGCAAGAGAATCGCTTGAGCCTGGGAGGCGGAGGTTGCAGTGAGCCGAGATCCTGCCACTGCACTCCAGCCTGGGTGACAAAAGTGAGACTCCATCTCAAAAAAAAAAAAAAAGATGCATTTTATTTGTTGCTGACATGGTAAGTAGTTTAGAGAAGAAATGTGCCAGTGTAACTGCATTATATGAGTAGTGAGTAAGTAAGCATCTGCTGTGTGTAAGACTATATGCTAGTTACACTATGGTTCATTATATACACAAATAAAAACTGATAGAAACAATACAGAAGTTGGATAAGCTTCCCAAGGCTTTAATAGCTAGCATTGATTCAATAGTAGTGTTAACTCAAATTCCTCAACAAACTTTACAAATATTTCCTGAAAGGAGAGCCAGAAAATAACCTTAAAAGAAAAAGGATAAGAAACTCTGTAAAGTAAATCTATAAAACCTAATTCAATTCAATGGTTCAGAAAAGTATTGTTGATAAAAGATTGAACTCATTCACAACTTAATCACCAATATTATGCAAACACCTATTTACATTGACGGATTACAGTCATTGCCTTGTAGATATTAGCTGCCCACTTACCCTCTGAGCTTCATTTTCCTTATCTATGAGGTGGGGGAAAATCAGAATGCTTGCCCCATAGAATTAGCTTGAGGACTAAACAAGTGATACAGATCAACCAGTAAATCAAGTGTCTTGGCTACAGGAAGTTCTTTCGAATATGGAATTCAGATCATTTCTTTCCTATGTCTTCCCAATTGCATTGAGAATAAAACCCAAACACCGTATCATGGCCTTTGATGCCCTAAACATCTGGCAATTGTCCATATCTCTGTCCTCACCTTATGTCATATTCCCTTCATGCAGTGTGTACTAGTCTCAAGTCTTGGCTGTGTTCTGATACCCTGAATCCAGCAAAGAAATGCTCACCTCAGGATCCTTGTCTCTCTTGCTGCCTCTTCCTGGAATGTTCCTCCCCATGGCCTCTCAGAGATGCTACTGTCATCATTTACATTCCAGTTCAGTGTCTCCCTCCTGCAAGAAGACTTTCCTGATGAGCAGATGTGAAGCTGTTCAGCCCCTCAGCTCACCTCATAACACTCCGCCACATTCATCTGGTTTATTTTCTTTGTAGACTTTATTTATGACTAAAAGATAACTTTCAGAGAAAGGTAAAAATCATAACCCTCATAAATAAAAATGAGCATTTTAAAGATTCTATTTTATCCCTTAATTAACATCCAAGCAGATGTTAAGACGAGTTCAAAGGACAATCTGTAGATCTGGCAAATTTATATATAGATCAGGAACACTGAAATGAATGTGCAAATGGAGACTAAACTGGCTTTTTATTTGGGGTGGGGAGAGATGAGGGAGAAGTCAATTTTACCTCACTAAACTTCAGGTATACAGATGCTCCTCAATTTACAAGAGTTACACCTCAATAAACTCATAAGTTGAAAATGTCATAAGTTGAGAATGCATGTAATACCCTTAACCTACCAAATGTTGTAGCTTAGCACAGCCTATCTTAAATGTGTTCACAAACTTATCTTAGCCTACATTTGGGTAAGATCATCCAGCACAAACCCTATTTTATAATACAATGTTGTATATCTCTTAAAATTTATTGAATACTAAAAGTGAAAAAACAGAATGGTTATCTGAGCACTCTAAGTTTGGTTTCTATTGAATGTATGTAGCTTTTGCACCTTCTTAAAGTTGAACAATAGTAAGTTGAACTATCCTAAATCAGGGACCCTCTGTAAAAGAATTGTTTTACATTGCTCTCTGTTATCTACAACTTAAAGATCTGTAAAAGTGCTCAAAGACAGTGAATGACTAGAAGCAGATATCTTCTAGGTAGTGCATAGTTTTCCACTGAATATGAATTCACATATTTCTTCTAGGTCATATGTGAATTTATTTATTTCACTGTTTGTTTTCTTTTTAACCCACTCATTCACCCAAATATGCCCTTTATGCAAGCTTCCTGAGGGCAGGGATTTTAATTTGTACATTGATGAATATCAAGTACCTGGAATCATGCCTGATATATAGTAATTACTCTATAGCTATAGTTGATACTTTTTTTTTGAAATATGTACTATCTTGTTCACACTTATATTTTCCTTTTTCCCTGCTAATTTCAACATTCTTAGACATTTGAAGCAGAGAGAAACTCAGAAAACATCAAATTTAAACCCTTTGTTTTAATTTAAAAAAACACCAAAATTTAGGTCTAGAATAATTTGCACAATGTTGGCAGAGCCAGAGTTAGAAACTGCTCTCCTGATATCCATCCTGGGGTTCTTTCTCCAACCAAAATTTTCTTAAATTTGAATAATGTAACTCCTTTAATAGGAATAAAAAGCCTGAGAAGTCATAGAGGCACTGACTTAAGAGCTCAGGGTCTATCAAAATATCTTTCAGTTGTGCTTTTCACCACAAAAGACAAGTCTGTCCTTGTAACTGATAAAATATTATTGTAGATTATTAAAATAGCAAATTAAAGGAATTTTTTTTCTCAACTTTTTGAATACATCAGTGGATTCCAGTTTAAGAAACACTTCACCAAATTGTGACTCTCCAGCCAATCTGACATTGTAGCTTTGTGTCTTTTTTTCACCATTATTCTTTGAAATTGCGTTTAATTCTACAAATGTCTAGATGTGTGGCTATTAAAAATAAGGTCATATGAGACAAAAAACTGAAAAAGTTATAGTCAACTATCTCAGATGTAGAATCTGGTGAAAGAACTGAGGCAAATATACAGTAATTATAATAACAGGCAAAATGTGTGTATTGGTCATGGTTCTCTAGAAAAACAGGAGACAGATGTAGATGTAGAGTTGGCCCCTGCACAATGAGGGGGTTAGGGCACTGATACCAGCCACCCTGAGCAGTGAAATTTTGTGTATAACTTTGACTCCCCTAAAAATTAACTGTTGATTGGAAGCCTTACCAATAAGTCAGTTAACACATATTTTATATGTTATATGTATTATATACTGTGTTATTACAATAATGTAAGCTAGAAGAAAGGATTAAGAAAATCATAAGGAAGAAAAAACATATTTATCCGTTTTCATTTAATAGTAATCATAAAGGTCTTCATCCTCATCTTCACATTGAATAGGCAGAAGGAGGAAGAAGATGGGTTGGTCTTGCTGTCTTGGGTGGCAGAGGCAGAAAAAAATCCATATATAAGTGGATCTATGCAGTTCAAACCTGTATGCAAGTGTCAACTCTGTGTGTGTGTGTGTGTGTGTGTGTGTGTGTGTGTGTGTAAAGGGATTTATTATAAGGAATTGGCTCAAGCGATTATGGAGGTAGAAGTCCCAAGATCTGAAATTGGCCTTCAACTGACTGGATAAGGCTCACCCACAGCAGGGAGGGCAATCTGCTTTACTTAGTCTACCTATTCAAATGCTGGTTTCAACTAAAACCTCTGACCCCCAGAATCATGTTTGATCAAATATCTGGGCACCCTGTGGCACTGTCAAGTTGACACAAAATTAACTATCACATATGTAAATAGCCATAAAAGGTAAAATGTAATGGCTATGAAGATTTTAAAGGTTTGCAAGAAGAGTTTACATCAGAAAGAAGCTACTAGTTTCCCTTACCTATTCAATTGTCCACTGAACAGCTATGTATTGGGCACTTATATGGGAGAGATGATATTTTAAGGGCTGAGATTTTAACTCCAAGCCCCATCTCCACAGAGAATGCATGTTCTGACACTGTGAACCACACCTGGACCATAGAGTCACCAGACATTTCTCCTTGCTCCTCTGTTAAGAAAGACCATGGCCTTGGTGCCCCAACTCCCACAATTTCCTTAGCTACTTACCTGTCGTCTCTCACTTTCAATGCTCCTGGCAGATTAGCTATTGCATTCCTCCTCTGCATTCACCCATTTCCAGCATAGCCATTAGAAAGGCCAAAGATTATTGGTCCATCCTGGGTCTGTGGTCACATTAAGGCTTTAATCCTCCTCTCTCCTTCTGCCTGCTAGGGCATGCTCATATCTTCTTGTTAATTTTCACTGAGCTCGGACTACACAGGATCATCACAGTCACTGTGGAAGCCACTCTGCATATGTGTGCCCTGTGTGCTCCATGACACCTCATCATGCATTCAGTATTATTCTATAGCTGCATATTTAGTACAGGCATTGTTATATGCCTTACAGACATTCACATTTGCACATCCCAGTAACGCTGAAGAGTGGGAATTATTATGACCCGCATTTTGCAGATGAGAAAACTGGAATTCTAAGATTTAAAAAAACAAAACCCAATGTCATGCATCTAAATAGTAAACCCAAGACTTAAAATTACACAGCCCAGTTCTGGATTCTCAATTCTTCTGGCTGTGTTGTTCTGTCCTCCATAACATCAGCCACCTCTTCAGACATCCTGTAACTACCATTCCTTTCGTTGAACTTCCATTTCCCCCTTCTGTTTCCCTTTTCCATGTCTGCCTACATACTCTTTTATTAACTCTTTTCTGACTCTAAACCTGCTCAGCTGTCTCTATCTTGGAGAAAACAAGTCCTTAAGTTAAACAAACAAGAAAAGTCTTTTTGTTCAGCACATTGTTCGGTTTGGCACTGAACGCTGCAAATACCAGTCACCTTCCCTCCCTTCACACCAGTTTGCAGAAAAGTAGCAAGTTTCTACTTTTCTTCTATCACATCTCCTTTCCAAACCTTGAATGTAGCCTACATTCCTCTTACTTTGTCAGAATTAGGCCTTTCCATCCCCTGCAGTGTCCACGCTGTCAAATAGAATGAGCCTTGTGCTATGCGACCTCTGTGTTCTGCTTGATACTGTGGACTACGGTTATTTGGAATATTTCAGCATTGGTGTAACTTCTGCACAGAGCAGTGGTTGTTGACTAAGTGAGGATGGGGTACAATTTTGTCCCCAAGTCTCTTCTGTCAGTGTTCCCATGTATTTTTGATCAACATGACTCGGGTGGTTGCTACTGGCCTCAGGTGAGTAGAGCCCAGAGATGCCGCTTTTAAATACACTACAATGTACAGATAACCTCCCACAGCCAAAAAAACTTCCCAGCCTAAATGTTAATAGCCACAAAGTTGAGAAGCCTTTAGATAGAATGAAATGGGAAGGAAATTATTGAAATTTTGTGATTCAAACTCCAAGTTAGACTCACCTGGCTTATACTTCCATAATTGGATTATGGAATTTTTTTGTCTACAGTTTGCCAGTTTGGCATCTGGCACAGAGCCCAAGAGTTTGAAATGGTTAAGGTGGCAGACAGTATGTCGTGACCAGGTTCTGGGTGTACGTCAGAATATAACATCAGGTGCTAAACACCAGCTACAAATTGCTAAGAGGTACGCGGTCTGGATGTCTTTCAAAATCTACCTGTGTGCCGTGATATCTAGGTTGGCAGCAGTGTTCCTATTATCAGTGCTCAAAATTCAGCTTCATGAAACTAATGCCAGGGAATTTTCCACAGAGGACCTTATTCTCCTGATTTCTCCTCATTTCTGACTTGATTTGGAACAATATAGCTTTAGTCTTCTGCTCATCACTGCTCAGGGGTTGGGATATTTAGAAGTTGGTTGCAGATTTAATAAAAACAAGATTTTATTATATTCTGGAATATCTGAAAAATAATAAAGCACAGAAAGTCAAGCATAATTCCTGATAGAAGAATTGCAAATTTCCTATACAGTTGTAAATTTTCAACAAATACTTGTTGAATACACTACATTCTTTCTATTTTGACTCAATGATGATCATCACATACTTAACCTTGAAATCCATGGTCCTCTCTAATTCCAAGATTTCTTCAGTTAAATCTCAGCCTGGCCCCAGTCTTCCTCAGCTTCTACTTCTCATGAATTCTATGAGCCCTTGCTCTACTCAAACCAGTAAATTAAAGTTTCAAAAAATACCTGGTCTGTTATTACTTGTTTCTCTGATGTACCAGACTTGTACAATAGAAAAAAAGAAAAAACACTTCTCAAAATTTAAATTCCATACAATGAGGCCAAATCGTTTTAAATAGTTTTTATGGCTAGAATTAGAGTTAAATTTATACCCACACTACAATAAGAAAATCCTTAGCAAAATAATGGAAAAGATTGAGAAAATGTTAATTTTTATTTAAAAAAAAACTGCATATACCTATATGTAAAACAGGTTCCTATCTAGGGATCTGATGCTGGATCATATGTCATCACACCTTTTAAATAAGTAGACAATGCTTGTCAAAATGATACCAAATCATTTCTCTACTTCATGTCCTTCCAATAAATCCTGCCGTACAAAGAGCATGTAACAATCTGCATTCAATTAAGGCTTCACCAACAATTAGATTATCTCTACAAAGTTAATTTATGTGTGATCACATTTAATAATAAAGATGCTTCATCAAAATACCTTCCTTCCACAAATGTCCTGAGGACATCAGTTGCTTTTTTGCCTTGCGTTGTGGAACCCCTTCTCCTAAAATCCTGTTGTCCTACCGAGTTAGACATTTCTTGACTCTCCATTGCTATAGTTTTCTTTCATTTGAAATTTTCTCTCTCCCACGAAGCTCACTGTATCTCTGCTATGGTGGGTAGTAAACCAAAAGGAGTAAGAACATTTTGGTTTTGAAATCAGACATTCAGGATCTTAGTCCTTACACCTTGATCCTTCCTAGCCATGTGACTTGGCATGTGAGGCTTCTCAAGGTAAGATGGTTGCTGCTACTTCCACTTCAAGCATTCCATCCATGTTCCACGCTGAGAGAAAAGGAAAGCACCAAACTGAAAGCCTTCTCCTAGCAAGGTTTTATCTAGGAATGGGTACTTTCTCTAGGGACTTCTGATTATATTCTATTGGCTAGAATAATGTCACATGGCTACCCTAGATTAAAGAAGGGCTTATAATGGGTTTATTTTTCCCCATCTACAATGTTGGAGAAAATGGAGGGATTGAAGGAAGACGGTTATGATGATGCTCACTGAGTCACCCTTCACTCTGTCATGGGAGGTATCCCTCCGAGGGTGTGAGAGTTCCATCAATGTGGAAGGCTTGATAAGGCATCTTTATCCATTTATTTAATTTCAGTGTGGTCATATATTTAAAATTACATATTCTTGGTTAGGTGGATTCGTTGATTATAATATCTAATTATAACGGGATGAAATCTCACATAGAAGTGTCTTAAAATGATTCTTGAAAGGAAATCATGATGTGAATATAAAATATAAAATACAGGACAAGGTCATTATCACACACAACCTGAATTTAAAAAAATTACCATCTAAACAGATCAGACGAGAAGCCAGGCAAAACACACACACACACACACACACACACACACACACTGCAAGATGAATCTCACCTGAAATGTATATTAGAGCTTGACATACCAGCATGAAGCTATAATAGTAAGCCTGAAAACTACTCAGAATTTAAAACTTGTGAACATCTAGTATCCAGAACATGAAAATAAACCTCTCCAACTTTTTTAAACAATGTTTAAATTCATAGGATTCTCAGTCCATTACTTTAAATTTTTTAGTGAATTTATAGATAAATATTTAGAACTTTCTTATGAAGTTTTCTAACC
This sequence comes from Homo sapiens, assembly GCF_000001405.40. Classification (NCBI taxonomy): domain Eukaryota; kingdom Metazoa; phylum Chordata; class Mammalia; order Primates; family Hominidae; genus Homo; species Homo sapiens. Next base: position 62,646,498 of record NC_000014.9, on the reverse strand, counting down.
TAATAGGGAAAGACGAAAATACATCATTGGGGAAACACCTGTTCTTTTGCCACAGCATAATTGGCTGAAATGACTTGGAAAATAATATGGTATAAACCGAAATTCATTTCTCGGCAAATGCTATGGAAAGACTCACGGGGAAAATATTGCTGCTGCAGATTTGGAGGAGATAGCATTTGAATAAATTATCCAGTATGGGAGAATGGTTATAGAATAGATTAAAGTAAAAATGTTTCAACATTTCTCAGCTTAAGGCAGTTTTAAAGACTCTTTAAATGACTATACAAGTAACTGCATTTTTGTGAACCACTAAAGGAAAAAAAAATCCTCCAGAGATTATGTATTCTCATTATAAAATAAACTTTAATGTAGTTCTTAGGAGAAATTGTGCTATAATTTGGTAATAAATTAATTCAAAATCGTAATGGCTTAATATACGACAAGTTTATTTTTTAGTCACACTAGGTTTGCTATGGGTCTAATGGCTTCCTCCCAAGAAGCATCTTCTAAGCAATGACCTAGAGAACTAGTGTGCTCCACTTTTGTCCTCCATCAGCTTAGATAACGCTGCTAGGTCTCCCTAGCAGGAAAAGAAAGGGCTGAAGTTTCTTGCAGGGGCTTTTTACTGCCTTTGGCAACAAATGACTTCGGTTAATTCTGCTTACATTCCATTGGCCATAGTTAATTGCTTGATTAATGTCAAGACGGTGAGTAATAGAGCTTCCTGTATGCCTAGGAAATATAGGAGGATTGAATGCCTGATGACCACTAGTAATGTTCTTCCACTTCAATAAACATAATTTTTAAAGGAAGTTGTGTGTAAAAATGAATATTATGGAGTAGTTTCTTTGGCTGGAGCAAGAAAAGGATTCTGAAGCAATATTAATACAAGATAGTACCATATGTAAAACTCATTTACTGCATTTTTCACAGACAATGTATTTTAGCAATGAGGTAGAAGCCACAGTATCATCAATGAGGTTAATTTTAAAATACAAAGACTTTTCAACACAGTAGAATCCTCAAAATACATGAATGAGATGGAGGGTAACTAGGAGAATCATTTGTAATTAATAGGAGCTTTCCTGGAAATCTTGTGGTAATATATGATATTGTTATAGAACTGGAAGATGAATTATGCACTTGTAAAAATAAAAAGGCAGAGTTTCAAATTTGATCATTTTTGTGAGGACAAATAACTGTTATGTTGCCTGACATAATTTTTTGGAGGGTGAAAACTCAAACACTCAAAATTTACATTTAATATTTAATAAAGGGGAGATACTTTTGAATAAGACCATATGGAGAAAAAAATTTTGAAAACAAGTATACAAAAATGTAGAAATACTTTACTCATAATTGAAAGCATTACAGAAATACTGCTTACATAATAATTCACATATACTTAAAAACACTTTAAAGGGGATCTTAAACTCCTGAAGAATGAAACGAACACCATTCAATAATTAGTGGATGAGATTTAAAATCATACGTGGGATTTAAAATCATATATAATCTACATTATCTAACCCTTTTATTTGAATCTTATCTGTGTGAAGTATCTTTGACTGTGTTGGTCACCGTTGAATCAGGTATCTAAATAAACTGAATCTGGAACATCCTAATGCCCACATCAAAAGCACTCAATAAAGGTGGATGGGGGAGTGGTGGTGGTGGTACAGCAACAGGGTAGCCCAGTTAGGTTGCACAGGCCCATCTAAACACGTATGATTATATTATTAGAACCAGGAAACTGGTTACTAGAAAAAGTACTGAACTGTAGAGAGAAAATATTAAATATTCAAGCACCTCGCAACACCACCAGTTTTATTTGAGGAATTTCTTTAGGCATTAAAATACAACAATAAACAACCACAGTAACGGTAATACCACTAACATTCTTGAGCATTTATTGTGTGCTTAGAAATTTGTGTATGAACTCATTTAATATAGTCCCATGGCTTAACACGTGGATTTTGTTCATATATTCTTTTATCAAGGTTGTAAAATACCTGATTCAGTTCTGGTATCATATCATTTTTATTTTATTTTGAAACCCATTTTTATTTTGATAAGAATACTTGAGTTCTACCCTCTTAACAGATTTTTAAGTGTATAATATGATATAGTTGACAGTAGATACAAGGTTGTACAGCAGATGACTAGGACTTATTCAACTTGCTGGACTGAAACTTTATGCCTGTTTATTAACAACTCCTCACTTCTCCCTGTCTCTGACCCCTGGCCACCACCATTTACAGTCTTTGATTCTAACAATTTTAACTATTTTATATACTTCATATAAGTGAATTATGCATTATTTGTCTTACTGTCACTGGCTTATTTCACTTAGTATAATATCCTTAAGGCTCATCCATGTGTTGCATATTGCAGAATTTCCTTTTACACCTAAATAGTGTCCATTGACTGTATGTACCACATTTTCTTTATTGATGATGGACATTTAGGTTATTTCTACATCCTGGCTATTGTGACTAGTGCTGCAAAGAACATAGCAGTGTTAATATTTGAGCTCTTGACTTCGATTTTTTGAAAAAAAAAAAAAACAAAACACCTCAGGATTGTTGGATTATATGACAGTTATGTTTTTAATTTTTTGAGGAACCTGCATAACGTTTTCCTCATAGTGGCTGTACCAGTTTGCCTTCCCACCAACAGTATGCAAGAGTTCTAATTTCTCCACATTCTTACCAATATTTGTTGTCTTGTTTTTTAAATAGCCATTGTGACAGGTTTGAGGTGATACCTCATTGTGGTGGTGATTTTCATGTCCCTGATGATTAGTGATTTTGAATGTTTTTGCATATACGTGTTGGCCAGGTATATTTGTATGTCATCTTTGGAGAAATGTATGTTCAAGTCCTTTGCCCATTTTTCAATTGGATTACTGTTTTGGTTTTTTTGTTTTATTTTTTACTATTGAGTTATAGACATTTCTTATACATTTTGAAGATAAGCCCATATCAAATATATGGTTTACAAATATTTTATCCCATTTCATAAATTGTCATTTCATTCTGATTTTCTTGGTAATGCAAAAGCTTTTTAGTTTGATATAGTCCAACTTGTCTGTTTTGGCTTTTGTTGATAGTGCTTTTGGTGTCATATCTGAAAAATAATTGCCAAGACCAGTGTCAAGGAGCTTTTCCCCTACTTTTTTGTAGGAGTTTTATAGTTTCTGTTCTTACATTTATGTCTTGAATTCATTTTGAGTTTGGTTTTTGTATATGGTGTGAGATGCGTCATTATTTTCTATGTGACTATCCAGTTTTCCTAGTCCCATTTCTTGAAGAGACTATTATTTTCCCATTATGTAGTCATAACAGCCTTGTTGAAGATCAGCTGACCATATATACTTGGATATATTTCTGGGCTCTCCATTCTGTTACATTGCTCTGTATGTCTATAATTATGCCTTTACCATACTGTTTTGTTTTTTTTTTGTTGTTGTTGTTGTTTAATATATGGTTTATTTATTTGAGACAGAGTTTCGCTCTGTTGCCCAGGCTGGAGTGCAGTGGCATGATCTCGGCTCACCACAACCTCTGCCTCCTGGGTGCAAGTGATTCTCCTGCCTCAGCCTCCCAAGTAGCTGGGATTACAGGCATGTGCCACCATGCCCAGCTAATTTTGTATTTTTAGTAGTGATGGGGTTTCTCCATGTTGGTGAGGCTGGTCTTGAACTCCTGACCTCAGGTAAGCCTCCTGCCTCAGCCTCCCCAAAGTTCTGGGATTACAGGTGTGAGCCACTGTGCCTGGCTTTTTTTTTTTTAATTATTATTATACTTTAAGTTTTAGGGTACATGTGCACAATGTGCAGGTTAGTTACATATGTATACATGTGACATGCTGGTGCGCTGCACCCACTAACTCGTCATCTAGCATTAGGTATATCTCCCAATGCTATCCCTCCCCCCTCCCCCACCCCACAACAGTCCCCAGAGCGTGATGTTCCCCTTCCTGTGTCCATGTGTTCTCATTGTTCAATTCCCACCTATGAGTGAGAATATGCGGTGTTTGGTTTTTTGTTCTTGCGATAGTTTACTGAGAATGATGATTTCCAACTTCATCCATGTTGCTACAAAGGACATGAACTCATCATTTTTTATGGCTGCATAGTATTCCATGGTGTATATGTGCCACATTTTCTTAATCCAGTCTATCATTGTTGGACATTTGGGTTGGTTCCAAGTCTTTGCTATTGTGAATAATGTCGCAATAAACATATGTGTGCATGTGTCTTTATAGCAGCATGATTTATAGTCCTTTGGGTATATACCCAGTAATGGGATGGCTGGGTCAAATGGTATTTCTAGTTCTAGATCCCTGAGGAATCACCACACTGACTTCCACAATGGTTGAACTAGTTTACAGTCCCACCAACAGTGTAAAAGTGTTCCTATTTCTCCACATCCTCTCCAGCACCTGTTGTTTCCTGACTTTTTAATGATTGCCATTCTA